>NC_000002.12:151732042-152035072 GCF_000001405.40 Homo sapiens | reverse complement strand
AAGGGCATTGGATTATAAAGTGCACTTGCCAATTTGTGATTAGGTCTGGAAATGGGGAATTTGTTCATTTAACAGCAGGTGCCACTTGATCAACCACTGCCAATACTTTTGCCGCGGACTTCCCAGGACTCCAGCTGCACTCACGATTCCTTTGGTCAACTGTTCTGCCTCAAGCCTGCTGTAGATGCCACTGAGAATAGAAAGTTGAAACCAGTTGATCCCAGTGAAGCAGCACCACACAGTACTTATTAGAGACTAAGAAGCCAGGGAACACTTTTCCTCATAATTTTTTTTCCTTACCCCAGGGGTTAGTGTGTTTAAAAGAGCACTGTGGGGGTGCTGTTGTAGAAAGCAGCAACTCTGTATCGGATGCCATCCCCTGGTGTTTTAAAGGCAGGATTACAAACATCTAGAGAGGAAAACAAAAAACAAAAACAAAACCCACATTCTCTAATTCATATACAGATCGTTAAGTGAGAATGGAATTTATGCGATGCTTTTCATGATGGGGGATTTTCTGCAAGGGAAGCCGCTTGCCCATTTTGTGGTAACGGCTTGAAATAAAGGAGAGGCCGGAGCAGGCAGCAAGGTTAGCTTGCTCTTGCAGGATAAGCGTTGTCCTTGCTCTCAGTTCCCCTGCTGTGTGGCCTGGTCCCTTCCTTGTTATCACCCTTCACCAGAGCCCTGTGTGAGGGCCCTAATGGAGACTTCAAGAGCTTTTAGTTCACTAGGTACTGCCACCTGCATCCACTCTCTGCTTTTCCTTCCCCTGCAGGTCTCATGTGTCCAGCATAGAAGTATTTTTAAGACCTACTTTGCAAGACGTGACTTCTGTTGGGATTTTAATTTGAAATGAAATTTAAATGTACCAACCCTGGGCATTCCGATCATTTAATAGACCTGTTGGGAGACAAGTAATGAGGAGAAAGCCACTCCGAGTCCATCTTGCTCTTAAGCCTGACAGGTTTTATTTGGAAGTGCTGCCTGTTAGTGAGGGAGAAATGCTCATTTCTTTTTTTTCCTGTGTAAGGAACTGTTGAACTTAATTTTCCCCCCCAGGTGTTAGGAGACAGGAATTAAAAATAGTATGTGACCCAGACACACCAAGCAATACAAAGTTCTTGCTTCTATTATGTTGCTAACTACCTGCATCTTGTTAATAAGGAAGGGAAATGTCTGTTACCTACAAACTGAAGGAGTGAATGATTTGATTGAGGGAAATCTGAAATACCACGAGAATTAGAGAAGTCCTCACAAAAGGGCAAAAGCTTACATTTTTCATTTTTCTCTTTATTTCATGTGACTTTGGCCTTAAAGTCCTCCTTCCCACTTTCTCACACCCCCACTAGCTGAATGTTGTGTCAGATTATTTAGAACTTTCTAAATAGGGGAGAAAATTTTTTTTCCCCAAGTTTGGCTCCTACGTCCTTTGAGACTATACCGTCTGTGCAGGAGAATTTATAAAAAGATGGGAGGTTTGGGTGCCGGTTTCCTTTTTGGAAATGGTATTTACCCAGATCACAGTGAATCTGCCTCTCGCCTTAAATGGCAGAGGATGATAGGGTAGGATCTTCACGTGCTAGAAAGGCAGCTGGAAGCCATGTGGAGACCTCAGGAGACCTGAACTACAAGGGTATCTAAGCAACTGTGGCTGCTGGAGTTGAAGGAGGGAGTCTGAAGTTGCTCTTCTAGGATGCTGGTCGCATCCCCTCAGTCCCCTCCCTGTTGTTTTCAGTCACTTCAGAGAGGTGGTGGCAGCCCGTCTACACCACCAAGCGGGGATTTAATGGAAGCATTTCATTTGCTTCAGCAAGTCAAAAGCTGCCCTTTTGTAAAAACGTGTAAGCATGCCTCTTCATCCTCATTCCCCCACCCCGCTTCTCCTCATTCATTATTTAACCAGCCGCCTGGGTCTTCTTTCTGCTCTCAAGCATGCCAGTCCCTTCCCCACCTGGGGACCTTGGCCCTGTCTGTTCCTCTTGTTTGGCATGCTGTTCTCCAGGGCCTTGCCTGGCTGCCACTGCCTCACTTAGGCCTGAAGCAGAACCTCTGCAGGGGAACCTGTCTACACCAAACTAGTTCATTTTTCTACCTTTTTATTTATTTATTTTTTTTTTAAGAGACAGGGTCTTGCTCTATTGCCCGGGCTGGAGTGCAGTGGCATAATCATAGCTCACTGCAGCCTTGAACTCCAGGGCTTAATCAATTCTCTTGCCTCAGTCTCCTGAGTAGCCAGGACTATAGGCGTATGCCAACATACCCAGCTAATTTTTTTGTTTTTGTAGAGATGGGGGGTCTCACTATATTGCCCTGGGTGGTCTTGAAGTAATCTTCCTGCCTCAACCTCCCAAAGTGCTGAGATTATAGGCATGAGCCACCACACCCTGCCTAAAAAATCTTTTTAAGATGGAAACATATAAAGTATATTGAGACTTTCTTTGGAGAGAGAAAATGCATTAAGCAAAAAAGCATTTAGATTTTTTTGAATTCCCTATTATTAAAAATAAAGTTGTATTAAAATGTCTCGGTAATATATGGTTAAACCATAGTCTCTATTTGTGTTTTTTAAGGAATTTGTAATTAATTGTGGCTTTCTTAAAATCATGACCGACTGAGTTAGATGTGCCACCATCAATAGTTGATAGCTAAAATTAGTAGCAAGTTAACAATTTACTTGTTCATTTCCATGGGCTGCTAAGTAGATTTTGGTCCAATGTATTTTAGGGGAAAAAATGTTACACTGAGAGTCAGGAGACATGGCTGTTGCCCCTTCCTGGCTGTGTGGCCTGGGTCAGTCCCTTCCCTTCTCAGGCCAATTTCTTATCCGTGGAGCAAAGATAATGGACGGGGGGAAGGGGATTCCTTCCAGCTCTCCACAGTCTCTGGTTCTATATTTTGAAGCCATCTGTGGGGCAGTTTTAACAGAAGGTCTGAAAAAATCAGACTTGGTCATGTGCCTCCTATTCCTTTTTTCTCTCTCTCTATTTGCCACATCCTTTCCCCACACTATAGAAGGATCCAGACACTCGAATCATCAAGGCTCTGTTGCTCTCCGCTCTTGCCTGAATATGAAATGAGGGAGTTTGCTGTCCCCTGATGGAGCCTTCGTTCAAGCAAGCCACGGGCTGTGAGGCTTTCACCCTTGGCTTGGCAAGACTGTCAGCACGGTGCTTCCCTTTTAGAGAGCCTAATGCCAACAGAAAGGGCAGTTTTCTAGTAATGGAGGAAAATATCAGTTTTCAAAAATATGGATAATTTTTAAAACCTCCTCTTTTTCCTGTTGCCTAGTTCTCTACCATTAACTCCAGGTCTCTCTTCAGGGTCTAGCAGAGACCCTGCTGACTGTCCTCTCACTCCTTAGAGGCCATCAGGACTCTGAAATCCGAGGATTAATGGCGGCCGGGAGGGGCTGATGGGCAGGGGAGAAAGCCTAGGATTAAGGATGAGGAGACCTGAGCTCCATCTGTGGATCCTCCTCTGCCTGGTCCCAGGCCTTTGAGCAAGCCCCTGGCTGTGTCTGACCTGCCTTCCTCCCTCAGGTTGTGCTGCAGAGGGGCCACAGTACAGATAACACAGCACCCGTCAACAGTGGGATATTAGGAGGAGAAGAAGTCTCCGCTCACCTGCGTGTGCTCTCTCATCCTCAGAGTCCCATGTTTCCAGTTTCTGGAAGGTCCTCCTACCAGCCTGAACTACATGCATTGTATAACACGTAACTGCAATTTAAATCTTGATTTACCCTCAGAGTCTTATTCGGTCATTAAGTCATCATCATAATATCTTGTACCTGTTACTTGTTCAGATTTAATAATTTGTGAAGTGTCCTTTGTGGGGTGACCAACAGTCCTGGGGACTGAGGGGTTTCCCAGGATGTACAATATTAGGTGCTAAAACTGAAAGAGTTCTGGGCACATCAGGATGATGGTCATTCTTCTCTTGGTTCCTCTTTTTCTTTCTGGAAGGAAGTTTCTCTGTAAATTGTTATTTCTTCATCTGTAAAATATCTTGCTAGTCCCGTGGCAATACCGCCTGTCTACCCCAAGTACCCTTTCTCCTGGACTGCTTGTATCCACTTCCCTGTTACTGCTGTGTTTTCTGCCCAGGGCTGAGGCTGTGCAGTGAATGAATCATCTTTCCCCAACCTTGCTTGACATCAGTATCAATTTTAGAAGGTGAGAGTGCCACATTTTCTTAATCCAGTCTATCATTGATGGACATTTGGGTTGGTTCCAACTGGATTAAGAAAATGTGGCACATATACACCATGGAATACTATGCAGCCATAAAAAAGGATGAGTTCACGTCCTTTGTAGGGACATGGAGGCAGCTGGAAACCATCATTCTCAGCAAACTATTGCAGGGACAGAAAACCAAACACTGCATGTTCTCACTCATAGGTGGGAATTGAACAATGAGAACACTTGGACACAGGAAGGGGAACATCACACACTGGGGCCTGTCAAGTGGGGAGGGATAGCATTAGGAGATATACCTAATGTAAATGACAAGTTAATGGGTGCAGCACACCAACATGGCACATGTATACATATGTAACAAACCTGCACGTTGTGCACATGTACCCTAGAACTTAAAGTATAAGAAAAATAAATAAATACATAAAATTCTTTTCAATAACAATGGAAACAAAATTTTCTAAAATTATGAGATCATATCTGTAAAAATTAATGATGATCTTGTGTAAAATTTCATCTATACATAGTGAATTATACTATTAATATTGATGAAAAAATGTAAACATAAATCTAGTGTCTTATAAGCATGAAAAATGTCCAAGTATTTTCAATGTTGTGTTTCTTTTGTCTTAACAAACATGTCCTACAGTGTTATTTGACTATGTGTGAATTTTATTTTTTCAAGACTGTGTTAATATAATCCTCAAACTATTTTAGAAGCAACTAAATAGTGAATAAAGTGAAGAGTAGAAATGTAATCAGAAAAAAAAAAGAAGGTAAGAGTGCTCACAATTGCCTCAAAAAGAAAATGAGGCTTCTTGAATTTGCACTTCAGCATTCTCTACTCAGTGCACCTGTTTGTGTAATTTGCTCTTTTCTTGTTATCATGATGCATGACTGTATTAGTCAGCTCAGGATGCCACAACAAAATACTGTAGACCAGGTGGCTTAAACAACAGGAATTTATTTCTCACAGTTCTAGAGGCTGGGAAGTCCGAGATCAAGGTGTTGGTAGATTTGGTGTCTGCCAAAGGCCAACGTTCTGGTTCATGGATGGTGCCTTCTTCTCACTGTGTCCTCAAATGGTAGAAGGGGCAAGGGGTCAATCCAGGGCTTCTTTCATTAAGGCACTAATCACTTTCATGAGGCTCTGCCCTCATGCCCTAAGCACCTCCTAAAGGCCCCACCTCCTAATACCATCACCGTGGGGGTTAGGATTTCAGTCTGTGAATTTTGAGGGGACACAAACATTCAGACCATAGCAGACCCTCTTCCTAATCTGCAGGTGGTTGTCTTCCTGCTGTGTCTTCATGTGGCAGAGAGAGCAAACTCTGGGCTCTTTCTTTTCTTTTCTTTTCTTTTCTTTTCTTTTTTTTTTTTTTTTTTGAGATCGAGTCTCGCTCTGTTGCCCAGGCTAGAGTGCAGTGGCGTGGTCTTGGCTCACTGCAACCTCTGCCTCCTGGGTTCAAGCAATTCTCCTGCCTCAACCTCCTGAGTAGCTGGGATTACAGGTGCACAACACCACACCTGGCTAATTTTTTGTATTTTTAGTAGAGACGGGGCTTCACCATGTTGGCCAGGCTGGTCTCGAACTCCTGACCTCGTGATCCGCCCACCTCAGCCTCCCAAAGTGCTGGGATTACAGGCGTGAGCCACCACGCCTAGCCCTGGGCTCTTTCTTTTCTTATAAGAACCCTAATCTCATCATGGGATTAGTGTCCTTATAAGACCCTCATGACCTCATCTAAATCTAATTACCTCCCAAATACATTCAAATACCATCATATTGGAGGTTAGGTCTTTAACATATGAATTTGTCAGGGGACACAGTTCAGTCCATAACATGCCTTTGTTTCCATGTCACCAACACACTCTATCTTCTTGGCCTTAATCCATTTCTTCTGGATGGAATGTCTTCCCAAGCTACTTGGATTTTTCTTCTTCAAAGCTACTCAGAAGTGCCATCCTTTATGAAGCTTTCTTGGACAAATACTTTCTTTAGTTTTCCATCCCTAGCACTTGTACACAACAAAAATAGCTGGAGCATTTGTATATATTTATCATGTTTTGGCTAATACCCACTTGTGTGAGCTCCTTGTTGCTTATTAGATTTTAAACACTGTATGCAAGGATCTGCTCCTCCTTTCCTTGTGACTCTCCCAAATCTCACTGCAAGCTGTTCACCACGTGGTTATAAATGAAATGTTTTTGACCAACAGATTGCTCATTTGGTCTCAGCCTTGGTCAGATTCCAAGGAAAACAAATTAAAATAATACTCCCTTCTTCTTTCGCAGAAAGACAAATTTAAATGATATGGTTATATATAATCATTGTGATAACATGATTACATGATTATATCATTATCTAGAAATCATATAGGTTAAGTATTGAAAGGTGCAGTTATGGAGAGATTTGTCCACAGGCTACAGTAGAACTAGTTAGGCTTGTGCTGTTACACACGAAGGTATCAGTGGGTGTCGGGAGAATTCATGTTGACTCATTCGGGGCACATGTAAATCTGGGCCCTGATGAAGTACTTGTTCATGTTCCACTTCCATATTTTAGGTAATTTAAATTTTGTAGTGCAGCTTTTCCCAGTTGTGTCCTTTGCTGGTCTGGAGATGGCAGTAATCATGAACAAATCCACAACCCTTTGGTTCAGTATCCATCATCTGAATTCCTGGGGTTCCCAGTCCTAAATTGTTGCTTTGAGTTTAGAGGGGATTGTAGGTCATGCCCTCTTTGCTCTTCCCTCATCCCCTCATTTGATTAGGTTTCTGCTCAGGCGATCCTTGTCTTGTGATTGCCCTTGTAGAAGGGAGCAGGTGTCAACCTCTGACCTAAAATTTAGTTGTGATATTGAGGCTGAGGGTGCCACCTGTGCACTAAGAAGGTATAAAAAGATCTGTTACTCACAAATCGAAGCTCTCTGAGGAGAGCTGGGCAGGCTCTCAGGCAGGTTAGAAAATGGCTTGAGAGCCTCAAGGGCAACTGGCTTTGGCTTTTTTTTTTTTTTTTTTTTTTTTGAGACGGAGTCTCACTCTGTCGCCCGGGCTGGAGTGCAGTGGCAACAATCTCGACTCACTGCAACCTCCGCCTCCCGGGTTCAAGCGATTCTCCTGCCTCAGCCTCCTGAGTAGCTGGAATTATAGGCGTGCGCCACCAAGCCCAGGTAATTTTTGTATTTTTAGTAGAGACTGGGTTTCACCGTGTGGGTCAGGCTGGTCTCGATCTCCTGACCTCGTGATCCGCCCGCCTCGGCTTTGGCTTTTATGGTGGTCAGTGGTTTGGGCTGGGGCCAAAGCTTGTGTGGTTTGAGCTTCCCACTGGAGCCAAAGAGGTAGCACATGGCTTTCCTGTCACTTCCCTTGGTGTGAGTCAGGAGGGGAGGTGGCAGGGGAGGAGCTTGAAAACTCAGGGAGGCTTTCCTGACCATAACTTGTGAATACCTGATTTTATATTTAAAATCTATCTAATTACAGTTTCTTCTGCTAGATTGTAAGCTCTTTGATTTGTTCAGCATCCAATTTCCACAGCTGAGAACTGCCCCAGGCAGTCAGAGGCTCTCAGTAGATATTTGCTGAAACAATACAAAGGAGATGAAGGAGTGGCCAGAAAAATGGGAGGAGGTGCCTGAAAGCCAACAGAAGAAATGATTCTAAGAAAGGAGGAATGTGGCTGGGAGCCCTGGCTCACGCCTGTAATCTCAACACTTTGGGAGGCTGAGGTGGGCGGACCACCTGAGGCCAGGAGTTTGAGACCAGCCTGGCCAACGTGGACCCTGTCTCTACTAAAAATACGAAAATTAGCCGGGCATGGTGGCATGTGCCTGTAATCCCAGCTACTGAGGAGGCTGGGGTAGAAGAATCGCTTGAACCCAGGAGGTGGAGGTTGCAGTGAGCTGAGATTACACCACTGCACTCCAGCCTGGGTGACAGAGTGAAACTCCGTATCAAAAAAAAAAAAGAAAGATAATTGTGTCAAATGCTGTCAATGGGTCAAGTTAGATGAGCCCAAGATTCCCCAATGGACTTAACAATATGGATACCATTGGTGACCTCAGTAAGACCAGTTTTGGTCTGGAGTAGTGAGCAGAAAAGCCTTATTGGAATGGGTTCAAGAGAGAATGGAAAGATTGAAGTTAGAGTCAGTTAATATGGACAATTCTTCTAGGTACTATAGCAGTAAAAGGGAGTGGAGGCCGAGTGCAGTGGCTCATGGCTGTAATCTCAGCACTTTGGGAGGCCGAGGCAGGCAGATCACCTGAGGTCAGGAGTTCGAGCCCGGCCAACATGGAGAAACCTCATCTCTGCTAAAAGTACAAAAATTAGCTGCGCGTGGTGGCATGCACCTGTATTCCCAGCTATTCAGGGGGCTGAGGCATGAGAATCGCTTGAGCCCAGGAGGCAGAGGTTGCAGTGAGCAGAGATGGCACCACTGCACTCCAGCCTGGGTGACAGAGCGAGAACCTGTCTCAAAGAAGAAGAAAAAAAAAAAAAGGGACTAGAGAAGTGGAGCCCAGAGAGGGTTTTTATTAATATGATAGCATGTTTATATGTTGACGCTGATGGAAACAGTCCAGTGGAAAGGAAGACGCTGAAGATTCAGGAGGGAAGGAGGAAAATTGCTGGGGCCCTGTCCTGGAGTAAGATCCAGTGCTCGAGTGGAAGGGCCGGTCTGTAAGGGATTTGGTCAGTTTGTTCACAACAACGAGAAAAGGCAGAGTGTGTGAACCCACTGCAGGTAAGAGGGGAGATGTGGTTCACTTCTGGTAGCTCCTAGGAAGCTCTGTGGACATTCATGCCAAGTGACTTGTGGTGGCCTCGGCCCTGCGCCTCCAGAGGTGTCGGCTGCATCAGCACCTGCAGGGGGCGCCCTGTGCACGTCCTGTTCTCACATCCTCTTTACTAAACACGGAGATAGATGGAGCAACCCTCCCGCTGCAAACACAGCTCTTCACAGCTCTGACGTTTTTCTACTATACTGCAAACACATCTGTAATCACATTTAAAAATAAATCCACACAAGAAAAATTCACTGTTTCTTGTATAACAAGTGTAACTGTGACTTCTGAGACAACGCTGAACATTTTCTGAAATCTTGTCAAAAACCACACGGGGGCACTATTCCTTTAAAATACACAGTACGGTATGTCCAATTTTGATGACTGAAACAGTGGCATCTTTGAAGTTCAATTTCCTGAAGTTTATTTTCCTTTTAGAAGAGAGGCTGTTGTGTCACAATAACAAAATATTTTCTGTACTTCATAGATGATTTGAGATATTCCAAACTCCTAGATTTTTTATTTAATCTGGCCCCTGGGCAATCATTCTTTTAGTGTTACAGCCACTTCCTTTGCATTTAAGGCACAATGCATATTTGTCTTATTTCTGCTCTTTCTTATGCTTACAATAGAGGCTGTGAGCTAGCAGCGAGTCCAGTTTGTGCTCATATCTGGAATAAGGTTGTCTGAAGTAGACAGTTTGAGAGAAAATGTCGTTGTCTTTCTTGGTTCTCATTCCACCGTTCCCCAGCTCTCGCCTCTGAAGCTTGAGCTATTACACTTTTTATGACAGGAAAGAAAAAATTAAGTCTTTTGAACAATTTCCTGTTTTCAGGAAAGCTATCAAACTTAATTTACACATATGAAAGAAGAGGTTTCAGAGGTAGTGTAGGATTAGGAGAATAGAATTTGCTCACTGTCTAGCAATAGATAAGCTAGTATTTGCAAATAATTTAGCCAAAATGACAAATTAGTTGAAAGTTAATATCGGGCCTCAGATTTCTGGTTTTGCAAAATTTATTTATTATTTTTATTTTTTTGAGACAGAGTCTCACTCTGTTGCCCAGGCTGGAGTACAGTGGTGTGATCTTGGCTCACTGCAACCCCTGCCTCCCAGGTTCAAGTGATTCTCCTGCCTCAGCCTCCCGAGTACCTGGGATTACAGGCACGTGCCACCACGCCTGGCTAATTTTTGTATTTTTAGTAGAGATGGAGTGTCGCCATGTTGGCCAGGCTGGTCTTGAACTCCTGACCTCAGGTGATCTGCCCACCTTGGCTTCCCAAAGTGCTAGGATTACAGGCGTGAGCCACCACGCCTAGCCCTGGTTTTGCAATATTTAAATGTGTGATGCCCACCATATTGTTGCAAACAATGGCAAGTCCCTAAGGGTGTAGCAGCCTTCCATTGTGTAATGATTTGCTTGTGGGGAAATATACAATGATGCTGTGGATCCCTATCATAGTTGGTATGCTATGTTAGTAAGCAACTATTGGGGCAAGTATTTCTTACTGCTTTGTTTCACAATTCAAAGCCAAAGTAATACATAATCTTTTAGTGCCATTTTTTAGGGCTATCCAATAAGAAAATTACATTGTTGTCTATGCAAAGGCTTTATGGAAGCTACTTAAATATAAAAGAAACAGACAAACAGAAATGATCAAGAGTAGCCATTGTCAGCTAAATAATTACAAAATCAGTCTGCATATATTCATTTTTTAACCACTTTGTATTTTGCTCAATTTACCTTGAACTGGTAAACAATTAGTTCTTTTTTTGAGACAGCTCTGTTGCCCAGGCACAGAGGTACAGTGGCACGCATTCATAGCTCACTGCAACCTTAAACTCCTGGGCTTAGTTTGTCCTTCCATCTCAGCCTCCTGAGTAGCTAGGACTACAGGCACGTGACACCATACCTGGCTAATTTTTATTTGTATTTTTTGTAGAGACAGGTCTCATTATATTACCCAGGCTGGTCTTGACCTCCTGGCCTCAAGCAATCCTCCTCCTTCAGCCTCCCAAAGTGTTGGGCTTGCAGGCGTGAGCCACTGTGCCCAGCCAACACTGGTTCTTAAACTAAACATGTTAGGGTGCTCCTGATATTTTAAGCACTCCTACCACAATCCATTCATTGTGCTTCTTCATCTTAAATGTAAATTGTCACCATGGTAAACAGATATGTGCCTCCAGGACACAGTTCTAATTGATCTGTGCTTTTAGAGTTTCTTGTTTTGACTTTGTGATAACATAAATGTTTTCAATTCGTTGAGTTGTACGCCTAAGTTGTTGTTTTCACACATTGCTTCGGTGGAGGAAAGCTATTTAAAATGTAAGTCCAGAAATTCATATTAAATGCTATTACTGGCTGGGTGTGGTGGCTCACGCCTGTAATCCCAGCACTTTGGTAGGCTGAGGCAGGCGGATCACCTGAGATGAGGAGTTGGAGACCAGCCTGGCCAACATGGTGATACCCTGTCTCTACTTAAAATACAAAAATTAGCTGGGCGTGGTGGCAGGCGCCTGTAATCCCAGCTACTTGGGAGGCTGAGGCAGGAGAATTGCTTGAACCCGGGAGGCAGAGGTTGCAGTGAGCTGAGATCGCGCCATTGCATTCCAGCCGGGGGGACAAGAGTGAGACTTTGTCTGACCAAAAAAAAAAAGCACCTCTCACTTTTACGGTGGCCTTTATCCAGAGCGCATTCTCTTTGTCCAAACTTATTTCAGTTTTATTTTTCTTGGGCCTCCTTGATATGGTTTGGCTCTGTGTCCCCACCCAAATCTCATCTCGAATTGTAATCCCCATAATCCCCACGTGTTGAGGGCAGGGCCTGGTGGGAGGTGATTGGATCATGGGGGCAGTATCCCCCATGCTGTTCTCCTGATAGTGAGTTATCACGAGATCTGATGGTTTTATAAGGGGCTCTTACCCTTTCACTTGTTTGTGCTCGCTCATGCTCTCTCTCTTCCCCCTTCCTTTCTCTCACCCCCTCATGGACCCCCTGCACCTGTCACCATGTAAGACATGCCTCTTCCCCTTCTACCATGATTGTAAGTTTCCTGAGGTTTTCCCAGTCTTGCAGAACTGTGAGTCAATGACACCTCTTTTCTTTATAAATTACCCAGTCTTGGGTATGTCTTTGTAGCAGTGTGAAAACAGACTAATATGTTCCTTAACTTTTCCAAGTGTAAATATTGTCAAACAACCTCAAAACAACCCTAAATTCCTTTACCCTGATCATCTGGGTTTTAATGATTACAGTTTTGAGTCCTGTACATGATCAAGTAGGAGAGTTGTGGCAACAACATTGTAGGTGATGGGGGTGCTGTGGATCCCAGTAGAATATTATGCTTTCTATGATTCTTTGCTTTATGTTATTTCATTAAGGAAAAATCATACCAAGAGTCTAAGTGTAGGAGGTAAACATGCATATTGCATGGAGGACTGAAACAAATGTAGAGATTGCAGGTCATTAAAATAAAGCCCATGCTTTCGTATATGCAAATCAAGCATATTTTAAAAATAGAGATCTGTGACATGCTGGTATCTCTTTGAAAGGAATATTGCACTTCTTGTCCAACTTAAAACCAGGGAATTTTAGAAAAATTGTAGCAATAGGGATTATTCTTGATTACTGCTGATGTTTTTATATTGTGTTTGACTAAATTAGTTGCTTTTTGCAAAGCACTCTGAAGCACTTCGCTTTTATATCATTGGAGACATGGATTGTGTCCTTTGTGAAATAGTTATTGGTTTCACATTCCCTCCACCACTTCTCCTTGATGGCTACGGGCTGAGTATGATTCATCTCTGTCCTTCACTCATGGTATAATGAATGGTGAACAGTAAACAAACAGGGCTTATTTGTAGGAGTGAAATTAAGGGTAGCAGTTTGAGTGGTGTATATTTGGTTGAAGATGATGCAGAGGTGGTTGAAGGGGAGAGATGCAAGTAATAGGCAATAAGCCGATTGCCAAAGAGAGGAGGAGAGAGGTTCTTTGTTTCCCCAAGGCTTACTTGATGAGCTCATGTGCAGTCACTACAACTGTGAAGGAACTTATCTGTAAATGTGCTTTTTAATACAACTTTGGATGCTGGATCAAAATGACATGTTTAAAGATTAGACGCTTATACTTCTTGAATGTATATAGCCTTGACTTTAAATACCTATTCTAGTAGAGAAAATCTTTTCAAGAAGAAGATAAAACGTAAAAAGCCAATGTTCAGCAAGATAAAAGAATAAGCTGTATCCTTTCTTAAGAGTTAGATGTGAGAGTTGAATTAAGAAAGAAAAAAAGAAACATCAAATTACTTTTAGCTTTTCAGTTTTCTTCCTTTCATGTTTAAGATTCAGTGTCTAGTTCCTTGTGAGTTGTCTCCAATTCTGTGAAGTCTAAATCTAATGGTATTTTTATCCTTGATAAAGCATCATTGATTTACATACGTATGAGAAGGGGAAAAAGAGACATTGTTTTATTATTTAGAATGAATGTCAAATATTTATGCAAGTTTTGACAGTATTTTCAAAAGCAAAATATTTTCATATGAAGAGATTTTTCACCATGTTTTCACCAATAGTCTACTGAAATTTTGAGGCAAATCAAATGTTAAGAGATTATGGGTTGATGCAATGAATATGCCTGTTTTTATTGAGTCAAACTTTGGCTGCCAGAAGGGTAACATTACTCCTTATTTGAAGTTTTAACCCTTTGAGTATCTGACCTATAATTTTTTTAAATTTGAAATCATTCTAAAATGGATTATGTGTTTTTCTGCTTGCTTAAATATAAGGTAGAGAATATAGTTTGAAAAAAAATTGTTTTAATGTTTCAGAGTTATGTATTTATTTATTTTGAGATGGAGTCTTGCTGTGTCACCAGGCTGGAGCGCAGTGATGCAATCTCTGCTCACTGCAACCTCCGCCTCCCGGGTTCAAGCGATTCCCCTGCCTCGGCCTCCAGAATAGCTGGGACTACAGGCGCTCGCCACCACACCTGGTGTGGTGTATTTTAGTAGAAACGGGGTTTCACCACGTTGGCCAGGATGGTCTCAATCTCCTGACCTCGTGATCCACCCGCCTCAGCCTCCCAAAGTGCTGGGATTACAGGTGTGAACCACCGCACCCAGCTAGAGTTATTTTTTTCTTCAGTCTCTGTGCTAGTAGTTTCCGAGTTATTTTAAGCGTTGATTTTGGGGATAAGCCTTGAATGCAGGTGGAGGATATTAAATATTTACATTTATGTAAAGCACAATTTAGGTGCCCGAGGTTAGGTTTTTGCCTGCTTCCAGCAGTGTTTCAGACAAGGGAATGCCTTGTGCTTTCCTTTCCCCGGCTTCCTCCTCTGGGTGTGCTCTCAATTCTAACCCCGTTACCAGCATCGCCACCTGTTAATTATCACTGTTGGTTATGCTCTTCAACTTCAGTCTTTCCCTGTCCTCTGAGAACTTCTCCTTTGGCTTCATGGCACCAAAGTACATCCCATTCTGAAATCAAAAGAATAGTAAACACAAAAACCTACTAACTCCCCACAATTTCCTTCTCAAACTACTGCTGGATCTTTCTTTTCTTTCTTTATCATCAGACATCACAAAAGAGAAATCTTCTACCCATTTCCTTTATTTCCTCACGTCCAATTCACTTCTCAGACAGGAGCACCTGGCTTCTTGCCCCCTCACCCTATACTGAAATGCTCTCTGAAGCATCATCACAACTTCATTGCCAAATTGGAAGCCTTTAGAGAATGGCACTTATCCAGTTCTCACCCAGGAGCCATTAATGGGAGAAATCCTGGAAGAATAGGGGAAGAATGCCACCCACCATCTTGATCCCATCAAAACCCAAATGGACATAGAAATGCCTGATAGCCTCTTTCAATTAAACTGTCATGGCCCCAGCATCTCAAATCGATGCTGTTGGGTACTTCTTAGTCTGCAAAGGCTCTCCTTTCCCTAAAGGGTAGAGCCCACAATAAACAGGACTGGACCAGGATCTCTAGGTTCCAGAGACATTGATTTGGGAATGTACACATAGGCTGCAGGGTGAAAATCCTGGAAGTGGAGGCATAGAAACACAGTGGTTTTTCCTTGAGTTTTTAAGAGCTTCATCTGCTTCTGGGCCTTCTTTGCCCTCTCACTCTCATTCTGACTGCCTCTCAATCTAAAGATTCCTCTTCCTCTTTTGGCAACCATAGGTACAGCTGACTTGCCCATATACCCACTGCACAGTCCTCCTGCCTGTCTCAGTTGTGTGAGTTGTTTGACATTTCCAGAATAATTAATAAAAGAAAGAGAAAACTAATTTCATTGAGGAGCACCTCTGTCCCTGAGCCTTTGTATAAATGTATATACACAATTATGTGTATGCACACACACATTTGGTGGTCATCTTAACTCTGTTCAGTCCACTTGCCATTTAACCTCTTTTAACCTTTATTTCCATTTTTTGGGGAGATATCATCTTTCTTGTTATCAGAAAACACTTTTATTCACTTATTTTTTCCGTTAGTCTTTCCAGTCATCCACCTGTTCATGTATCCACTTATCCATCCATCCACCATCCACCCACTCATTCATCCATCTGCCCACCCACCCATCCACCCATCATTCACCAATTAAACATGTACTGAGTAGCTATGATGTGCCATTACTGCCAGATATAGGGAGCTCAAAATCTGAGAATAATTTCCCTTCATTTTGCTATCTCATCTATCATACACTCATATACATCTAACTTTTTGAATTAGTGCTAACTGACCATCAAACGTAGAAGTGAGATTGAAAAGATGCTTATATATAAGATCATATTCCTGAGGCATAGAGGTAATCAGAAATGATCTGAAATAACTTCTATCATCCAATTTTACTGAAGGCAAAGAAGTGTGGTTGAAAATTACTATCTGGGTAACTGTCCTGAAAGGCCTGTGCACAAGTCAAAAATACTCTCAGGTGCAAGCACTAATGCAATACTGGTCTTTATTCAACATGAAAGCCTGGCCACTGTGCCATTGTGAATGCAACCTACATTTTCCAAGCAGCAGAGGACAAAACACACTGTGGTGTGTGAATTCCCCTCTCCTGGCCCCCAGATACCAATCACTAACCAAACCTTTCCCCCTTGACTTCACCCACCCCCATCAATAAATTTCTTAGCAGCTCTCTTGCCTAAGAGAGAATGACCTCATACTAGCTTTTCAGCACTCCAGTTTTTGTAGTATCAATTATTTAAATGGAAAGTTTCCTCAAATATTTGATACCTTTGTCTGTGTGTGTGTGTGTGTGTGTGTGTGTGTGTGTTTTGAGACAGGGTCTTACTATGTTGCCCAGGGTGGAGTGCAGTGGTGCAATTATGGGTCACTGCAGCCTGGCTCTCCCGGGCTCAAAGTGATTCTCCTATCTCAGCCTCCAAAGTAGCTAGGACTACAGGTGCTTGCCACCACGCTCAGATAATTTTTGTATTTTCTGTAGCAATGGGGTTTCACTATGTTGCCAGGGCTGGTCTCGAACTCTTGGGCTCAAGTAACTCTCCTGCCTCAGCTTCCCAAAGTGCTGGGACTGCAGGCATGAACCACTGTGCTTGACCTTTTTATTTGTCTTTTGAAAATAGTCTGCAAAATCTAATAAATATTTGACTACCCCTTCTTTTTGTTTTTGGATGGTGCAACATCAGGAATATTATTATTATTATTTTTACCACGTTATGAGAAATAGTCCTTTTTTTCAGGTGTGTAGAGGGCTCAGGGTCTCAACCCTGATGCTCCCAGGTCTTAGTGCTTCTTTGAATGTTGGTATTTTTAAACTTTCTTCTCTTGCCTCCTCCCTCCCTTTTCTACCTGCTTTCTTTCATTGCTGGCTGTGTTTCTGCCTGAGGTCCCTAATTCCTCCAGCCCATTTCATCTTTTGTTTATTTTCGCTTCTAATCTTCTGTGATTTTGAAAACTAAATAGCTTCTTAGAATTGTGTGTAAAAAAGGCCGGGCATGGTGGCTCACACTTGTAATCCCAGCACTTTGGGAGGCTGAAGCGGGTGGATCACCTGAGGTCAGGAGTTCAAGACCAGCCTGGCCAACATGGTGAAACCCCGTCTCTACTAAAATTACAAAAATTAGCTGGGCATGGTGGTGAGCACCTGTAATCCCGGCTACTCTGGAGGCTGAGGCAGGAGAATCGCTTGAACCCAGGAGGCAGAGGTTGCAGTGAGCCAAGACCATGCCATTGCACTCCAGCCTGGGCAAAAGAGCGAAATTCCATAAAAAAAAAAGAAAAGAATTGTGTGTAAAATTAAAAGAAACAGTCTTTGATCAAAGGTCTGAGGAAATTCTAAGGAATACAGTATATGAGAGCTTTATTGTTTTAGGACTTTTATTTTCTGCTTTTCTCTTTTTTTTTTTGTTGTTGAGACGGAGTCTCACTCTGTCACTCAGGCTGGAGTGCAGTGGCATGATCTCGGCTCACTGCAACCTCTGCCTCCTGGGTTCAAGTGATTCACCTGCCTCAGCCTCCCAAGTAGCTGGGACTACAGGCACCCGCCACCATGCCCGGCTGATTTTTTGTATTTTTAGTAGAGATGGGGTTTCACCGTCTTAGCCAGGATGGGTCTCGATCTCCTGACCTCGGGATCCGCCCGCCTCAGCCTCCCAAAATGCTGGGATTACAGGCGTGAGCCACCGCGCCCGGCCCATCTCATTTTTTTAAGGCTTCCTTCTGTTTCTCAGGTTTTCTCTGGATCAGTGAAGTTGATTTATCTATCTGCAATGACTCATTAGCTGAGTTTGAATAAATTGTTATTTTTCAAATGTGGTCTGCAGAACTACTTGTGTCAGAACCACTAGGGGTGCTGTTAAAATGCAGGTGCACAGGTCCCTTCTCAGATACGTTGAATCAGAATATCTGGATGGAAGACCCAGGAATATACATTTTCATTAAACAGCCTTAGTTATATGTATGCCCTAGAGCTTGATAACTATTGGAGTGGGTGCTGTGCCTGTGTTCTTAATCTGGGCTAAGCTTGTCTCATGTTTGTAGTTGTAAATTAAGATGAAATGCCTGGAGAAGGAAGCCTAGTGGTTAAAAGTGCAAACTCTAAAGAGCAACACCTGGGTTAAACTTGCAGTTCTACCTTTAACAACTAAATGATATTGGGCAATCTGTGAAAACTCTCTTTGCCTCATTTCCCCTGTGTATAAAAGGAAGATGATAATAAAGCCTGATTCATAGGGCTGTTGCATTAATATAGAAAAATAATTTAAAACAGTAAGCACACAGAATGGCAGCTATTATTACTATGAATATTATATTTTTGTATAGTGGCTGTACCATATATTTTGTGGCTTATCCGAAGCACAGTTATTGTGGCTCTACATAAAGATATCCTCCTAGCCACATTTGTGCCTGAGCGTGCAAACGTAGACATGCATGCCTGGAACGGTGAGTGATGTATCGTGACCTGGCTTCAGATAACGTGACTGTGGGTCATGGTCATGTCAACATTGCTCCTATCTCTTGGAAAGCAAAATGTCTAAATTCAAAGGAATATCACTGTCATGAGCCTTAATTTTTTTTAATAGATTGGTTTAGCCTCAAACGATGAGACTCATCAAAGGATTCAAACCAGAGTAGTGGCTTTGTTTTAAGTTGAGACAGTGAGACAGGGTTCTTCTGTGTGCATCAAATTATACAGTAATTTTGATGGAATCCCATACAGAAGTCTACTGGTTTCTATGGCAACCTGAATTCAAAATAGGATGTTAGAAGCCTCTTCAGAGTAGAAAAAGCAAGTTTCATTCTTTCTGTAGTTATGGAACATATAGTTTGTACAAAGTATTTTCTAAATGGAACTTTTGTCTTTTTACTTTCTTGCCATTAATAATTTTAACAATTTTGTAGTACTGCATTCCTACATTCTTTCTGTATCTCTGAATGAGAATCTCAAGCCACCCTAAAGTGCTTGTTTTGCTATGAATAGCTGATGTTTCACTTTGTCGTTTATAGCAGATGCACTATATAGTTTTTACTTTTCTAATACTATAGCAATTGGTAATAGGAGAGAAAACCTGTTACAGAATTCCTAGGTTAGCAAGTCAGCCTATTTTTAGTGGCAACTACAAAAAAAAGCTTTTGCGTAAATACCTAATTTTTGTAAACGATGTATTTTTAGCACATATCTGTCTGGAAGTATTTTAAAATTGGATCTCGTAATCCTGAAGACAAAGTCTGTTGCAGATATTGACTAACTGGGTGGGCAGTTCCAAGTATAAAGGCTATGTTGGGCTGTGGTAACAAACACAGTGGAAAGTCTCAGTGGCTTATGACAACCAGAGTTTATTTCTCATTTGTTGCTTCTGCCCGTGCAGGTTTACTGTAGTTGCTCTCTCTGTCATCTTCGCTCTGGGACCTGGGCTGACAGAACAGCCCCTATCTGGAACACTGCCCGGCAAAGGGAGAAGAGTGCAATGAAGCAACTACTGACTCTTAAATCTTCCATCCAGAAGTAACGTACATTTTTGCTCACAATTCATTTTCCAAAGCAAATCCCATGTCTTGCCTGAATCCATTGGTTAGGTAAATAGAATCCCTCTGCAAGGCAGTGTGTCCCCAGTTGTGCTAAGAAGATGTGCCATAGGGGGACACTAGAACTTACAGATGATATATTTTTAGTTAAAAAAAATTGTTTTGGCTGGGCATGGTGGCTCACGCCTGTAATCCCAGCACTTTGGGAAGCTGAGGTGGGTGGATCATGAGGTCAGGAGTTCGAGACCAGCCTGGCCAACATAGTGAAACCCCGTCTCTACTAAAAATCCAAAAATTAGCTGGGCATGGTGGCGGGTGCCTGTAATCCCAGCTACTCAGGAGGCTGAGGCAGGAGAATCACTTGAACCCTGGAGGCGGAGGTTGCGGTGAGCCGAGATCGTGCCACTGCACTCCAGCCTGGGCAACAGAGCGAGACTCCATCTCAAAAAAAAAAAATTGTTTTAGAGGTGCTGGTTGAGGGGAGTAATGGTGGAATCACAGAATTTTAGAGCTGGAGGAAATGGTTCATGAAGGTTTTGGGGCTTACATTCTTTTCTTTCTAGAATTAGGAAGCTTGGTTTCATGGTTTTGACAAACGAGCACTTTGTACAAGAGAGCACATTCAGCCTTGGTTTACAGCGCCTTGCCTTCCATTTGTTTTTGTCCTTTTGATTAACATTCCTTTGGATAATTAAATTAAGTTAAACATTTAAATTTCTAATAGTGGAACACAGTGACTGCATAAATGTTTTCATAATTGGTTCTCTGAGGCACAAAACTTACAAGAAATGAAAATGGCCAACAAGACTTTTTTTTAAGACAGTTTTTCCATATTAATTTAAAATTATGATTTTTTTTTTTTTTGAGACAGAGTTGCGCTCTGTCACCCAGGCTGGAGTGCAGTGGTGCAATCTCAGCTCACTGCAACCTCCACTTCCTGGGTTCAAGCGATTCTCCTGCCTCACCCTCCTGAGTACCTGGGATTATAGGTGCCTGCCACCACACCCAGCTAATTTTTGTATTTTTAGTAGAGATGGGGTTTCACCATGTTGGCCAGGCTGGTCTCGAACTCCTGGCCTCAAGTGATGTGCCCACCTCAGCCTCCCAAAGTGCTAGGATTACAGGTGAGAGCCACCATGTCCAGCCAAAAATTATGATTCTTTAGATTCTACGCAAATTATCTGTAAGAAGAAAGCTTTAGAAAGAGGCCTGTACTGGACCAAGAATGACTCTTTTGTTTTTGTTTTTGAGATGGAGTCTCACTTTGTCACCCAGGCTGGAGCGCAGTGGTGTGATCTTGGCTCACTACAATCTCTGTCCCCTGGGTTTGAGTGATTCTCCTGTCTCAGCCTCTGGAGTAGCTGGGATTACAGGTGTCCGTCACCATGCCCAGCTGATTTTTGTAATTTTAGTAGAGATGGGGTTTCACCATGTTGGCCAGGCTGGTTTCAAACTCCTGAGCTCAAGTAAGTGATCCTCCTGCCTCGGTCTCCCAAAGTGCTGGGATTGCAGGCATGAGCCACCACATCAGGCTAAGAAGGACTCTTTTGGACCATGGAGTGTTGCTCACTACATCCCATCATGTAACAGGGTAGTGTCATTGTTTTCCCAGCCAGCTAGGAAAGGTGTGACTTGCTTAACCAGTGAACTGACCTGCAGAACAGATGGAACTGCTAAGTGAAAGAGCCGTGTTGGCTCTGGAGACCTAGAAGCATTTCATCCATATGGAGCAAAGCTGGGAAGTCTGTAAAAGGTATGCTGGGAAGATTACATTCTTCCGAAGGAAGGCACTATCCCATCCCATAATGAGTAGTAGCAGAGTGAGCCTCCTTACCAGAGTTACCAGGGCTTTGCGATTATAACACAACAGCTCTCACATTCTTGCTGATTCCTTGGTAATGGTTGCATGAAGAGGTTCAAAGAGGACCTCTCTATATCCTGGGGGAAGGGTCCTTTGCACGGGGCATGCTTTTGTGCAGGATCTCGTGCTCAATTTGGCCCCCTGCGTATCCCCTCTGCAGAGCCTCTCTGCTATGTGAACCCCAGGATTCCATCATGGGACTCACAAGGACACAGGCTAATGGGCTCCAGCAGGTCTAAAGGCACCTCTCCTGCCCTCCCTCCGAGCAACCTAGTACTCTCTGTCATGGGCATTTCTGTGTACCTGCTGCTTGATGACATTCCGTATTCATAATGATATCCTTGAAGTGCTGACAAAGACTTCTGTATGTTTGGTGTGAATTAGACATGTTTATAATTTGCTGTCTTGAAATTGTGTAATCCTCATATGGCCTGTGTATATTCTGTCCAAATGAGTTATGTGATAAAACTCTGTACAGTCATGTACCACTTAGTGATGGGGAGACGTTCTGAAAAACACATCATTATAGGTGATTTGGTCATTGTGTGAACATCACAAAATGCACTTACACAAACCTAGATGGTGTAGCCTACCACACACTTAGGCTATGTGGTATAGCCTGTTGCTCCTAGCTACAAACCTGTGCAGCATGTGAGCTACTGGATATTGTAGCCAATTGTAACACAATAGTAAGTGTTTGTATATTTAAATGTATCTACACATAGAAAAGGTACAGTAAAAGTATGGTGTAAGAGATTAAAATGGTACACTTGTCTAGGGCACTTATTGCAAATGGAGCTTGCAGGATTGGAAGTTGCTCTGGGTGAGTCAGTGAGTGAGTCCTGAGTGAACGTGAATGCCAGGGACATTACTGTCCACTACTGTAGACTTTATCCCTGTACAATTAGGCTACACTACATTTTTAAGAATTTTTTCTTCAATAATAAATCAACCTTAGCTTAGTATAACTTTTTTACTTTATAAACTTTAACTTCTTTTTAACCTTTTGACTGTTTTGGAATAACACTTAGCTTAAAACACAAACACATTATACTTCTGTGTAAATATATTTTCTATTTATCCTTATATGAACTTTTTTCTTTTACTTTTTACACTTTTTTTTTTTTTTTGAGATGGAGCGTCGCTCTGTCTTCCAGGCTGCAGCACAGTGACACGATCTTGGCTCACTGCAACCTCCGCCTCCCGGGTTCAAGCAATTCTCCAGCCTCAGCCTCCTGAGTAGCTGGGAATACAGGTGCCCGCCGCCACGCCCGGCTAATTTTTGTATTTTTAGTAGAGGCTGCGTTTCACCATGTTGGTCAGGCTGGTCTGGAACTCCTGACTTCAGGCGCTCCACCTGCCTCGGCCTCCCAAAGTGCTGGGATTACAGGTGTGAGCCACCACGCCTTTTAATTAAAAACTAACACACAAGCATGCACATTAGCCTAGGTCTCCACAGAGTGAGGCTCATCAGTCTCGCTGTCTTCCATCTCCACATCTTTTCGCACTGGAAGGATCTCAGGGGCAGTAACCCACATGGAGCTGTCATCTGCTATGACAATGATGCCTTCTTCTGGGATACCTCCAGAAGGACCTGCCTGAGGCTGTTTTACAGTTAACTTTTTTTTTTTTTTTAATAAATAGAAGGAGTATACTCTAAAATAAAAATAAAAAGCCTAGTTTAGTAAATATATAAACCAGAAACACAGTTGTTTATTGTCAATATGATGTACTGTACATAACTATCTGTGCTATACTTTTATATGACTGACAGCACAGTAGGTTTGTTTACACTAGCATCGTCACAAAAACCTGAGTAATGCCTCATGCTATGAAGTTAGGACAGCTACAGAGTCACTAGGTGATAGGAATTCTTCAGCCCCATTACAGTCTTATGGGACCACTGTCATATATTTGGTCCATGGTTGACCAAAATGTTGAAACATCATTATGTGGCGCATGACTGTATTAGGATGTTCTGTCCACTGAACCTGCCCTGGAGTCACCCCAAAAGTGGCAGCAGGGGAATTCCTGCAAGGGACTGTCTCAGACCAGAAATGGGACCGTTTGGGATTCCAAAGAAAGAAGCATCAAACACCAGGGTGATCAGTCAAAAACATTTATTAGGGGGAACTTAGGGAGCTTTAGCATCTTTGTGACAGACAGTGAGAAAAGAGATATTCTACCCAGGTATGTTGCTACTGGGACGGCAGGGTTCTATGAGGGTTCAAAGAATTTGGCTCAGGGTCAGGGGTAATTTCTGTGTTTAGCAACATAGTTGATTTCTCCGTGCTTCAAGCAATAACCTCAACAACTTTATCAGTGCCTGGGAATGTTCAAGACCCCAGCTTGGGTTCGAGCCCAGAGTGGAAAACATGCAGGTGTCCAGGTCACAGAGTGATCAAGGCACCGTGTTTCTTGGTCAGGACCTCAAAGGAAGAAGGTGGAGGGACCTGGGGGTTACTGGAGGGTTCTATACCAGATAACTGAGCCTGGAGTTTCAGTTAGAAGGGAGCTGAAAGTTTTTCTTGAATTCTAGATGACTTCATCTCAATGATAGGTGGGCTCTCACCTGTACAGATGCAGACCTTGCTACCTCATGAGACAGTGACTCTTCTGGAATAATTGTTCTGTGTTCTTCATTGTATTGAACCTACCTCTGTCTCCCTCTAGTTTTGATTTTCTTCGACCCTATTTCTGTTTTCTTTGATCACCCAAGGGTGTCTGTTCCTTTTTCTACCTTGGGAGCTCTTAAATATGAGGGGAGCAGTCATATCTCCTTGTAACATCTCATCTCTGGGCCACGTTTTCTCCCTCACCATCTCTTACAGGAAACGTTTTAGTTTTGCCTCCCTGCTGGTTGCTGTCCTTGAGGTGTGTTCCCACAGATCCCCAGCCTCCACCCTATACAGTGCTGGGCTGGGAACAGATGCAGGACCCCAGTGCCAAACGCCGCCGGGCCATCATTGACCCTGGTTGGGCAGGGTGGCCCTCATGGAAGGGGCCCAGGCTTTGCCCTCAGATGCACCTGGGCTCAAGATCCAGCTCTGCCACTTGCTAGCAGAGTGACCCATGCACCGTTTATCTGTTCTTCGAATCTCAAGTTTATTCATCTTGTAGAGAGGGAACAATAATTCCTCCACTTAAGGGGTGCTATACACAATAAGGCAATGACATGTGTGAAGTCTCTAATATCAGTGTATGGCAAATAATCTTTTCTCAGTAAATATTTGCCTTCCCATTGCCCTAGTCATTATATTTTTATTAGTTCAGTATAATATTATGTCAGCTTTGTGGTTAGCCATATCTCCCCTGTGCCACACCGAACTTGTAATGATCTCAAGTCCCAAAGCCTTCCACGTTAAACCCGTCTCTTCTATCCTGCCAGTGTAGCAAGTATTCCATGGAGATAATAACACGCTTGCCATGTCTAGAACATAGTACAAAGAAGAAATGCTAGCTGTAAAACTTTATTATGACTACCTGTTTTAGTGCAGATTGATTTTAATGGTGCTTACTTCCCTAACATCTACATTTTGATATCAACAAAGTGTGTCATATTCAACGAAGAAGCTTATTGGAGAAATTTAGAGAGAAAGAAGTCACCCCTGTTAGAATGAGCTTAGTTAAAGGTTAGCGCAACATCTGGAGGAAGGTAGTGGCCTCCCAATAAAACTTAGCTCCCTATGGTCCTTGACTTTGGTTGTGACTCAGTATTAATGTTTTCTTTTAAGAACAGATATAACTTAAATGTTAATCTCAAGAAAGTACATTTCAACACAGGGAAGGCAGAGAAGAGAGTGCTGGAAGATTTCTCACTGTTGCTGTGTCCCCAGCCCCAGTTTCTTGACGCCTTTTTAGCAGGTGGCTCCCTCCTCTAGGGAAAAAGGTGAGGAGCCAGTTAGAAAGCAGAGGCCTGTCCCCGCAGAGGGAGGCCAAACTGACCTCAGATTCAGAGACAGCCAGCTGTGGACCGTCTTTCCTCAGAGCTACAAATGTGTCATTTTGATTCCATAGGGTCCTGGAGGCACCCGTGCATTGCACTGCAGGAAATTAATGGCACAAAGGTTACTTCCTGCACGTTTGCTGCTGAGGGTCATCTTGATACCTGCCTCTTCTCTGTCTCCCCTTCTTTAATAAACTTTGTGTTTCAGAGTTGTTTTAGATATACAACCAACTGTGACAGTGGTACAGAGAGTTCCTCTATACCCTGCACCGAGTTTCCCCCGTTAGTAACATCTTACCTTACTATGGTACATTTGTCACCATCGGTAAACTGATATTGATATGTTCTTATGAAATAAGTCCATTCTTTGTTCAGATTTCCCTACCTTTTACCTAATGACCTTTTTTCTGTCCCATGATTTCATCCAGGATACCACATGACAGTCTCACCCAGGATACCACATGACATTTTGTCATTATGTCTCCTTAGGCTCCTCTTGACTGTGACAGTTTTCTGTGCCCTATTTTTCAATCTGCTTTGAGCTACTTTGCAAGAGATGCTTTTTCCTTTCTTTCTTTCTTTCTTTTTTTTTTTTTTTTGAGACAGGGTCTCACTGTTTCCCAGGCTAGAGTGCAGGGGCACAAACACAGCTAACTGCAGCCTTGAACTCCTGGGCTCAAGCGATCCTCCCACCTCAGCCTCCCAAAGTGCTGGGATTAAAGGTGTGAGCCACCATGCCTGGTCCTTTTTCACATTTTTGATAAAGGCCTGATGGTGGTGGTTAAAAGCGCTGTTCATTTTCTTCATTAATCCTCCAGTCAGCAAACATTTGCAGAGTACTTACCAGATGAGGTCACTGAACTTAATGACAGAACCAAGGGAAGTTGCCTTTCCCCGTGCTAGTGCTGCCCAGCGCTTCACTGGAGATCTTGTTAAAATGCAGATTCTTGTTCAGTAGTTCCAGGGCAGGGCCTGAGATTTTGCATTCCCAACAAGCTCCCCGCTGCACCCAGGCTGCAAGAGATCATGCTTGGAGGATCAAGACCCTAGACTTGGGCCAGACTCCATATTAAGTGGCAGTGAGAGCAAGGGGGCCAGGTGGGAGATGAGAGAAGAGTTAGATAAATTATATATCACAGTTTCTGCCTTCAGGAAGTTCGTGGTTCTATCAGAAAAATAAAGAAGACTGGCTGGGCATGGTGGCTCATGCTTGTAATCCCGGCACTTTGGGAGGCCAAGGTGGGTGAATCACTTGAGGCCAGGAGTTCGAGACCAGCCTGGCCAACATATTTAGTAGAGACAGTGAAACCCTGTCTCTACTAAAAATACAAAAATTAGCTGAGCGTGGTGGTGCATGACTGTAATTTTAGCTACTTGGGAGGCTGAGGCAAGAGAATCACTTGAACCCGGGAGGCGGAGGTTGCACTGAGCTGAGATTGCACCACTGCACTCCAGCCTGGGCGACAGAGTGAGACTTCATCTCAAGAAAAAGAAAGAAGACTGAACAAAGCAAGGGAGTAAAAGTAAATTGCAAAATGGAGATGAAGACAATAGACAGTAGACAGTTCACACCACTGTGATGGCTTAAAAAAAAAAAGAACAAGTGTTAGAAAGCATGTGGAGAAATGGGAACTCTTATGCATTGCTTGTGGAAATGTAAAATGGTGCAGCCACTGTGGAAAAGAGTACAGGAGTTCCTCAGAAAATTATGTAGAATTGGCAGGGCATGGTGGCTGGCACCTAATCCCAGCACTTTGGGAGGCTGAGGCGGGCAGATCACTTGAGGCCAGGAGTTCAAGACCAGCCTGGCCAACATGGTGAAACCCTGTCTCTACTAAAAATACAAAAATTAGCTGGGCATGGTGGCAGGTGCCTGTAATCCTAGCTGCTCAGGAGACTGAAGCAGCAGAACCACTTGAACCCGGGAGGTGGAGGTTGCAGTAAGCCAAGATGGTGCCACTGCACTCCAGCCTGGGTGACAGAGCGAGACTCCGTCTCAAAAAAAAAAAAAAATTACGTAGAATTACCATATGATCCAGCAATTCCACTTCTGAATATATGCCCATAAGGACTGAAAGCAGGAATTTGAACAGGTATCTGTACAACTGTGTTCACAGCAGCATTCTTCACAATAGCCAAAATGTGGAAGTAACCCAAGTGTCCATCCACAGACGGATGGCTAAAGAAAATGTAGGATACACATACAACAGAATACTATCCAGCCTTGAAAATGAGGGAAAAGTTTGACTCGTGCTGCAACATAGGTGAACCTTGAAGACATTACGCTAAGTGAAATAAGCCAGGCCCCAAAGGAAGAATGTTTTATGGTTCCACTTATATGAAATATCTAGAGTAGTCAACTTCAGAGACACAAATTCTAATAGTGGTTGCCAGGGTTTGGGGGAGGACAGAATGGAGAGTTAGTGTTAAATGGGTACAGAGTTTCTTTTTGAAAAGTTGAAATGGAAGATGGAAAAGTTCTAGAGATGGATAGTGATGATGGTTGCACATCAATTTGAATGTAGTTAATATCACTGAACTGCACACTTACGGATGGTTAAAATGCTACATTTTGTTATGCATATTTTCCCATGATTTGAAAAATGGTTAAAAAAAAGGCACATACACAAAAATACAATAGGTGGTAGAGTTGTCAGCGGAGAGGGATAAAATGGTAACAGTAAGGCCTTATTGACAGACCAGGTGTGACTTGCCGGCACAAAGTACTTATTAACTCATCTAACTTATTGCTCATCTCCAGCAACCCTCTGAAACAGGTACTTATTAGCCCTGCTTTATAGATGACACAACTGAGAAAGGGAAGATTACTTAAGGCTCTACTAGTCAATGGGAAGTTTCTAAGGTAGCCGTGTAATTGAAGGTGGACCTTGGAGGAGAGGCAGGATTGGGGTGGAAAGAGGATAGGAGGTATTCTAGATAGATAGGAGCTGGCTAAGGAAAGATCCAGAAACTGGTGGGAACTTAAATATTCAGCTGCCATGACGATGGTTGGTATGTAGGGTTCGTATGAATGAAACGTGACTACCAGGGCAGATAATGAAAGGCTTTCAATCCCAGAGTAAGAGATATAGGGCCAGGCGTGGTGTCTCATGCCTGTAATCCCAGCACTTTGGGAGGCCAAGGCAGGTGGATCACTTGAGGTCAGGAGTTTGAAACCCGCCTGGCCACCATGTCAAAACCCTACTAAAAAGTACAAAAATTAGCCAGATGTGGTGGCTCACACCTGTAGTCCCAGCTACTTGGGAGGCTGAGGCATGAATCGCTTGAACCCAGGAGGCGGAGGTTTCAGTGAGCCGAGACTGCATCACTGCACTCCAGCCTGGACAACAGAGTGAGACTCCATCTCAAAGAAAAAAAAAAAAAAAGAAAGAAAAGAAAAAAGAGAGATATGGAACGGGGGCATCAAACTCAAACTCAAGTGTTTTCAGAGGCCAGCAGGTAACAAATGTGAGACAAGTGGCTTAGTCCAGGTGACAGGGAGTAGTATGGACTGTGGCAAGCTGAATAGAGCACATCCCACCTGAGACATTCAGATCTCAAACATAAATCCTGGGCAATGTGGGCCACTGATGGGCTTGGATGACATTGAACTTCTGATGGTGAGGTTGCTGTGCCCTTTGAAGGCATGCAGAGTGGTGTCGAGGGCATATGCAAGACCACATGGTATATGAGGCATATCTTCCTGGCTGTGTCAATAGCACTAGAAGATTATGGGTAAAAATTGATGCACTTTCACTAAGTACTTAAAAAATGATTTTTATGGTATGACAAAGACAGGTGGAGTAGAATACTAATGATAGCGAACATTGTTGAATGCTGACTATGTGCCAGGCACCGTTCTGAGCATTTTGCATATATTATCTCCTTCAGTCCTCCAAATAGCCCATGTACTTGGTTCCATTGTTATCCCTATTTACAAATAAGGAAATGGAGGTGCAGAAAGGGGAAGTAACTTGCCCGAAATGGTTGTGACAGAAATCTGGGACACAGTGGTGGTTGCACTTGCACTTAGAATTAACTCTGAGTTTCCTGAAAGCTGTTTCTCATTTATTTTGTCATGGCACTGTAGTCCAAGAGTAATTTAAGAAATGTTTCCATTTTTATTGTAGATTTAGAAATACATGTGCAGGTTTGTTCCAAGGACGAGGTTGTGTGGTGCTGAGGTTTGTGTTTCTATGGATCCCTTCACCCAGATCATGAACATAGTACCCAATAGGAAGTTTTTCCGCCCCCCTCACTCCCTCCTTTTGAAGTCTCCATTGTCTCTTGTTCCCATCTTTATGTCTGTGTGACCCCAAATTTTAGCTCTCACTTATAAGTGAGAACATTCAGTTCTTGATTTTCCATTTCTGCATTAGTTCTCTTAGGATGACAGCCTCCTGCTGCATCCACATTGCTGCAAAGAACCTGATTTTGTTCTTTTTATGACTGCCTAGTATTCCCTGATGTATATGTCCCACGTTTTCTTTGTCTGATCCACCACTGATGGGCATGTAGGTTGAGTCCATGTCTTTGCTACTGTGAATAGTACTGCGATGAACATACACATGCATGTGTCTTTATGGCAGAAAGATTCATTCTCCTTTGAGTAGATACCCAGTAATGGAACTGCTGGGTTGAATGGTAGTTCTATTTTTAGTTCTTTGCAAAATTTCCAAAGTGCTTTCCACAGGGGCTGAACTAATTTGCATTCCCACCAACAGTTTATAAGCATTTCTTTTTTGCCACGACCTCACCAGCATCTGTTATTTTTTGACTTTTTAATAATAGCAATTCTGACTGGTGTGAGATGGTGTCTCATTGTGGTTTTGATTTGCATCCAAGAGTAATTTAAATAGGGACCACTAGATGTCACTACCCAGTGCTCCTTAAGAAAGAGAAACAGACAAGAAACGCCGCTGTGGCTCTGCCTTGAAGAAACAGAAAAACTGCTTAACCACTGATATTTATGGTCTTCCTATTGAAGAATGCTGATGTGACCTGGTTGCCACAGTGCCTCTGACTCCTCCCCTATCCCCATTGTCCAGCCCAGCTAAGTGGTGCTGCGGGAGCCCTATTCTGCTGGTAGATTTTGTAATTTCAGGAAAACTAGAAGGGACTCTGTCATTTCATAAGTCAACTCCTTCCTGCATCAGCTGCCCACTCCACTGAAGGCAGGAGGGGCAGGATTGACTGAAGGAGGTTTTGGTTGTTAGCATGTGTGTGTGTGTGTGTGTGTGTGTGTGTGTGTGTGTATGTATGTAAAGTAGGGGGGACACGGGGGTTGTTTCCAGTTTTGAATAACTCAGGACCTGCTCTTGCACATTGGTCTAGTGCTTTCAACTAAGACCTTCCTTAACATGGGGCTTGCACAGGGCAGAAGTGTGACCAATATATGCTAAATTAAGTTGCACAGAAGGGCAGGAATGGGGCTTCTGCACAGAACATCGAAAAGGAGAGGAGGATCTTGGAAGGGACTAGGTAGTGCCTGAACCTCTCAGGGCAGTGGGTAGGTAGAGGAGAGTTTGCCAGGGGTTCATTCAGAGGGAAATAAAGGAAGGTGTATGGTGCCCTCCTCACAGGTACCCGACTTACTTATTCAGGATATAGCTATGGAATGTACATGTTCTTCAGGTACCTACAAAGATTTGTCAAAGTTGAGCAAATCAACCAGGCACGGTGGCTCATGCCTATAGTCCCAGCGCTTTTGGAGACTGAGGCAGGAGGATCACTTGAGCCCAGGAGTTCAAGACCAGCCTGGGTAACAACGAGATCCTGTCACCAGACATGGTGGCATGTGCCTGTGGTCCGAGTACTTGGGAGGCAGAGGTGAGAGGATTGCTTGACCCCAGAAGTTTAAGGCTGCAGTGAGCCTTAATGGCACCATTGCACTCCAGCCTGGGTGACAGAGACCATGTTTGTTTGGTTTTTTTTTAAAGTAAGGTTTTTTTTTTTATTAATTTCTCTTTAAAATATTCCTTTTCCTCCATCCCAGCATCCTCAACTAACTTAAAAATCTTCCTTCTTTACTGTAAATATTTCAAGAATTCTGTATATCTAAATATAGTCAATACAATGATGAATTACATTTTTATCCAGTTACCTTGAGGCTGGAAAACGAAGAGAGGTTTCTCTAGAACACTGTGAAAGGTAACCCATACCAAAATAGAGCAGAGAAGGGGGAGGAGGGAACTGCCGCAGAAAAACCTTAAAGCTTTCACTGAAATGTGTCTCCTTTCTTTTGGAGAGGAGGTCAAAATATAATAAGCGCATCAAGAGCTGTTTTGAAAAATGGGGCTGTGTAAGTTATGAGAACAGCTGTAGAGATTTTTTTTTTTTTTTTAGATGGAATCTTGGTCTGTCGCCCAGGCTGGAGTGCAGTGGCACAATCTTGGCTCACTGCAACCTCCACCTCCCTGGTTGAAGCAATTCCCCTGCCTCAGCCTCCCAAGTAGCTGGGATTATAGGTGCATGCCACCAGGCCCGGCTAATTTTTTTTGTATTTTTAATAGAGACAGGGTTTCACCATATTGGCCAGACTGGTCTTGAACTCCTGACCTCAGGCAATCTGCCTGCCTCAGCCTCCCAAAGTGCTGGGATTACAGGTGTGAGGCACCATGCCCGGCCGAGATATGTTTTTAAAATCTGGATAATAAAGCAAATGGTATAGATGAATGTCTTTAAATTACAGGAAGAAAATGGTATCAGGCAAAACTTTATATTTTCCATGGGCCCTGGAGATGGAAATTCATTTGCTTGGGAGTGGAAAGCATGCTTTGCATGATGTTCATTGATGGAATGTATTTTAAAAATGCAGAACCTAATTGGGGCTCTCAAATTTTCTACCCTTATTAATTCAAATGGAGACTTTCTGCTAAACTCAAAAATGCAAATACTAAGTTATTTCAAATAGGAATCCTGCTAACACTAGTACCTCTTTATTGCATGTAACCACAGATGCTTCCTTTTGAGTCCTTGGTCATCACTAACACCACATAGAATGGTATCAAGCTCATTTTGATGCTGCTGTATCTATTTGGTGTGAATGATAATAGCCATACTGCACATTTGAATCACACTATCACATGTGGTTACATTGAATTCTTACAGCAACTCTGTGTGGTATAAGGTACACATTGTTAAATATATTTGATAGATGATAGAACCAAGTCTCAGAGAGGTGAATTAACTTGACCAAGGCAACAATTAGTTAGTTGGATAAGTTGCATATTTGATCTCAGAAGAATTCTTATTAAAATGAATAGATTCCAATAACATTTTGCTTTGGGGAAGTATCTGCAAAATCTTCCACTGCAGCTATTTAGGCCATGGTCGCTGTATAACCTCGACAGTATTTGCTGTATATATGAACAGAGAAAGACCCACACAGATACATCTTTGATTTATATCAGCTCCACATGATTTGGTATTAAAAAAATTGTCTTCCTAAAAAAATCATATTCCCAATTCATTGAATCAAGAAGTGCCATCACATGTGTGTGTATATGTATGTGTGTGTGTGTTTCAAGTAAGAGGACGAAAGAGGACAGAGGAACAAAAAAAGCCTCTTCTCTTTAAAAATGTTGCTGTACTGCAAGTCAGCCACTGCTGAAACTCTGAGATGGCTTTTGTTTTAAAATCTCCTGGGACTTGCAGATCGTGGAGGTGCGGCATTGCTGTTCATATCCATGATCATGCCTGAAGCACACACGGAAAGGTTGTGAGCAGTCCCTCTTGTAGGGGTGTGTGGCATGTGAAGACTTTGGTGTGCTGTGGATCACTCCTTGGAGAAATGCTCGTTGTTAGCACAGTTAGGTTTTTGCTGGCAGAATGGCAGAAGCCAGCTTTCTAAAATGACTACCTCTCCCGCACCTCCCTGCTATTTTTGCATTGGCATCCTCCTGATGAGGATAGCTCTTGCTGACCATTTACACTTATTTACATTCTATTCCACAGCCCATAAGAGCCAGCTTTCCTAAGCTCCTTCCCTGACATCCCAGACTCATGTAAACATCATCCTCCGGAAGCACTTGTTACCCGTAAAACTCATTCTCTTTTTTTTTTTTTTTCTTTCGAGACAGAGTTTTGCTCTTGTTGCCCAGGCTGAAGTGCAGTGGCATGATCTCAGCTCACTGCAACCTCCGCCTCCCAGGTTCAAGCGATTCTCCTGCCTCAGCCTCCTGAGTAGTTGGGATTATAGCCATGTGCCACCATGCCCGGCTAATTTTGTATTTTTTTTTTTTTTTTTTTTTTTTTTTTTTAGTAGAGATGGGGTTTCACCATGTTGGTCAGGCTGGTCTCGAACTCCTGACCTCAGGTGATCCACCTGTCTTGGCCTCCTAAAGTGCTGGGATTACAGGCATGCGCCACCGTGCCTGGCCGACTCGTTCTTTAACTGATGGACGCTACCCTGCCAGATGGTGGTTTTATTCAGGTACATACACATTTCATCTCCCTGCCTTTAGTGTGAATTTCCAGAGGGCAGGGCCTGAGTCTCAGGCCCCATTCTTGCTGCCCTCTCCTTCCACCACCCCTTGGCACTCAGCCTTTGGCCAGGCCCAGTTTGTTGAGAGGCAAGAGGCAGGAGGCTGTGGTTAAGGCCATGTGCTCTGATCCCGACCTCCTAGGTTTGAATCCTGACTGCTACTTACTGACCGTGACCTTTGGTAGCTCAGCCTCTTAATCTGTAAAATGGAAATCCTAATGGTACCTGCCTCGTAGGGTTGTTGAAAAGATTCGGTGAGATTTGATGTGAAAACTGCTTAGCATGGTGTCTGGTATGCAGTAGGCATGATAAAAGCCATACCTATTGTTATGCTTCAGGAAGAATCTGCTGGAGGTGGGAGGCTGGAGGCCCATGAGGAGGCCTCTGGGGCGGTGACGGTGGAAGAGCCACATCTGCGCTGGCTCAAGAGCCCGCGCACTTTTCTGCACATCCTCCGCCCAGGCCATGAGCATCAGTCCTCGCTGCAGTCTTGTCCCAGCCCAAGAGGTCAGGGGCGTGTGAGTGCTGGGAGGGGAGAGTAGGTACAGAGTGCTGTCACTGGGAGGGAGGATTTGGTGGCTAATTGGATATACGAAAAGTAAATGGGGAGTTAAGGATTCCTTTCAGGTTTCCAGTTTGGACAACTGGGTTGACATGGATGCTGTTAACTGAGAAAGGAACCAAGAGTTGGAACAGGTTTAGAGGGGCTGGTAATGAATTTAGTTACAGACGTCTTGGGTTTGCAGGATCCGGGATGCATCTAGATGGAGCCATCCAGTTGTAATGACAACAGAGAACATATATGGAATATCATGTTCCAGTGTCTGTTCCAAGCCCTTCACAGGTTTGAATCCACTTATTCTCACAACAACCTTATGAAGGAGGTACAATTCTTATTCCCATTTTACAGATGAGAAGACTAGATGCAGGGTGCTTTAGTTACTTGTGTAAGGCCACACTGCTAACAAGAGATGGTGCAGAGATTGGGACCCAGGTAGTCTGGTCCCAGATAGCCCCCACATTTTGCTGCTACTCTACACAGACCCTCCATCTCGTTTCTGGGAGGATAGGTCTGGACATGTAGGTGTGGTGAAGCCTTGGCAGGGAGGACATAGCTCGAAAGCCCCTGAAGAGTGAGGTGGGTGGTGGAGGAAAGAAACTCAATTTGCTGATGCAAATGAGCATCATTGTTGAAAATTCAGGATCAATAAAAGGTATGACTGGGAGGAAAGGTCAAGTCGGAGTATGATATTCTTGTTAATATCTCTAAGTAAAGGCTATAGGATTGATGACACAATGCTTTGATACAATACTTATGTGTCCATTTCAGTCAACAAAGTTTGCTCAGATGGCTTTCAAATTCCTTTGATTAACACTCTTGTGAGGTAAGTAGGTGGGAAGTGTTATTACTGAGGGTACACAGGAAGAAATGAATTTGGGAATAGAATCCTAGCCAGACTCTCCCCGCCAAGAGTTTTATTTAACAAAGCACACACTGATAGAAGGTGTAGATTGCAAAGTACTAGTTATGTCCTGGAGTTGGGTTAGTAATTTTCAATTAACTTTTTGGGTGGCATAGCCTTGGTACCTAAACAAAATGAAATGGCTGCTAATGATTTATTTTTACTCTACAAGCTGCCTTAATTATACCAAGAAGAGGATTAACACATTGGCTCTCGGCTCTGGCTGTGCGTCAGAATCACCCAAGGGGCTTTAAGAAACTGCATTCTTAGGCCCCACCTCTGCAAATTTCCGTTGGGTAAATTGGGTTAGAGGTAAAGGAGTGGACTGGGGCTGTTGTTGTGCATTTTAAAAATAGGTGCTCCTTTGTCAAGATGCTGGAATGACATAAGTATTTATTTCCTTTTCATCCCAGAATCTCACTGAAATGATTCCCCCAAAGGGTATAAGAAGAAAAAAAAAAAACCATAACAGGGCGGGCAGACAGAATAAGGTACCATCAACTGGAAAGAAATTCTGAGGATTGTCCCGAAGGTACCAGCAGATGGGACTGGGGACTGGATTTTAAAAGATAGAGCAAAAAACCCAGAGGGGGCGGACATGAACTGTCCAAGGGGAGCACCGTTCTGGGCTGGAGCTGGGAAGAAGCACCACCTGCGCCATCTAGTGGAGGTCATGAGTAGGCCATGGAGTGAGTGATTGATTGTCTGGATAATTAATTAAAAGACACCCTGTTCCTACTGATTCCTTATGCCAAGCAGCTGACAGCCGCATTTGTTCTCAGGCTAAAGCTGCAAGAACTGTTCTCCAAATAAAATTCAGGCTCAGCCCCGGGGTGTGAGTCCCTACATTGGCACCAAGGTGACAGAGAAGCAGAAGGTACTTTTGCATCTTCGTGAGGGTGAAGCTCACCAAGCTCCAGGGGAAAGCTTTTCACACTTTGGTGGAGAGGTGGGTCACCCTCTTGCTCACTGCTCAGACATCCATTGGGAGACCTGGCTGCCCACCGATGTCCCTATTCTCATAGACTAGGGTAGACAGCCCTCGAACGCAGGGGAGAGGCTCACTGTGAAAATAGATTTTCTGGGGGGTGTGCTGAATACAGCATTCCAATGATGCAGATGTGGGATGACCAGCCTATTATTGGCTGTATGCATTGCTGGTCCTGCTAGATGGACTTAGTGCCCCCGTGGAGGGGAGACAGAATACTGAGAGGAAGGATAATAAGCACCGTGGATTTCTGTACAGGCCTTATCATTTCCACATCTTTCATCTGAGCCTCATAACAATCTTGTGAGGCAAATGGCACTTATGGTTTCATTTTACCAATAAGACAGCTGAGGTTCTGAGAAGTTAAGGAAGTTCAGGGACTTGATCAAGTTCATTCAGGTAACATGTAGCAGAGTAAGGAACCAAAACTGGGTTTTGCTACCTCAGATGATATTCTCTTTCTACTTATCGCATATTTTCCAGTTTACATAATTTACTTAATTTCAACTTTTTTTTTTTTTTTTTTTTTTTTTTTTGGAGATGGAGTTGCCCAGGCTGGATTGCAGTGGCACCATCTCCACTCACCACAACCTACGCCTCCTGAGTTCAAGCGATTCTCTTGTCTGAGCCTCCTGAGTAGCTGGGACTACAGGTGTGCAACACCATGCCCAGCTAATTTTTTTGTATTTTTAGTAGAGACAGGGGTTCACCATGTTGGCCAGGCTGGTCTTGAACTCCTGACCTCAGGCGATCCCCCCACCTTGGCCTCCCAAAGTGCTGGGATTACAGACATGAGCCACCATGCCCAGCCTATTTCAACTTTTTGATAAACATTCATTTCTGGAAGGTAGAGTAGACTTCGGGATCTGTAGATAAATTTGTGCCAGTGTAATAGAGTAATGAGGCTGAAAAACATTGAGAAATATTCTGAAATGATGGCTCCCACGAAAGTGAAAAAGATAGTATCATGTATTAAAAAGGGATTAATTTAGGAATTTGACTGTGGTTGGGTTTAGGACATACTTGTTTCCTGAGGTTGCTGCAACAAAGTACTACAAAGCCGGTGGTGTAAAATAGCACACATTTATTTTCTCACAGTTGTAGGGGTCAGAAGTTGGAAATCAAGGTGTCAGCAGGGTTGCCTTCCTTGGAAGGCTCTGGGGGAGAATTTCGTTCCTTGACCTTCCAGCGTCTGGTGGCCGTTAGCATTCCGTGACTTCTTGGCTCATGGTTACATCACTCCAATCTCAGCATTCATCTTCATGTCACCTTGTCCTCTGTGTCTTCTCCCCTTTGTCCCCTTCGTCTCTTTTTTTTTGAGACAGAGTCTCACTCTGTCTCCCAGGCTGGAGTGCAGTGGCGCGATCTCAGCTCACTGCAAGCTCTGCCTCCTGGGTTCACGCCATTCTCCTGCCTCAGCCTCCTGAGCAGCTGGGACTAGAGGCGCCCGCCACCACGCCTGCCTAATTTTTTGTATTTTTAGTAGAGACGGGGTTTCACCGTGTTGGCCAGGATGGTCTCGATCTCCTGACCTCGTGATCCGCCTGCCTCAGCCTCCCAAAGTGCTGGGATTACAGGCGTGAGCCACTGCGCCTGGCCCCCTTTGTCTCTTATAAGGACACTTGCCATTGGATTTAGGACCCATTCAAGTAATCCAGGATGATCTCATTGCAACATCCTTAACTTAAATTTGCAAAGACCCTTTTTCCAAATGAGGTCACATTTAGAGGTTCCAGGGATTTGAATGCAGATGTATCTTTTGGTGTGGGGTCATCACTCAGCTCACTACAGGGTGTATTTATTTACTTAACATTTTCATAGTGAAATGAAAAAACCCCTTGGCCCTTATACCCTGTGATGTATATTTATACAACCATTGGAACACCTCATCCCTAGGGACTAGGTTTGTGTTATTTTTTTTCTTAAACACCAACAGGTAACAGCTGCCAGTTTGAAAGCAGGAGCTTCTCTTGAGCCTTTCCTGTGTCTGTCTGTGATGACATTTCTGTGACTCCATCTCTGCCTCCTTTTCTTTAGTTTCCTGGGCAAGACACTAGGATTTTAGAAACTGGTATTCAAAAGGGAGGAAATCAAGTGACAGAAAATAAGAAAAATATTCTGAGGTTTCTGCCTTCTTTAATCATGGAAAGGAATGGCAGGTTTACTCAGCCCAGATTGGAAAGAAAGGTAAAAACCTTGGGACAGGAGGGGATATTGGGCTATTTATTTTTGAGTCACTCACATTCTTCAGTTTGAAAATGGAAAAAACTGAAAGCCAGAAGGATTATGTAAGGTCACTTGGCAAGTTGTGGGCTGACATAGCATTAAGACTAAGAGCTTCTGAGTTCTCTATTCTTTTTTTTTTTTTTTTTTAAGAGACAGGGTCTTGCTCTGTTGCCCAGGCTGGAGTGCAGCAGCGTGATCACAGCTCACTGCAGCCCCGATGAGTTCTCTGTTCTGAGCTTCTGAATCACAGTGACTCTTGAGGGGGTCTCACTCTATTAATCTTTGGTTGTCTAAGCAGTATATGAGGGTCTTGACACTCACAGCCAAATGAGCACACAGGAGAGGTTAAGCCTTGACTTTGCTGTGTTTGATCTTCATTCAATAAATGAGTAAAAGAAATGAATGCTGTGGTTGTATTCAACTTGTTTCCAAGCTAGCCAGTAGTGAGAAGCCTGTAAGCAAATGGATTTTTAAAATTTCATACTAGTATCTATTACGGGCAATACCGTTCTTGAATCCAAGTGAATTGTCTGAAGGATTACCATGTCTGGTGCTGGTGTTTGTAGACTTATATAGGAAAAATAACAACAAACAGAAGCCAGCCTTTCTTCTTCATAAGGACTTGCTCCGACCATTCATCTAAAAGTAGATTTTCTCTTTGCAGACTTTGAACTGCTTTGAACTTGTTTGCAAGGTCAGCCCTCCACTAGTTCAGGAGAATGAAAGCTATTTGGAGAGCTGGAGTAAATATTGAAGTAAACCAGCCCAAAGAGCAGTTTGCCTTGTCTCAGGAGAAGTTGATAGCTTTACCAGGTACTGGTAGGTAGTTTCCCAACATAGGGCCCAACTGCCAGGCAATGTTGGTAGGCTCTGCAGACTTCTAAATGACAGACTTTATTTTATTTTATTTTATTTTTGAGACGGAGTCTCGCTTTGTCACCCAGGCTGGGGTGCAGTGGCGTGATCTTGGCTCACTGCAAGCTCCACCTTCTGGGTTCACGCCACTCTCCTGCCTCAGCCTCCCGAGTAGCTGGGACTACAGGTGCCCGCCACCATGCCAGGCTAATTGTTTTTGCATTTTTAGTAGAGACGGGGTTTCACTGTGTTAGCCAGGATGGTACAGACTTTAATAAAGCATGTCTGTTAAGTGATATTATGCTTTGAATCATTTTGTGTATGAACTTACTTCCTTATTTTTTTGGCTAATGCCTATTAAATCTAATGTATTCTGCTTCTTTTTGTGCTAAGCACATGACTGAAAGGCTGTGAGCCATAAATCTTACACTCAAAAAATTCACATGATGTTTTCTCATTTTACCTTGTAATGACTTTGGCCTTGTGGTTTATTGTTATGGCCTGGGAGTGTTTTTGAGGTACATTTTTATTTTTGTCATATAAAGTACCCAAAACACTCCTGGTGTGTGTCTAAGGGATAGCCTTGGGCGGGGGGAGGGGGCAGTTACTTTGGCATTTATGCTTGCAACCTTTTTGGCACTTATATTTGCCAACTGAGTAGGCCAGTAATAATTTGGAATATGTCTTGTTGAGCATATACTTCTGAGAGATGTAAAAACCAAAGTTTCTGCAAATTTATTTAATTCCTTGTTTGATCAGCATCAAACTGGACCTCAAGTTTAAATTTAATTTCTATTTTCACTTGGGAACAAAAATTATTGCAAGAATTGACAAGGCAGCTAGATATGGTGGCTCACACTTGTGATCTCAGTACTTTGGGAGGCTGAGGCAGAAGGATCACTTGAGGCCAGGAGTTCAAGACCAGCATGGGCAAGACTCTGTCTCTAAAGAAAAAAAGAAAGAAAGAAAAGAAAAATGCATTTGCAAGGCTAATAGAAATCAGGAGGCTAAAAGGAAAACCTGGCCTAAATGATGTATCTCCTAGATGTAGGTGGGGCAGGCAGTCATATTTGCTTAAGGAGCCTATGAGGCAGCCTGTAGAAAAGGGACAGGCGCCTCTAATCCCAGCTCCTTGGGAAGCTGAGGCACGAGAATTGCTTGAACCCAGGAGGTGGAGGTTGCAGTGAGCCAAGATTGTACCACTGCACTCCAGCCTGGGCGACAGAGTGAGACTGTGCCTCAAAAAAAAAAGGGGGGACCCTTTTGGCTGGGAATGGTGGCTCACGCCTGTAATCTCAGCACTTTGGGAGGCCAAGGTGGGCAGATCACTTGAGGCCAGGAGTTTGAGACCAGCCCGGCAACATGCTGAAACCCCGTCTCTACTAAAAATACAAAATGAGCTGGGTGTGGTGGCACACGCCTTTAATCCCAGCTACTTGGGAGGCTGAGGCAGAAGAATCGCTTTGTAAAGCATGATCATGCCACTGCACTCCAGCCTGGGCGACAGAGTGAGACAGTGTCTGAAAAAAAAAGAAAAGGGACCCTTTTTTTCTGGATTCCAGACAGGAAAATTTAATCCTCGGTGGTGTTTTTTTTTAAGAAACAGAGTCTTTCTCTCTTACTTAGGCTGGAGTGTAGTGATTCCAGCATAGCTCACTGCAGCCTCAAACTCCTGGGCTAAAGCAATTCTCCTACCTCAGCCTCCCAAGTAGCTGAGACTACAGGCACACACCACCATACTCAGCTAATTTTTAAATTTTTTGTAGAGATAGGGTCTTGCCATGTTATCCAGGCTGGTCTCAAACTCCTGGGCTCAAGCAATCCTCCTGCCTTGACCTCCCAAAGTGCTGGGATTACAGGCATGAGCCACTGTGCCTGGCCACTTTTTCAACTTTAAAAGTGGTCCCCGGCTGGGCACAGTGGCTCACGCCTGTAATCCCAGCACTTTGGGAGGCCGAGGTGGGCGGATCACAAGGTCAGGAGTTCGAGACCAGCCTGACCAACATGGTGAAACCCCGTCTCTACTGAAAATACAAAAATTAGCCCGGCGTGGTGGCACACACCTGTACTCCCAGCTACTCGGGAGGCTGAGGCAGGAGAATCGCTTGAACCTGGGAGGCAGAGGTTGCAGTGGGCCAAGATTGTGCTACTGCACTCCAGCCTGGGCGATAGAGCAAGACTCCGTCTCAAAAAAAAAAAAAAAAAAAGTGCTCCCCAACCTATGCCTCCGTGTTCAGAGAAGTAGTCTCTGGCACTATCCTGTTTTTCTGGTTCCTTACCTGGCCCCTCTTGTAATTTGTGTGCCTCATCTGGCCTATGAATTCTCACTGCTGTGTGTTTCATCCTTGCTTTGGCACTTTGCCCTGTGTACCTTCTCGTCCAGTTCCACTTTCATTGGCTACCATGAATATCATTTCTCCTGGGCCCCAGGCTCCTATTTCCTGTCCCTGAAAGTAGGTCTGGGCTTCTTGGGTCAAACAAAAATGGTATCTACAAATTACTTTGTCTCAAGGAGTGTTTCTAGATATAGTTAGTGATCAAAAATGTGCTTCCAAACAAGGAGGAAAGCTTGTGGGTAAAAGCCTTGATAGTAAAAAAGATGTTTAAAAAAAAAAAAAACAAAAAACGTGGCTTACTGTCTCTGACTCTGACCTTATTCAAGATGTTTTCTTGTCCCTTCTTCCCACACCTACCAAAAAAGACACCAGAGCTGAGAACCTTGTGAGATCCACTCAATTTCAGTCCTTTTCGTGGGTGTGAGGAAGACAATAATTACCAGATTTGGAAGCTGATGAAGGTGTCATTTTGACAGTCCTGAGAACTTAAATGTTCTGTTTGCATTGCTTGCAGAACTATTTGCAATTTAGGAAGCGGAATATTTCCAAAGCATCTTTAGTGACATGGCTTAACCTTGACTTTGGAGGAGTAAGAGTCAGTCAAAGGATGTGAAATACTCAGCTTACATTGGCTAAGTGCTCATAGCATCAAGTTTCTCTAGGGGTGACTGAATGGGTCCCAGTTGGAATGAGGTGAGAAATGGGACTAAGGATTGCTTCCTGATTGCAATGGTGGCTAGCTTGTAGCTTTCCCAGAAACTTAAATTTGCTCTGCTCCCCCGGGTGCTGGTTTGCATTCACATATCTCAGCAACTGTCATAATGACATGCAACAGCCACGCCATTTACAGAAAAAGCTAGAACTCTGTGTTGGTAAGTAAAAGCCCTCCAGCATAGGTATACACTTAGTTGTTCCTTCCAGTGGTTATCATACTTCTTTTCTTGCCATAGTTACATGCTAACAACGTCCCAAAGCTATAGTTGCTCTTGCATTTTGTTCTTAATTCTTGTAAGATAAACTAATAATACAGGGAGTAAATGTGCACTGTTTATTAATTAAAATCCCCGGGACACGGGATAAACTGAAGGAAATCGTGCTTTTTGAAAAGTAGGTGTAGCTTGCCATGCTGCATTGTCTTATACCCACACATAACTCTGGCTGGCACTTTTTGGGTGCCAGGCTGCATGCATCTCCCTGACCCACTGTAGACTTCAGCTGCAGCTGTGGTGGACAGTGCTTATGCATCCAGCCTGTTTGCCTTCTCTCTTCTGCCTCACGGTTCTCCCTTGAAGGAGTTTACTCCATCCAGGCCTGTCTCCAAATAGAGGAAACTTAATGCCCTCTCCACCAATGGTGAAGGGGGGTCGAGGATTAAGTACTCTAGCTCATTGTCCTTCAGGGGGGCCATTCTGGAGAGCATTTTACTCTCGCTTAGAAGTTCTCAGTGGGACTGAGTCCCAGTTACCTCTCTGCAATCGGAAATCAGTTATGTATTCTTCATTGACTTTTCCTCCTTCCTGGATTCGCTCTTTTGTTTCCCTCATTCCTGCTTCCTAAGATCCCCTCCGAAAGTCGTTATCTTAGGTTCTGCTTTGAGGGAGGCCAAATTAAGACAATCGCCATTACAGAATGATAAACAAATCACTAGAAGCATCTCTTTTAGCATCTCCTTTTGACTCCCTATAGAGAAAGATAGTTTTTCACGATTTTTTTAAAAAATGGAAGCCAGAAAAATAGACAGATGAAGAAAAAGATTGTTTGTTTCTTATTGTCATGTTAAGAAAAAGAAGACATTCAGAAGCCCTGCATTCCTATGGTTATGCTTTAGAAAGCAAGAAGCACATTCTTCACACCCCATTTTTCAGTTTTTGGCATGTCATTTAGCCCATTTTCAGAATTCGTCACCTAATGGCTACTCCCAGTTCAAAACCACATGTGGAAAATTATAACAAGAGACAATGAAAAGTCATCTGGCTCAGTGCTCCATCTTCAGGTGAGAGGAGGACTCAGGTTAGAGAAAAACATGTAAAGAGATTTCACAGTGAGCTTAGCAGAACTGTGCAGACCAGCTTCTGGGAAAACTGGTTCTTCAGGATGGGTTCCAGAATTTGGATTTTGGATTAAATGTTATTGATTAATAAGAACTAAATTGGATCTCCAAAATGGAACTACTGTACTCAGAGTCCTAAGACTAGTCTGGAGCCGAACTCTGAGTTAGAAGGTGATGAGCTGCTCACCTCCAGTGTTCAGAGTCCAAGCCTTCTCTCTAAAGAGAGTTCATCACTGCTAGCTTGATGGGAGCATGCTAGAGAGAATCTGAGCTTCATCAGGAGCAGGCTCCTCTGAGATATTTTCAAATGTAACCAAAGGTCTAAGATAAATAGGACTTAGACATGCAATTTTTGTTGAAAGAAATTTAGTATAATTTGTATTCCATATGTAACACACTGCAAATTTGTTCCTGCTGGATAATGCCATTTTATATAGCCACACAATTCACCATCTCCCAATCAGAAGACAACATTTTAAAATGACCTTTCAAACAGATATTAGCAAGGTTTTGAATGGGCTTATCTGTCATCTTATTAAACTAATTTTTGAATATTCTCTCATTCCTTGGGAGAGTCTCTGCCTACAGACATCTCTTTCTTTCTAAGGTAATCAACTGACTGCTTCCTTGTCCTGTTTGCTCACTCAGTTGAAATTGTGACTTCTGGTCAGAGTTGTGCCCATGGTGTATTAGATAGAATCAGAAGGTAAAAGGGATCAGAATGTGTTCACTGATCATGAGATTAATCCCAGAATTTGCAGAACTCTTTGTTAAAAGATTGGGGGGCACTTTCTATGTCACAGGCACTATGGTAATTGTTAAGGAAGCAACAGTGCACAAGACCCGGTCCCTGTTCCTCCTGGAGCTCACATTGTTGCCTGAGTGAGGAGGGCGAACCGTGGGAAATGCTGTGATGTGGTGGCACCTGAGAGACCCCACAGCAGGGATGTGTAATCTCTAACTGGAGAGGGTTGTGCTTTTGGTAGGGAAGTGAGGAGATGTCTGGGCTGACTTTTGAATAACCAGTAGGAGGAAGTTATGCACAGGGAATTAGGTGGTGAGATAGTTTTTGAGGAGCAAGGTTCAATGTGCTCAGAAGCCTAGGACAAGAAGTGCAAGAATTTGATACAATGAGATATGGCTGGAGCATGTGTGAGGAAATTATGGCAAGAGATGAGGCTGGGCACACCAGAAGTGGCTTGTAATTTTTTCCTGAAAGAATTCAAATTTTATCTTAAAGAAAGGGAGGTGTCATGGATGTTGTGTCAACAGAGTCATCTGATTGGACTTGTAGAATATTTTGGTATTCAAATGGAAAGATATATGGGACTTGAGGGGTGGGCACAGTTGGATGCAGAAGACTGGTAAGGAGGCTGTCACAGGGAACAAATTGGGAGAGCCTCAACTGTAGAGACTGAAAAAAGAGGAGAGGTTCAAAAGTTGTTAGGGGGAATACCAACAGAACATAAAGTCAGTGGAGAGGGGGAAGGGAAGCATCAAGGATGATTCCTAGATTTCCAAATTGGACAACTGGGTGGGTAGTCACTCTGTTTTAGAATATAAGGACTTGATTTTCGAAGGAGATGGAGGTGAGTTCACTATTGCACATGTTGAGTCTAATATATGTGGACCATGGGACATCTGAGGAGAGGTATCTGGTAGGCAGTTGAATATGTGGTTGTTGAACTTCAGACCTGTATTTGAACTGGATGTGTTTATTTATGAATCATCAGAAGATGGAACGTAGTTGAAGCTAAGGGAGAGGAGGTGAAACTGTGAAATTTGAGAGGTGGCCAGAGGGTGAAGAACCCATGAAGGAAATCAAGAAAGAATGGCCAGAGAAGTAGAAGAGAAACCATGGAGAGCCATACCATAGAAACCAAGGAGCAGGAGAGTTTCCAACGGGAGAAAGGTCAATAGTGTCAGAGGTCACATAAGACGAGGTTCTATTAGAAATTGCAACAAAGAGGTCACTGGCAACCTTGGCAAATACAGTTTGAGTCAGAGATAGAGATAAAGGCCAGATTATTGAAACATGAATAATGGAGAAGAAATGAAGACAGAGTGTAGAAGCACTCTTTGGATGTTGGCTATGAAGGACAGATAGAAGTAAGTTGATAGCTGGAAGAGGCAAGGCCAGGGAAGTGTTGTTATTCTTTGAAGTGTTTGTGTGTTAAGGCTAACAGCTCAAAGAGAGGTGTGGGTTGAAGTTATAGTCAAGAGAGCATATGGAACCAGATTCGTACTGAGGCCAGAGAAATTGGGATTCCAAACACAGGTGAGAAGATCAATCTTAGAAGAAGAAGGGATACTTTCTTCCACTGAAATGGAATGAAAAGAGGTATTTGTGGGGTGGAACAGGATATTGAGGAATTGTCAGTTGCTCTATTCACCTCTGCTAATGGTAAAAGAAGAGAGATGAGGTAAGAGTCTTGAGGCGATTGGTGAAGACTTTTGTGGATTGAGGGAAAAAACTCATAATAGATATGGAAGGGGTGCTGGGCAATTGCTATCAACTACATGTTTATGCCTCCCTCTCCCCAGTTCATAGGTTGAAATCTTAATGCCCAAAGTGATGGTAGTGGGAGGTGGGGCCTTTGGGAGGTGATTGGGCCAGGAGGGTGGAGCCCCCATGATGGGATTAGTGTCCTTATAGAAGAAGAGGAGAAACCAGAGCCTCCTCTCTCTACCACTCAAGGATATGGCAGGGAGGTGGCCTTCTGCAAACCAGGAACTGGGACCTCCCCAGACCCCGACTCTACTACCTTGGTCTTGGACTTCTCAGCCTCCAAAATTCAGAGAAATAAATCTTTGTTGTTTAAGCCACTCAGTGCTTGATTTTTTTTATAGCAGCTCCAGCTAACTAAAACAGCAGTATTGAGAGACTAGTAGAGGCCCAAGGTTATGAGGCTGCACTGCATGATTTTATTATATATATTTATTATTTGATTACCCACTCTCATGTAGGGTGGGGAAGGTTTTTAGAATCCGCCAGGATGTGGGTGAAGTAAGCACAGGAAAGGCAGATGTATGAGGTAAAATTGGAGGCATTTAGGGCCTAGAGAGCTCAGTGGGTCCAGAATGTAAGTGAATATGAACAACTGAGAGAGAAATTTAGAGGGATTAGTAGTGGAAGTCACGTCCTTGGGTAGGGAGACTGGTTTGTCTAAGCCTTTGCCGCAACCGTTGTCCACTTTGACTTTTCTTTAGAAAAAAAAATACAGTAGCAGTAATTTACAGCTAATCACTTGTAACAACTTCCCATTAGAATTTTAATTTACTTTGATTTCTAGATCATTTTAACAATGTGTTTTCATCTTAAGCTTCAGATCTTAAAAAAAGTATTTCAGTTGGCGATAAATTACTTGGTAAGAAAATGGGAGTGTAAAAATTATTTAATGGAATCATTTTCAAAAGGAAAGTTACAGTTTCTAATGAATATATGTAGAGATTTTTCAGGCAAATTCATGCAGATGCATAAATCCTCAAGAATGAACACCAGAAAATGATACATGGTGACGGAGATATTGTCATTGGAAATGGAAATATACAAAGGGAAGACATTTAAATTGGTGGGTCGCATCGAAACTGTGATTCATTCTCCCTGTGCCTAGGTACTAAGTTATCTGAGTTAGCAGCATGTGTAATGACTCCAAATTTAGAAAAATAAAATAAAATGAAGAGGAGGGAAAGTGCTGGCATGGCGATTTACAGTGACACACAGCTAATGCTGAGATGTGAATGTGTGACCTTGTGATTACACTTTTGGCTATATGTGCTGTTTTGCTAATTCCAGTCACCAAGTTTGGTACACTTGTTAATGCTTTTTTCTTTGACTTAATTCAAAACATCAACAAAGTGCCTTTCTTTTGGATCCATCATCCCGATTTATTATGCTCAGGAATGTCCAGGCTTTTCTGTCCTGAGGCTTTTTTGAGGATGATGTCTGCGGTAGAGACCATCCAAAGGCAGGCAAAATAGCCCATGGAGAGAGAGAAACAGAATGGAACAGAGTGTTCTCTGAACTCAACCAAGCCCAGAGATTGTAGTGCTGCCCCCCACTGAGCTACGGGAGTATACTGTAAAGAATATCATTGCCATATTAAGACTTACGTTTTGAAGTTCAGGTAGCCTATCCATCATTGTCAATTAATTTGTACCAAGAGCTCAAGGTGGTTGGTGTAGTAGTGCTCATATGTTGCGGAGGTTGTCTGCAGAGCAAATAGAATAATTCATTTGGATTCATACTTTACCTAATTTTGAAAATCCATCCCTTACTTTTCATGTTGGAAAATTGGAATGAATTTCCCACTAATGGATTTGTTGAGGAATTCAGTTTCCTCTTTGCATTTGACCCAACAGCGCACTGGTTGTCAGCACTTGGTGTTCCTCCATCTCTTCCTTCCAGAAGGGTCTCTGTATGGTGGTAGGAGATGACCACTTTGAGCACCTGAGAGGGAAAAAAACAATCTCTGAAGCAACTCCTGCTGAACTTCTTATACCGGTGATTTGTAACAATTCAATGTGTGACTCCCCCCAACCCCAGTAAGAGATTAGTCTGGAGGTGGCACTCAGTCCAAGCAATGCTAGGAGAATCAGACTGGGCCAGGCTGCTCTTATGCTAGCATATCCCCGTCAGATGGCATTGTACCAAAGTCTGATATGAAGGGAACTTTTCTCTCTAATACCAGGCCTTTGTTTTTCTCTATATATTTTTTCTTCATTAGAATGTTAACTAACCTAGCTCTGAAAGTAAATCAAGGGTACTTCCTAAGTCCAGGTTATATGAGGTTGATGAGTATGCTAAATGTGACCCCAATATCAATAGCTATAGATGATTCTAGTATGGTGCTTAATAATGTGGAGTGGAATAATTGGTGTCTTAGAGATGGGAGTGGGATTGGGAGTGGGTTGAAGGGTTAGCTGAGATTTCACATCTTGGTAAACCTCATCATAAATCGGTAAATAATATGAACACTTATCACTGACCCATAAAATACAGACAGAGGCTCTTCTTGAGTTGGAAGGAGCCATTTTGGAAATTCAAACCAGATGCTTATTCTGTCTACTGTATAAATATTTCCTCCAGGTGTTGGGTATATAAGTAAAAGGCATATCAGTGTTTAGATTACTTTTTTTTCATATGAAACAAGAGCATTCTTAGAAATGAGACTAACAGCAATGGGCACTATTGTGCCACCTTGTGAAAGTAGATCACACAAGGTAAATAAGTGCTTTATTTTGATGTAAGGTCAGTACCGTAGAACAAGATGATAGCTTAGGGAATAATGCTCTTCTTCATATGCCTAAGGAAGTGCATGTAGTAGCTTTTTCATCCACCAGATATGATACCTAACTAGGGTAGTCTTAGCTCAGTCGTCTCATTCATTTGCCTAATAGAACGACTTTGGAATTTTTAGAAAATGTAGATACTAGAACCTTTACTGAGCTTGAGTTTCTGGAGTGTAAATGGATTTTTCAAAAGCTCCAGAGATGATTCAGATTTTCTGCCGTTGTTGAGAGCCATTACCTTAGGTGCCAATGTCATAAGACTTTCCAAAAAGAGATTAGAGACATGAACACCACAGTCTCTGTTATTTAGATGTGGATGGACATTCCTCACTCAGAGACAGTAGGTTAAGTATACTTATGAAAATACGTAGCATTATATATACTCACATTCTTGCTCATTGGCAAAAAAAAAAAAAAGAAAATTAAGGCAGCGGTGGATTTCTACTATTGGCATATCAAATTAACAGATTAAAAAATTAGACCCTTAGGTCCCTGTTTGTCGTATTGTTGGTGATAAAGCTGAGAGTTGGTACTTCACATTGAGCTAATAGGTATGTAAATTGGCAGAGTTTTTCTGTACAACCTTTGGCAATGTGATCAAGAGGCTTAAAAGCATTCATATACTTTGACCCAAGAATATATGGGAATCTAGCCCAAGAAAATAATCTGAATTGCAGACTAATAGAATTCCAGCATTATTTACATGAGTGAAACAATGAGAACTGCATAGGACATCTATATGGTGCAATAGTTTGTAATTGTAATAAATTATGTTTTGAGGAGTTTTTAGTAATGTGGGGAACACTTATGTTGTTACTGCTAAGAGAATGCAAAAGTTTACATATAGCATATTCTAGATGTAAAACAAATGCCTACAAAGATAGAAAAACACCAAAATATTAACAGTAATCATATTTTAGTACTAAGACTACAAATTTTAATTCTTGTCTTCTTACTCTTTTGAATTTTCCAAGTTTTCTGCAATACCACTTTTTAAAAAACATATTTTACTTTTATAATCAGCAAAAAAATACACTCATGGGAAATGCTTTAAAGGCAAGTATTTTGTGGAAGAATTGGCTGTGGAAGATCTCATAAATTGGGGAATCGATCTGTGAAGGGAAGAGATTTGAGGAAAAATTTCAGTAGACCAGAAAAATGCTTAAGTTGTTTTCCAGCATAAGAAGAAACAGGAAGCTGGATCATAAGCATGTGTTTTGAGGAAAGTATAATGAGTGGCTGAAATACGAAATATGAGAAGTATGTTGTAGAGATGGCAGGAGGCAAGTTGATGCTGGATGGATATAATGAAAAATATATTTCATTCTCTTCTTTTATGTCTTCAGAGTTGTGTGATGTTAGGAAACTTTCCTAACCCTTTGGATCTTCATGATTTGTTTATATTCATCAAGTATATGGTTAAATGAAGTAAACACAACCATCAAAGGCTGAATGTGAAAGGAAGCAGATGACTCTACTGGTTCTGAAATGACTTTCTTCTTCTAGGCCTTTTGTTCTTCTCCCCAAACTTTAAGAAGTTGATAGGCTTGGTTGGGGATAGGATAATGATTCCCAAAGTTGCTGGTTGTTTAATATGTTAGTATTCTAGAAGATATCTCTTTCAAAAGTGAACCTGTATTAGTTGAGGCTCACAGGCCATCTGTCTGACATTGTCTTTTTTAGTCAATACTTTGATGGAAAGCTCTAAAGGTACCTGGTTGAGAAAAGCTCATAATTTCTCATTAAGTTAGGTAAATCCGATCATTTACTGACAATAGCCCTTTTCCTAAAGGCTACTAAGAGCCATAACAATGTATTTATGAATTTTCCCTGGGTTTTTGGAATGGACTGTTTGTGTTTGTTAGTATCTCTTTCGTTGCATGTCAACATTTCCAAAGCATGTTAAAACAATTGCTCCATGTTCAAGCAATTCGTAGGTTTAAATGGCTGGTTAGGGGAGCCCAGTAAATTCAGGGGGCATTATGATTCGATAGAGCTCTGGACCGACTGGTTATTACTTTCCTATCTTGTGGTATTGCACATTTATTTAAAGCTAATTTGATATTAAAAGAGTAACAAGCTATTAGAAATAATTTTTTTAAAACTAATGTTTTTGAAAATTATGATACTATTGCCTTTCTTAGTTTAAAAGAGAATGGATTTCTGAAGTACACAAGACCAGAGGGTCAGGTAGTATTTATAGCTTGCTCTCCCACGCAAAGTTCAGAAATCCAGTGACTATAGGGGTGCCGTGAGATACATGGCTGCGAAAGATTTATTTGGATCTTGCTATTTTAAATTTTTCAATCTATCTTAAAAATTTGAGAGTTCATTTTCTGTTATGAAGAAAAATGCATTACTAAATAACTTGCAAAGCCCTGTGTGTGTGTGTGTGTGTGTGTGTGTGTGTGTGTGTGACCAAAGTTTATGGCTTTTTTATACTTTTGGACTTACGAGACATACCTACAAATATAAGAGGTCCTTGATTTTTTTTACATTCTCCTCTACTTTCTATCAGTACCAATGTACATTATTTTTATTATTTGGCTCCAAATTTATACTGTTTTCTATGTAGATGAATGTTATTTTCCTTAAATATTTGATGCAAGAATCACTTCTGAGAATTGGCATTTAGATCAAGTAATTCAGTTTGTTTCCATTTGCGCCTCTTGGGGAAAGGCTTTGGACTTAGTGCTCCAACTAATTTTCCATCCAATACTGCAAAGGAAATGACCAATCAGACTGAGAACTAAGAGAAATTATATCAAAAATCCAAATCTTCATGAGGAATTACTTATGGACTTGGCTAAAAGGTGGCGGATATTTTTCTCTTTGTAATGATCTACTTAAGCTCAAAAACTCAATAGAGTTGAAGATTTTTCTTTGAATTCATTTGGGCTTTGAAAAAGCTGTGTAAAATTGGCAATTTATCTGTGTATGTGTTTTTAGCTCACAAACATTTTGTTTTGGCCCATAGTCTTTGGTTTCAGAAAGTAAGCAGGCTAACATGTGCATAGCACTGTTGTGTTTTTAATGGGGATGATGGGTTTAGGTGGAGATTTGCAGTCACTGACTACCATCTTGGGCTTGTCAGCATTTCATGAAAGGAGAATTAGAAGAAACAGTATAACCTAGTGAGGTCTTTTTTTCTGAGTCCAGTTCTTACTTTCTGTATGTATTTTTCTGGTTGTCTTTATTCCTATTCTACTGACCTCAATATTTTTACTTTTGCAGCTGGAATTAGTCAGGTTGAGCCGCTCAACAAGAGACCCCTAAATAAAGTTGCCTCAATAAGATGGAAATGACTTTCTCTTTCATCTAACAATGCAGAAGCTTCTTTATCCTATTAACTTTTCTTCCCTAAGGTGAGTTCCTCATCTGTATGCTGGAAGTTGTTTCATCAGCACCACATCCAAAGGAATGGGAAGGCAGTCAGTATCTTTTTTTTTTTTTTTTTTTTGAGACGGAGTCTCGCTCTGTCGTCCAGGCTGGAGTGCAGTGGTGCAATCTCAGCTCACTGCAAGCTCCGCCTCCAGGTTCAGGCCATTCTCCTGCCTCAGCCTCCCAAGTAGCTGGGACTACAGGCGCCAGCCACCACGCCTGGCTGATTTTTTTGTATTTTTAGTAGAGACAGGGTTTCACTGTGTTAGCCAGGATGGTCTAAATCTCCTGACCTCGTGATCTGCCCGCCTTGGCCTCCCAAAGTGCTGGGATTACAGGTGTGAGCCACTGTGCCCGGCTGGCAGTCAGTATCTTTTTAAGGGTGTAATGTGTAAGTTGGACACATGACTTTCACTCCTATTGTATTGGCAAGAACACAGTCACATCTAGTTGCAAGGGAGGCTGTGAGGTATAATTTCTAGTTGAAGAACCTTGCTAAATTTTAGCCTTGCTAAAATTGAAGGTGGAATGGCTTAATGCTAAATGGGGGAAATGGAGAAAGAATACTGGAGCTTTTAGTCATCTCTGCCACCTAGAATAATAGAGAGGTCAAAGTTCAGCAGTGTGCACCCAAACCTCCATTTTCTTCATACCTGACACCATGTTGCAGAAACTGAAAGCTTGCAACCTGAGGGCTAAGACTAATCCATTGCTTGAGATAATTCTATCCATGTTTAGCAGTACTTTAAAAGCTTTAGATCTGCTTGCAGGAGGGATCTAGAATGAGTGTCGCTACTCTAAGCTCAGTATTTTAGAGTCAGCTAGATTTTTCTACTCCATTGTTGAGGTTTTAGCACGCTTGCTGCCTGGTGCTTGAGACATGTGGTTCCTTCAGTGAATGCTCTACTGTGAAGATTATCTATATTATACCAGCTTAGTTGGCTTTTTGCAATGTAGTTATTAAACTTTAACTATTTTTAAGTTGTAATAGGCACTGCATCAAAAGAGGGGTATATCAACAAGATGAGTAAAACATAGTTCCTGCCTTTAAGGGATACATGCTCTGGCACACTTTTTCAAAGGTAAATAAGTGTTTCTCCAAAAATATGTTCTGAGGAAAATACCTCAGGACCTTATTGCTACCATCTATCCATTATCTACCAATATCCCCTCTTCCCATAGATTCCACCCAAGAAGAGCCCCTACCACCGACAGGAGTTCCGCTCAGACCTGAATTCCTGACATCAGTTTCCATTTTGTATTTGTTTTCTAAATCTGCAGCGGCTCTGAAATTGACCTCACAGATTTCCTTGGCTCACTGACTGACTTTAAGGCCTCAAATATCTACTAGACTAGGCTGCATGCATTATGATGGAGGCAACGACATCAAGGCTCACAGTGTGAATTTTGTTTTCATGTTTGCTGTTCAGTTCCTTAACCAATATTTGTTGAGGATCTTCTATGGAATGAAGCATGTGGGGTGTGAAGCTGAGTAAGACATGGTTCTTGCTCTTGAGCTGTTCATCTTGTAATGAAAGAATTACACTATTATGTGATTCGCCCACTGGTAGAGGTGTGGGAGATAGAGTGTTATGGAAGTATGGGAGAAGGACTGGCTAATGTCTGAGGGGTTGGAGAAGTTAGTGACATTTACATTTGACCTTAAAGAAGGAATGAGTTCACCAAATAGAAGCAGTCGGGGTAGGGGACAGAGTGAAGGTGGCCTCCCTGACAGAGGGGACATCTTGTGCAAAGGGTGAAGTGTGAAAGATCATGGGTTCTTGTCCTCAACACTAAAAAACCAAGAACCAAAACCAAAAACTCCATCAACGCACTATAAATGATGTTTCCCTTGAAATAAAGACTCTGTTAAAACAACTCTATGTCACACCTAGATTATTTAGTTCGTAAGAATCTGAATCTGAACAGGACCATTGTGTCCCAATCAGGACATGAAGATAGTTTGGTAAGGACCCTTTAGGGATGCTCATGTTCTGGGTTTTCTTAGCTCTAAAAAATACCCATATTTCACTTTGTGAGCTCTTTTGCCAGTCACTGCACTGTTTTGTCAACCAAAGTGCAAAGGTAGCCAAGGAGCTCAGGGCCATCATTAACTATTCACGTATTTGTGGAAAGCCTATGTGCTAGGCAGTGGGGATATAATGGTGTGTAAAAAGATATCCTGGTCTGTCTTCCCACAGAACTCACATTTAAAAGACAGCTATTAATTCACCAATTGCACTAATGCAAACTAATGGGGGCAGATTGAGAGGAGGTGTGGGGCTCTAGGCAAGGGGCTCAGAAGCAACAAAGCCCAGTGGTGGGAAGGGGTGTGATGTGTCCAAGAAGGCCAACTTGGAGAGAGTGAAGGGGAAAGGCTTGCAAAATGAGGGCTGTCAGAAGAGAAGTGTTGGGGCCACACTACACACTAGACCTTGTTAAGGATTTGGGTTTTTCGATGGGAAGCCACCGAAAGATTTTGAAATGGAGCTGACTGATTTTTGTTTAGAGGAAATATTAGGTGCTAAACAAGCATTTATGGATGCTTATTATTAATCGTGTTATCAAATCAAAGAGAAAAACTCCTGGGAGGCAAAAACATAAATTGTTACCTAAAAGCAGTAACAAAATAGAAAATAAAGTTTTACTAATTTTACGTTAAACAGTTTTGTTTACTCTTTATAGCAAATCTGGAATCATGGAACTGAAGGAGTCCCACCTTTTAGGGAGGTGGTTTGCGCAAGGCTGAGTAGTAAGTTGGTGGCTGATTTATTTCTGCCCTGCTCCATGAGTGACACTGTTCCTTTCCTTCCCCCTTTCCTGCCTCCCACTCCTGCTGAAGCTTTGCAGATAAGGAATCAAATTACTCTCTGGCTCTCATCAGAGCTTCTCAAAATGTGAGAGCTTTGATTGCAACCATCTCCTTGGTTCAATTTCTGTCTTCAGGATCTTCAGTGTTGCTGCCACGCCATCCCTGTCTGTCCCCAGGGAGATGCCATCATTTCTCATTGATCTTCACATTCCAGTCTCTCCAGTAGTGTGGACCAGTCAACAATTCGAAGCTGTAATTGGTAGATCAGCACTGATAATAATATCAGCTAAACAATATATAGGCAATGGGAAGGTGACCAGCTGAACTAATCTCCTAGATTCATTTTGGAGAATAGTGGAAAGTAAAGTTGGGTAGCATTCATGAAAATTGTGGCTTTATGGAATGTGTTTTCTAAGAGATTGGCTCTTTTTTTTTTTTTTAACTGAAATTTTAGAAAGAGCTTTCTGAGTAATAAGTCAATCACAGAGAGGGATCTGTCATTTTCTGGCAAGTTGAATAGGCCATGGGAATTTTTTTTACCTTGCCTACACTCACTCTCTTATGAATTATGAAGTATTATTTTTCCTGAAGCCATCAAGAATGGCAGGGAGGAGGGGAGCTAGTCCATATATTCACTTTTCCTCTGCACGTCTCTAGGGTTTTCTGTCTCTGCCTCTTTATCCCTGTCTCCGCTTGTTTCTCTCTGCTGTTCTTCCTCTTCTTTTGCCTCTTTGGCATGAACCAGCAGTAGCATTTGTTACAGGATTTTCATGAGGACGGTCTTCTGGGCAGTGTTTTGTGACAGGGTGGGGTGGTCCAGGAGTGGCTGGTGGGGATGATGGAGCAAGATTCCAGACAATTGAGGAGGCCAGTGGGAGAGCGCTGGGTACACCCAGGTACAGAGGAAACACACAGCGTTCAGTGGGGTGGCTGAGGGCGGGGGTGCTGTCACTAGGTGGAGGAGGTCTGGGCAAGCATGACAGCCTTGGCACGAGGAGCAGTCAGCCTGGCCAGATAGAGCAGGTAGGCTGCCGGCAGGAGCTGGCATGAAGGTATGAGGGCAGCAGGAGGCTGGGCTCAGCTCTGGCGGCTGAGACCTGAGACTCTGGTGGGATTGAGAGGACCAGGCCGGCATCAGGGGCAAGGTTTAGCAATCCCACCCTAGAGGCAAGGGCATCAGGGCTTTAGGCCAGAACCCAGGCGGAGAATGATGAGAACTACCATAGCAGCCCTGTGCTTGCTTGTGGAGCACAGTTGGTGCCAGGTACCCATCCGAACGTTTTATTAGACCAAGGCTTTTAATTTGCACAATCTTCTTGATAGAATCCTCATTTTGTAAGTGAGGAAATGGAGGCACAGGAAGGTAGAGTAGCTTACTGAGCGTTACCCTGCTGGGAAGTGGCACAGCTGGGATATGCAGGCAGTCTGGCTCCAGGGTCCCTGCTCATAAGCACTTTGCTTCATGGTATTCTTGTTACATATCACAGGGAGGACCATTCACATGGGGTGCATGGGGCCCTTGGAGCTGGGCAATGTGGGCTGCCCTGATTCCATACTTCTTCCCTTAAAAAAATTAAAAAGGCCAATTCTTCCACACTGCCTCCTATGTATCTTTCATATCTTAACTCATTAATTTCAAAACTATTATCTCCATGGTCTTCATGGGGCCTGGAGAGACTCTGGACATGCCTGCCTAGTTGGTAAGCTGAGCTCCGCCTCAGAGAACTACAGCAGAGGACTAATAGAAGTGGAATCTGTTGTCTGTAGTTTTTTTGTTTGTTTGTTTTGTTTTCATTCCCTTGTCTGCCCTGTTGCTACCACCTATCTGATGGGCTCCAGGGAGGAAACAGGGTTATGATATTCATTCTTGCAATGCCACACAGATTTCTAGAGGCAAAGGAGTGGAGTACTATTACTTGCAGAGCAGAAGATGAGAAAATTCATCTAGCACACTGTAGTCACTTAGTAAAATTTAAACAAAAACAAACAACAAAATAATTCCCAAGGCTGAATTGGCAAACAGAGACCTTGGGCTTGTGTTCTAGCCCGTGGAGCCAACAGGAGGGCTAGCCTTGGCTGAGTCCCAACATTATTCCTTTGTCTCTTCTCTGAGTTCTTGCAGTTCTGCTATAGAACGCATAACTACACTGGCTTTGAAAAGTTAAATTCCCGAGAAATTTAGGTGGAAAATTAGAATCAGAATTGCCTTTTGCTTCTAAATCTGCACCAGTTTGTCTTGATCATGGCTATTTAAATCTCATAGCTAATAGCTAATCTTCTCACTTTGGCTTTTCTCTCCTTCTTCTCTCTGTCCAAACAAGTGGAAAACAGAAATACCTGTCCTTTGTACTCTACTGTCAATTTCATGGGTTCACTCTATGATAAAGCCCAGCACGGGTAAGGAAAAGGGACTTAATATCCCTAAGTTTGAAGCCCATGAAAAAGAACTGAAAATAATGTGTCCTTGTGATACAAAATAGAGCTGTCCTAATTTGTTGAGGGACATGCCATTTCCTCCACTTAATTTAGCTCAGTGGAGGCATTTGTCAAATTGCAAGGATACCTTCCCCATCATGAATCACGTGGCATTTATAAACAGAATCATAGAGATGATGCTTTTTCATAGGGCTTTTTTTGACTTTGAACTGTTGATCATAATGAGAGATAACTGGAAAAGAGTTGAGTCAGAAACACATTTAACAGGGCATTCTCAGAATCAGAGGCAGCCTCCTTGAGGCTATGCAGTTTTGGAGGCTACTCAGTAATGAGAGGTAGGTGGGTTCCTGGGAAGCACCAGCACAAGATGAGCCCCAAGGTTTTCAAACTTGTTCTCACTGTAACCTCAGGTGGGAGAAGTAGGCCAGAAACGGGGTGGTTTCTCTTTCATCTTCTTGACCATCATTCAGCTGGAGAACTGTTAAAGTCAAAACCAAGAAGGTGCCAGTGTCTTGGTTGCTTTTCACTACCTGCTGCAGTGAAGTGTGAAATTTGGCCCTAGGAACTTGAACTTGCTGGAATCCATAGACCCTTTTACTAAAAGCTGGGGACTGGAGCTGATCTGAAACAGGCTCGGGAAGCTCCCAGGGACGTCTCACTACTTCTCAGCCTGGTCTCAGTTTAGAGAATCTTGGGGCAGAGATAGTCAGTTCTAAGATCTTTCTAGAGTTCTGAGCTCACTTTTCTGGAACTCCTTAGAGTTCCTCTGGGGAGGTTCAGAGCTGAGCGTCTCACTGGGGTTCCTCTGGAACTCTGGGATCAGCCCGAGTATTGGGTTGAAACCCTTAGGTGACTCACAGGTGTGGTGCTGATTCTGTGTAGATCCAGACCCTAGGGGAAGACTCCCCAACCTGTGATCTGATTTTTAGTTATCAGCTGTGGGTGAACAAAATGACTTCTGATGGGATAATTTTTTAGAATGGAAGGCGTGGGAAAAATAGGAATTTCCCCAAAAAAGTGACTTCTCTCTATTTCACCAAATTCCTCTTGGGAACACGCCTACTGCCCCTCATCTTGAAAACTCTTATCACGGAGGAAGTGGGGGAAGGAACACTCCAGTATAGAACATATGGCTTTGAATAAAGTAATTGAACCTTTGTAGGCACTAAAAGGCCAGATAAGGCAACTCCTGGTGTTTTCCCACCTCTTACAGTTTATGATTCTGAGTCCAGCACATTTCTGACTTCCTGGAAAGCAGGCAGAGCCTGCCCCTTCACATCTATTCTTAGTTAGAGGGGTTGGGTGCAGGAGCAACCACAGGCTGCTATATGTGATCCAGTGCCTCCCTGCTAACATCCCTCCCTGGTCAGACTCGCTGACTGCATGCATTAGGGTACCGTAAAGTGCGCCCCTGCTCTTTAAAACTTCCTTTAGGCCCTCACATTGGCTATAGGGAGCGCTCCACGGCAGCCATCCACAGAAGAGCCGAGCTATGTACAGTTTATCCAGTTGGGAACAATTTGTCTCATCTTGGTGAATTGTGAAAGTGGGCTGCCTCTGTCTTCTCCCCTTAATTTAGATGTCCATTTTAACACAATCGGGGAATATCTATACTTGCAATTGAAGTGGTAAAGTCGGGAAATGATCTGGAGAATTTAAGAGAAAAAAAGAACCTCTTGTCTCAGTTTTCTGTTGATTCTGGTTGAAATACCGTATGGCTGTAATTAGAGAGTTAATAATTAAAATAAGAGTCTGACACATGAATTTGAGCACAGCAGCCCTTTGATCTGGTCCTCTTGGTGTATGGGGGAGGGAACCGAGGTTCCACGTGGCCAGGGACTTTCTCCAACATGCATCCTTGTCGACAGGTAGAGCCAGCACTGGGTTTCTCTCTATGGAATCCCGTTGACTGCACTCATCCCCTGCTGCTGTCCTCCCTCCATGGGGGCACAATCTCAGAGGTGACAATCTGTTCAAACCCTACCATTTTAGGATTCTGAAGGACAGCAATATCTTCTTGCTATCATTTATATTTGACAGTGGACTAGGTATTGATGCCACTCCCAAGATGTGCGACTGTGATTGAAAGACATGAACGGGTCAGCACAGACCTGGAAGAACTATGCTCTGCTCAGCTGTTGTAGCTGTTGTGTTATTATTTTGACTCAGGTTTGTTCCTTTAAGAGTTACGCTTTTCAGAGATACTGGCTGGAAGGACAGGCCTCCTTTCCTAGATCCAGGGCCAGCCAGTTACTCTTGTGCTGAGCTCCCATGAACTGCAGCCAGTGCCTTCCAGCTGACAAAGCAGCTTCTCAATGGTAAGTGTTTATGTTGCACTTTAGATTTGCAGAGTTCTTTCCCTAAGTTATTTCTTACCTCATTTTGGCGGGTGAAGAAACCAGAGCCCATCAAGATGGTGACTGACTGGTCCAGAGTCATCTGACCAATTAGTGGCAAAGCTGATACAGGGGACTTAGAGCCTCTGAGTTTCTGGGTCATTACTTACCCAGTCAGTCATGCAGCTTCTCTAAAATATGTTCTGTGCTCCTCACCAGCTTCTTTGTCCTCCTGAATTTAGCTGGCTACTTTTAGAGTGGGCCATAAAGCTCTCCTGTTTCAAAGCTGCAGCTTTTTTTTTTTTTTTTTTTGGTTGACCAGAAAGTTCTAAGTACCTAGAGAAACTCATCCCAGGCTGCTGCAATGTGGGACCTGTCCTAGGTCACCTGAGTTGCGGTGTGGAGCAGCAGGTGGAGGGAGTCTGACGTTTCTATTTGGGTTTTGGGGAAAAGACCAATGCCACTTCAGGATTATTAAAGATTTGTGCATGGGAAGGGGATGAAGAATTTACGTGAAGACATTGGCTGTTGCTTAAAGTTGATTTAAAAACATTCAACTAAAGAGCATTAAACATTTCACATCTAAAAGTTGAGAAGTTTTTGGCTTCCTTTTCAAACTTCACCAGTTGGGACACAGAGCTCTTTTCTTGCCAGTGAGGCAGAGAGACTTCAACGAGAATATTGAAAACTTTTACTATAGAAATTCCCACAAGAAATCTTACCATCTGTTTATTCTAGTCATTTTTTTCTTCACATTGGGTGTAAAGATTTTTTTTATGACTCATTGCCCTTTTGACTTAAATGCATCTGTTAAGTACAGATGTTGGATGAGATTAGTATCTGTTTACCTGTCTTTACATGATATTCTCTGAAAATAAAATCTTTCCTTTGCTCCCTTCTCCAATTGTGAATTTAATTAAGAAGATGAGCAGTTGTGTTTGGAGTATTCAATAGTTTGCCTTTCCAAACATTCCACGCAGCCTTTTGGATATTGATAAGTGTTTATTGTAGAACTAACAATACAGGCGAAACAGGAAGCAGCTCTTTGCTGGGTAGGATGCTCCGAGGCGCCCTCCACTCTCCGAGGGAACGCTCTTCAGCTGACTGAAGCAGGGAAGCCGAGCCAATCAGAGGCCGCTTTCCTAGCTCAGTCACCAGTCTGTGGTTGAGGAAGGGTTTTGCTTTTTGTGCTCTGTATTGGGAAGGCAGATAAAATGCCAGGTCTGGACTGCCTCTGGGGATAACCTCACCCTGTGGGATGTGAATGAATAGCATCTTGCCTGGTAAATCCACAGGAATTGATAAGGCAGGCGCAGTTCTCCCAAACAGGCCTTTTCTCTTTAAGCTGTAGCTGTGGTTTCTGCAGCAATTTTGTTTTTGCCTTGAAAGAGGTGCTCTGGATTATCACACCTCCATGTATGACAATTTGTACCTGCATGGAATTGAAGACTCGGAGGCTGTAAGTATTTTCATAGATAGCTAATTCCCTCTCCCCTCCTCTTCCTCCTCCCACTATCCCCTCCACCCCCCCGCTTCTTATTTCTTAGGCAACGCAGGGAACATGGAGCAGAAAGCTAACATCATTCTGGGGCTTGCTGGCTGCTGTGTAAATGTTCTCTGTGTAGTTTATAGGTAACTAAAATTATTTATTGTCAAGCAAAAAAGAAATTAGGGTGATGGCAAAGCATTCAAGAGTGTAGGCTGTTTGAATTTATACATTACCGGGTCCACGTTTGATCTCACCAGGGGTAACTGCTCCTTGCAGACTGGTTTAAACTATGCAGAAAGTGCCTATGTTTTCCAATAGCAGGGTTCATAGAAAAGCCTCATTCATTATATAATACACATTGTTTGTTGAGCTAGCATGAATGGAAGTTCCTAAGCTGTGGCTGTATTATTATGTGCTTTCTGGCCAAACAAGCAGTGCAGATATACTGCTTCTTTGTTAAGGAAATCAGATGCTAGGCTTGTGGCCATACAGCAATCCAGTGCAGAGGCAGTGGGCAGTGTTCCTATACTCTACCTTGGAAGAGCGAAGCAGACTCACGTGTGTTTTGGGTTAGAGAACTGGACTCCTTCTCCCCCCTAGGTCAGGCTCATGCAATCTGTTAAAATCAGGGTGAAATAATTTCCTGAAATCCCTGAAATCATACCATAGAGTGCTAGCTTTTAAATATAAGGTAAAGCTGATAATTGAATCTTTCTTTTGACTCTTGCTGGTGGTAGTTCCTATTTTTTTCATCAATACACAGAAACCTCGCAAGGTAGAATGGCTGGGGGTGGTTAATGGGAAGTGCTGTGGGGAGTCTGAATTTTATGTGAGTGCAGTGCCAATACATGTTGCTACATTTGAAACAGGAGTGTGTTATATAAGATTCTCTGGCTAAACCACCAAATAAACAGGTTATAACAAAAAAAAAACAAAAAACAAAAAAAAACCCTGTGGTATACGTCAATGCAGACGTATATGTCTAATGATGTGCTATCCATGAAAGATAGAAATCCTCAGTTCTGTTAAGGCATTCCATTTTTCCTTCCTGTCTGTGTGTTTTCTCTAACTCTAACTCTGTTTCCGCAAAGTCTCTCTGCGTGTTGCCCAACGTGCTCATAAATGATCAGACTGTCAGTGTATTGTAAGGGACTGTAGTCTGAAACATTGGTGGCTGAAATCAAGAAGGTCCACACTTGCAGGTGGGGTGGGGGAATGGCAAAGGCAATTACAGGAGTTCAGTAAGCCAGCTTCCTGGGCTGGTTTCTTCAGAAGGCCTGATCACTTCTTCTACCCCTTCTCTGCTCACTCAGTTATGAAACCTATGATGCCTTGTGAATTGTAAGTTTTATTTTCGGCCATTGATTTTAAACTTGGGCAGGCAGTGAATTGCACCGAAGTGGACTGGAGTCATTTTAGAAATGCCTGTAGAAACTGGCTGCTGTGAAGAGTTGGCTAGGAACTAATAAATCCAGCTCCTTGTTCTCCAGAACTGTATACATTTCAGATGCACTGGTTCAGAGGGGAGCCATTATAAGTATGAAAACATTTTTTTTTTTTTTTTTTTTTGCCTTTGGGTCCAGTGTCACAGGACAGCTGAGTTTTTCTGTAAGATGGGAAGTGAAGAGTGCAGTGACTTGACTCGGTGGCAGTAGTTGATGGCGGGTAGTGCTAGGTACTGCAGTGCTGTACTCCTGGTGACTCAGTGGTGGCCAGCAGGCTGAGATCCTCCGGGCTGTGCACATCTGTGGAGGTGAGGAAGGTGGGAAACATGAGGAGTGGAGTTGGGCATCTGGCCAATCCTCAGTTGAGAGTATGGGAGGCTTTCAGGTGGGCGGGATTGAAACCGTGTCACATAAATCAGGGGAAGAGAGAGATGTTCGGAGGGGTGAACTGACTCTGAATGCTCATTTGAGTTTATTTGTTTTTATAAGGAAGAATAATGTGATGTGTTACCCAAGATGGTGTGAACAGAGCTTCAAGCCAATGGAGAAGACTAGGCCTAAATAGCTGACCTGGTGAAGTGACACATAAAGCCACACCTGGAGTGCCACCTCCTCAGCAGTCTTTCTCAGTGCCAATGCATTTATGGCTGTAAGTGTGGGGGGTTGTCCAGATGGAAGCAGAGCTCTCGGAACAGGTCTGGTGGATAGGCGTGGAAAGGCTTTTCTCAGATGGCTAGCTGCAGTCCGAGAATATATAGGCACTAAAAGCTGAGTACGGCACTTCGGTTGGGGGTGGGGGTTGGGGAACCATCCGCATATGTCCTACCGTTCTGTGCTGTTGAAAATGTCTTTGTGGGGTGTGTGGGGGTTAACTTGTGATAAGTGATTATTTTCAATGTTTTCACACAGTAAGCTTGTAATAAGATCATCTTGCCTAGGGACAATTTTATTCCGAATAAGAGTAAACCATTATTATACACTGTTAGCACCTCACATCCCCACAGTAGGAGAGAGATGTTGGTACTGTGATGCAAGGCTTTCTTAAGAGTTTGGTCCAAAAGTAGATGTTATGCTCCCAGTGCCCTAGATTTTAGTTTGTAACCTCCGTGTTTCACATACTCTATATGTGAAGAGAGAGGAAAAAGAAACATGCCGAAACACACTTGAGTCAGGCATTTTAGATTCTTTTTTTTTTTTTTTTTGAGACGGAGTCTCGCTCTGTCGCCCAGGCTGGACATTTTAGATTCTTGAGTCCTGTGGAGCCTTTTTGGGCAAGTCCATTAACTTCTGCTTTGGTGTCCAGGAGGGTAGTTAAGAATCTGGATTACAAGGAAGTGCAAAAGATCATTCAGTGCCCCACAGCAGGGCCCCACTTCCGAATAGGAGATTTCACACAGAACGTCACCTTACTTCTTGTATTACCTTGACATAGATGATGGAGTGTGTGCTTCCAGATGAACCCATACCTAGCCCAGGCTGGTTCCAGTGGATCATGCACATCGACTCTTCCTACATTAGCTGCTATATAAGAGCTGCCTATTCTACCTTCACTGTCCCCACTGTGTGTTAATACAAGTTCTAGTGGCCAAGATTTTTTTCATGGACTGAGCCCCCCATGTACACTATACTATGTGTTTTCATCTGATTTGCAGTAGATTTCATTAGACCTGCTCTTTAGTGTGTACGTGTATTTCATAAATGGATTCATTGTGTATTTTGATGTTTGTGGAATTATTCTGGAAATAGATTTATTTTTTCATTCATCAGGTTTATTACACAAACCGAGGGATGTTCTTATGGGGATCCATGGACGCAGCAGAGAAAGTTACCAAAAACCTACCACCCAGAAATAGTCATTGTTAATATATTGCTACACACCCTTTCAGATGATCAATCCACATATATGTAAATAGGTCAGTCTCAACCTGCTACTGTGTGTTGCACCCTATTCTGTCAAATGCTGTTCTTACTTGAGAAAATGTTGAGCATACTAGGACTAGAACTGGCCTGCACAGGAGACACTTTGCAAAATTTAAAGCTCCTACATGGACCTTCTGGAATTGTGAGTAGCTTGAAATACGGATTCTTAGGGTATATTGTACGGTGATGCCGGGGTTAGTTGCACATAGGAGTAATAGTTCATTTCTCTGACACAATTGCTTCCATTTCCAAATGCTTAAATTCTAAAGCATTTAGAAAGAGGGACCTGATCTTTTCCTGTGAAAAAGATGATCAGATCATCATTCAGGGCAATTTCCAGAGAGGAAAATATAGTCTTTAAGTGTTTTCAATCATAGAAAGGAATCATAATATATTGATTAATACTGTTAGAAATTTTATGTATGTAAAAGTTACAGCAAAGTAAATTTTACAAACTTAATATGTATGTATAACAATATCTGAGTGTATATATAAAAGCACATACTTAAATTTACATGTACGTACACATTATTATAAGAATAGCTTTGTGTTAAACTATTTATTTTCTATAAGCTGTGGAACTATGTATGTTTGTCTCAATGTCTGTGCACCTCTGCATGCATGCGTACTGTTCACCCTGGTACCTTCACCTACATTCATATACAGATATGTTCCATGCATCGCTAATTGATGGTTAATGCTAAGTGGGAGATGTCTACTGTGGAGCTTTTGGAGATGGAAAATTAGCTGCTTTTGATGTGAACAAAGATACCCAAGAGAGTTGAAAGGCAAAGCAGCCTCAAGAGAATAAAGGATTGCTCCTTTCAAAGATATAGTAAAGTTATTTTAAATATGAAGATATATCCTTGTGCTTGCTAGGGAGGCGGATAAACTTCAGACAGAAGGATTTATATGTTTAGGGGCCTTCAGAAGACACTTTAGGGATTTAAGGATTAGATTTCTTTTGGAAACAAGAAGGCCAGAGGTCTCTATGGTTTGGTGGATCAGAGCATCTCTTCTGGAGTCAAAAAGTCTTTCTGGCCTATTTATAGAGAATGAGGACTGATCTGTAAGAGAATCCAAGGACTGGATGTTGGCATCTCTGACCACAGAAGAAAACCAAATGTTGCTCCTGGTTTGTGTAGGGAATTTGACTGAGAAAAATCAAGTTGTTTTACTCAGCTGAGCTGTGTTGGTGTTTGGCTAGGGGTGTGTTAAGTAAATGACAAACAGGGCTTTCTCTTCAATCAGCAATGATGGTTTTCTAAAATATATATTGAAATTATTTCTAGATATAATTGGCATGGAGCCAAAGAGAGAAATTCCTTGAATCGATCAGATCCCATGAATTTGCTGTTCCAGCTTGTCAATCTTGCTGCTTTCTTGTTAATTTTCTATTTTTGAGTCACAGAGGCAAGAATTCGGATCAATCCTCGCCAGGTACTTCCATGTCTCCTTTTCTGCTGCTGTTATTATTATTATTAGATTATGATGAGTCAATCCAGGATTTTAGAATATGGCCCTGTGACTCCCTTTGTATGTACTCAATGGACATTCCATTATTCTGTGGTGCAAGACATTCTGTAAAAGGGTCAGCAATAACCGTGAAAAATCATTATTTTAGGGTGAAGGTGGGGAGGCTTCCCATTACCTTAGCTCTTCTCTTTCTGTGGGGTTCAGCTTGGACCTTATTTCTATGTCAACAGTTCTCCCATTCTGGTCACTGTCTCCCCTTTACCGTCTCTTACCCAGGTGAACAAGGCCACTTAAGGAGGACAAGAGGATATAACTGGACTGGTTATCATCGTTCATTCTCTTCTCTTCCCTCTCCCACTTGTCCTTTAAAATAATCATGAAGCCATGAACTCAGATATCCATAACATTAAGTTAAAAATTGTACCAAGGAAGCGCTACAGATATAGGCTCTGTGTTCTCATCTACATCGGCTGATTTAGGGGCCTTTCATGTGTTTGCATCAGGCTCTGGCGGCTGTGAAAACAGCAACAGCTGTAACCTGCCACACTAGAAAAAATACATTCATTGGGTGGATCCCCGAGTTCTCACAGGAGGCTGGGGCACTGCCGTGTAAAGCTAGCGCCCTGCCCTCAGAACAACTTAGTGTGTAAAACCTAAAGGAGCTTACAGTTCATATAAAATAATGACAACTTTGAGCTTTTTAAGACTTTGAAGGGCGTGAGTCTAAGATAAAACTGTGTGGCTATTTTTACAGCATGTATTGGTATGCCAAAAGAAGGTAGCCCAGATAGCTCACGTGACAATTTTTGACATCTAAATAGACCAATACTTGCTCTTGCTCTACATTTTATATTCTTTTATAACATAACTATATAGTTTTAGTTATAAATATTTTCCTCTCTTTTTAAATGGTGCCACATTATCAGTACTTCCTGTGTCCTTTTTTTTCTTTTGTGTCTGTCATGAGAAATATTGAAAAGTCTTATATTTAAAACAGGATGTTTTGAATTTGCTTTTAGCCTTTTCATTCAGAGGAGTTGATCCAAGGTATCCACTCAGACATGGAGATTGGCAACTGTCAATTACTCAGGAGCTTGTCTGTGTAGTTTGTGGAAAAAAAAAAACAACAGTTCTCTTATTTTGCCTTTCTTATGCCTGTTATTCCTTAATCTCCCTTTTCTTTTTAGCCTGAGCATCATATAGGAAAAAGATTCTGACCTTCTACGTTATTACTCTATTGGCAGCTTTGTTGAAAAGTTTGGTGAGTGATAAGGTTGTAGTTGAAATTGTTTCTAGATCTTTTTAAATCTCCATAAGACTTAAAAAATTTTGCCTTCTATTGGGCATATCTATCAGCCAGGAAAATTTCTATTTTACTTTTTGTACTTTGTATTATGAAAAAATGTTGTAGTATAATAGTGTCATGATTGAAAGTGGAGACAGACCAGGCGCGGTGGCTCACACCTGTAATCTCAGCACTTTAGGAGGCACAGATGGGCAGATTGCTTGAGCTCAGGAGTTTGAGACCAGTCTGGGCAACATGGCAAAACCCCATCTTTGCAAAAAAATAAAAATAAAAAAAATTAGTGGGGCATGGTGGCATGTACCTGTAGTCCTAGCTACTCAGGAAGCTGAGGCAGGAGGATCGCTTGAGCCCAGGAGGTTGAGGCTTCAGTGAGGCCTGATCATGCCACTGCACTTCAGGCTTGGTGACAGAATGAGACCCTGTCTCAAAAAAAAAAAAAAAAAAAAAAAAAATGTGGAGACAGCGCCATATTGCCAGGGGTTGAATCCTGACTTTCCCTTTCCTACTTTGTGGCCATGGGCATATTTCTTAAACTTTCTGTGCCTTGGTTTCCTCATCCCTGTCAATAATGATAGAACTTACTTTTTGGGTGGTTTTGAAGATTAAGTTAGTTAATGTGTATAAAGCCCTTAAAATCAGATATATATTATCTGCCATTATTGTTATACATATAATGAATATACTTACAGTTTCAGTAACTAAATATGCTCCTCCTTCTATAGGTTCTGATAGTCCCACCAAGTTTTTTGGTTTATTTTCAGAGCCCTTGCATGGTTTTTGACAGTGATTTCCAACAATCTTATAGTGGTTGACAGGTGAAAGAATTCAGTAATCCCCAAAGGCCTTATGATTAGTTCATTGTATTTTGTTTTAGAAAAGCATGTGGTAAAGTGTAATTGAAATAATGCTGGGAGGCTGGGCGCAGTGGCTCACACCTGTAATCCCAGCACTTTGGAAGGCTGAGGTGGGTGGATCGTGAGGTCAGGAGTTTGAGACCAGCCTGGCCAAGATGGTGAAACCCCATCTGTACTAAAAATATAAAAATTAGTTGGGCGTGGTGGTGGGTGCCTGTAATCCCAGGTACCCAGGAGACTGAGGCAGGAGAATCACTTGAACCCTGGGAGGCAGAGATTGCAGTGAGCCAAGATCACGCCATTACACTCCAGCCTGGGTGACAAAAGCAAAACTCCATCTTAAAAAATAAATAAATAAAAGAAAAAGAAAGAAAGAAAGAACGCTGGGAGTTGGGAATCTTGGTCTTTGCCACTTCTTAACAGTGACCATGGGCAAGTCACTTAATCTCTGACTCTGTAATCCTCAGTTTTTCCCTCGTATAAAATGAAGACATTTGAGTAGATCATTTTCTAAGGTTTCTTCACATGCAAAATTTTGTACTTTTTGCTGATAAGCAGTTTCTTCAATTAAGATAAAAATGTCACCATATGCCATTTGCTTTTTAAAATGATCAATTACCACGGTGTTTTGTACATACTGAGTAAGGTATCAGTGTTCGGACCTTGAGTCTGGATGTTTGGCCTATTCAGAATCTTTGAAGGAAGCAGGTATATGTGGTACATATCTTTGAGTAGAGTAGATGTTTGAAAAGGAAAATGTTTTATTTAAGACTTTTAATTCTAGAAGCCAAAAAGGATGCTTTGTCTATTGCTTGTTCGCTTGCCAATACCCATGGTGCACTTCCAGCCCACAGTGATTTGAGCTTGGAAACACTTGAGTCTCATCTCTAAAAAAAAAAATCAAAAGCAAAAGCTTTCTGAGAAGTAAATTTCTCCTAACTCTTACTAATGATTGAGGAAAGGTAATTCTGCTTTAAATTATTTTTCCTTCTTGGCTAAGGTATCTGAGCTCTACACTACCAGAGTATTGATATAAAAATATTTTAAATTATTGTTTTGTGATTATCCTGCTTAATCATCAAGAATATTTGTTGTTCAGTGTTTTCTTGCTTTACAGAATTTTCTTCAGCTCATTATTATTATCCTTTGGGATGTCCTAAAACCAATAATTCATCAGTTGAAAAACCCCAGGAATACAATCAATTCTAGGAGACAGTCATTAATTTTAAAAGTCATTCATTACTTTTAAAAGGAATAATTGTGCCTCACCTGGTTAAGTTCCCTCTATGATAAAGTGAAAGGATGCAAAGATGAGAGAGAAAAAGTCAGTCCTGACTTGAGCCCAATCTCTCAAACATCCCTTTAAATAATGTTCGCATGAAGTAAGGGCTGGAGGCAAGTATTTGTCAAGCTAGAAAACTATGGCGAATGTCATGCTAAAATGGTTAGTGCATAAACAGATTAGTTCCCTAGCTTATTTCCAAAGAGTTATTATTGATAGCTTAATATCATCTAACTTCAAATGATGTCCTGGAGATTAATGTCTTGGGGTTTACTTGATTCAATGGTTCTATTGATCCAAGTGATAGAATTAAGAACCTGTTGATCAAATTTTCAAATCATCTCACTTGATCATGTTGTTAACGCTTCGAATATAGGAACGGAACCAAGGTGAAGTTGATAAGGTAGGGAGCACAGAAAATTTAATTATGATGCACAGGGCCCTTTGTGAAGTGCTAGGATATTGCAGAGCAGGGTAAGGAATGAAAGCACACAGATCAAGGAAGGCTGGGTAGACATTAGATTTCAAAAAGAAAAGACCACATGATAGTCACATTTCATATTTAGTTAACTAAAACCCAAAAATTTGGTACGTAAAACATAATGCATATTCCTAGAGTGCCAATGGCGGTATTTTTCTGTATTGTCATATCCCTAAAGTCATATTTTGTACTTTATTGATCCAAGGGCACACTTTTCCTCCCATGTTTAACATGTCTAACACAGGGCTACATCTTAAAACTAATGTTGTCTTGCAGTTATATTGGCAGCTTTTTCCCCTTAGTGGTACATAATCTAATGTTGAATCTTAAAAATATTGATATCTCAAATTCAGTGAAATGGGAATATTTGGGGGAAAAATCTTTAAACAATACAAAACCATAGACTGTAAAAAATAAGTCTTCCTTGATGACATCCTAATCTGCTGTCCTCCCCACTGGTAGCCATTCTTAACAATTCAGTGGATATCCATTTCTATGCATTGACAAACAGGAATATTTAGAAAAATGTACTTACAAGCAAACGTGTCATATTTGTAATCTTTAAAAATGCACATAAGATCATAATAAATATTATTATTCTGACTTGCTTTCTTTACCTGAAAATGTACTGTGGATTTTTTTTCATATCAATGGATTCTTCTTAATAAAAAGTGACATAATTGCTGTGCAGCGTGGTTTAGCCATGATGAATTTTTCCCACTGATAGAGATTTAGACTATTTTTCATTTTTCAGTCCTACAGTTAAATGCTACAGTTAACATTCTTTTTTTTTTTTTTTTTTTTTCTGTGAGACAGAGTCTTGCTCTGGCCAGGTTGGAGTGCAGTGGCACGATCTTGGCTCGCTGCAACCTCCGTCTCCCGGGCTCAAGCAATTCTCCTGCCTCAGCCTCCTGAGTAGCTGGGATTACAGGTGTGTGCCACCATGCCCAGCTAATTTTTGTATTTTTAGTAGAGACGGGAGTTTCACCATGTTGGCCAGGCTGGTCTCGAACTCCTGACCTCAGGTAATCCACCTGCCTCGGCCTCCCAAAGTGCTGGGATTACAGGCGTAAACCACCGCACCTGGCCCAACATTCTTTTACATGAATCATTGTGTACACATGGAGCATTTCTCCAAAACAGCTTCTTAGAAGCAAAATTACTGGATCAAAGGATTAACACATTTTAAGACGTATATATATTGGTGAGCATTGTAAAACATTTTTACATTATACATTCTTTTTTGGTTCAGAAAAAAACCAATTTAGTTCAACCTTTTTAACTTGAAATGTAAGACTTCAAAGAAGTTTCTTGATTGTGGAGAGCAACTTTAGGATATGACCTCCAGATTCTATAGGAAGAATTTATTTACTCTCTGTTGTGATAATTTGTTTTGGTTTAAAAATAACACACAAAAACTTGGGAAGTTCCATATGCCCTCATCATATCAAAGATGAAACAGTTGAGGCCCAGAGAGATTAGGCCACTTGTTTAGAATGACGCAATCTGTAGTAGAAGTGGACCTAGAGCCTTCCTCACATTTTTTTTTTTTTTTTTTTTTTTGAGACGGTGTCTTTCTCTGTCACCCAGGCTGGAGTGCAGTGGCGCAATCTCGGCTCACTACAAGCTCCGTCTCCCAGGTTCACGCCATTCTCCTGCCTCAGCCTCCCATGTAGCTGGGACTACAGGTGCCCGTCACCACGCCTGGCTAATTTTTTGTATTTTTAGTAGAGACAGGGTTTCACTGTGTTAGCCAGGATGGTCTCGATCTCCTGACCTTGTGATCTGCCCGCATTGGCCTCCCAAAGTACTGGGATTACAGACGTGAGCCACCGCGCCCAGCCCACGTTTCTTTCTAGAGCAATATTCTTTTTAGGATGCCAAATTCCAAGGTTAGTACTATAAAAAACTGGAATAAACCTGAAGAGTGGTATAATCGTATAATTTGTATGGTTTTTGACAGCTTACAAAACAGTTGGGAGTTGGGAGAATCTCCAAAACAGAGATTGGATTGCTCTCTGACCCAAATGGTGAGAACTTTATCTACTTGTAGACCAGATTTGCTTCCCAATTTCTTTCAAGCGTTTGTTTGATGTTGCTTTATGATATGGTTTGAAGTCCCAAGTCGCTGATGGATTAGAATGATAATACACCCATAAAACTTAAATGAACATAAAATTTCAATGCTAGAGAATGTCACAAAGACGTTTTGTGTTTTAGGGAAATGTTAGTGTTCTCATGATTTGTATGCAGGTCTTGATGACAGTTGCAAGTTACTGCTACGTTTGGCCTTAGCCATGAGCATCCGAATTTCATTTTTATTCTCTGCCTTTCTCATTTATGATTCATCTCCATGAGCTTCCAATTCAAAGAAACATTTGCATGATTCAGTAGCAATATTTTTTAAAAGGTAAAAGGAACAGCAGTATTTGTAAAAGGTACGAGGAACTGTAAGTTCTGGGGGTGGGGGTGGAGAGAGTGTCCCTGACAACATGCTCAAATTAGGATAAATTGAGAGGGTTTAATAAAATGAAAAGGTATTGGTAGGGTGCAAGGAAACCACAAGGGATAGTGCTGTACCCCCATGGCTAGTAAGTGCATTCCCAGAAAGGGTGTGGTTATAGGAACCTGGGAGGACTGAGTTGCATCCAGAAAGCTACCTTGAGAAGGATGCAGCTTTCCCTGTGGATGGATACAGCCAGCTTTGAAGCATCCCACAAGGAGGAAGCCAGAGAATAAATACCCTAATCTTAGTCTCCCTTACTCTGATCCCTGCTAGGGTGCCTTTTGGCCAAACTCAGCCAGAAGCCAAAGAGCAGAGCTTACCGGTTAGCCATGCAGTGCAATAGCAGAGTGGGGAAGGATGAAGGGTGGTTTAGAGAGGTGATTTGGTTCCATCTGTATTACTGTATTGTCTGAGTGTATATTCACACAAGTTGATGAAAGCATGCAATTGGGAGACATTCTTTTTTTTATTTTTTTTGAGACAGGGTCTTCCTCTGTTGCCCAGTCTGGAGAGCAGTGGCGCAATCATGGCTCACTGCAGCCTTGGACCTCCTGGGCTGAAGTGATCCTCCCACCTCATTCTCTTGAGTAGCTGGGACTACAGGTGCATGCCATCATGCCTGGCTAATTTTTTATTTTTTTGTAGAGGTAGGGTCTCACTGTGTTGCCCAGGCTGATCTCGTACTCCTGGGCTCAAGCAGTCCTCCTGCCTCGGCTTCCCAAAGTGCTAAGATTACAGCCATAAGCCACTGCGCTCAGCCTGAAGCCATTCTTAAAGCACACCTCTGAAGATGCTGGTGAGGCTCTGAAGGAGCTGTTGTTGGTCGTCTTCCTTTGGAGATGTGTGTTGGCTTTCATATGTGGGAATAGTTTCACTGCAATCAGTCTCCTGGGTTTTAATTCCTGTACTGTTGCTTTGACGAAGACCTTCAGCACTTCAACAAAATGTCTAGCAATAGGAGCAAATAAAAGATTTAAATGTTAGTTTTGTGGAGAAAGCTTGAGAAGCTAAGCTAAGAGGGCTTCCATGACTGCCTTCAAATACCCAGAGGTCTCTGTGGAGACTGAGAAGATAAAGGAAAGTGCGAATGAGACCAACTTGTGTCTTAGATGTGCTCCATTGTCATGGCCAGGCCAGAATAATTTTTGGGATCTCTCCAAATGTCATCACGTTGTGATTCCCACCACATATAATAGTGAGAGGAGTGGTGGGAACAGGGATTAGCAATGTGAGATTTTTACATTTCTGATGACAGCCTCCTTATTAAAAGATATGTTGACCGGGCAGGGGTGGGAATGCTAAGAGGAGCATTTCCTTTACATGGATGATAGTAGCTTGGAGGCCAAGTCTTGCCATTTTTAGTCAAGCTAAAACAGACCCCATGTGTCTGTATTTAAAAATCAACTTTGGCTACTGGTTTTATGGTGTGTAAAATATGTGAAAATCCATTGATCTACATGTATGATATGTGCACATTTCTATACATGTGTTATACTTTAATTAGAAATTTTGGGAGTGTCTTTTGGGGAAACAAGTGAAACTAATGGAATTCTGAAAGCTGTGATCAGGATTAGGATGGATATAATGAAGGCCCTTACTTTCCATTGCTAAGACTTACAAAATGTGGAAGGGAGTAGATTCATGCCCTCACTAGATGCTGGAATCCTGAGTGCAGAAAGAGCACTAACCCTTGACTGGTGGACCAGTTGGCCAAGGATTGGGACATGTAACCCATCACTGGGATATGGTAAGAGCATGCCCCTCCAGTCTCTGGAACAGAAGGTGCTCTCATTGGTGATGTTCATGGTGGCCTTTTGCTTCACTGCCCTCCCTGGGACCGATCGCAATGGTGGTGGTTATGTGCCCAGCCAGCAGATACCTCCCCTCTCTGAATAGCCATGATTCTTAAGATAAGGCGAACTCGGGGGAAGTAGATTTTCTCCTTGCTTTTAGCAGTGTCTGCAGGGTCAAAGCCAGGCTGTTCTCAGTGGTGAGAGCTGGTCCTTATGCTTACAGAACTGTGCCAGCGGCCACAAGAGAGAGTCAATTCCAGCAATAAGGAATAAAATGATTGCCATGAGTCTCAGTTGTGGTTTATTTTGATAAGATTCTAAGGTTCAGATGTTTACTCCTGGAAGGGTGTGTGCCTGGCATATGGTATACAGAGACACTCACTAGAGAGGTACTGCATATGTCTTTAAATATACTTAAGGGGCTTTCTGAAAGCTAAGCTAGCATACATGTTACATGAAGACTGCTTGGATTGTTTCATTTTCACAGTTTAAGGACTTAAAATAATCTACTTAAAATTGATTTCTAATTTTTATAACTCAAATTCTTAAATTATTACTAGTGTAGAGTGCAGTGTTATAAGAACGGTGAGGCAGATCTTGTAACTGAAGTACACTGTTACCATTTGTTATGGGTGCTTTTCATCAGTTCAGCTGTAATATTTTGAATAACTATGTGTGTCTGTGAAACTCCTTGAATCAGAGCTACAATATAAAGAACTATGCAAATTATGCAAGATATTATAACAGGACTTTATTAAGATTGAATAGTATGTTGATAAATATGATATTGTTCTGCTTTGGTTTTGAAATTACACAGGTATAAAAATAGCTAAAAAATTGTTCCTCCCACATTCCAAATATAAAGTAGGTAAATTTACCCCTAAAATTTAAGAGCAAGAAAAAAAAGAGTCGGATACAAATAAGATAGAAAAAGGATGAGAAATGCATAATCTAGATTCTATGAATGTTTTGATTTATATTGCTTTTAACTAAAATATGTTCTGGCTGTAAGATGTACAACTAGTTGTTACATTTTTCATTTGAGTGCTGCATTTACATAGAGAAGCTGGCTTTCAAAATGCCAGCCAGCAGCCAACTCAAATGTGGAATATTTGAGTCTAACTTAGTGACTAGTTTTGTAAGATGTCTTGAGGAGGTTGGGGGAAGGGTACGCATGGGACACCTTGTTCTGGAAACTCAGCCAGAATTTTGTCAGCTGTGATTCATCTGATTCTTAGGGTATTTGAATTTCCAGTTCCTAATTTAGAGCTTGCAAAGATACTGTGAACCCAAAGCCTCACCTCCATGTATTTAATGGAAGATGTATAGTTTTGAAGTTCCAGATTGACTTCCGGCAGAAAATGAGGACATTCAGCAGGCTCTGGCTATAAACTATATCATTTCTTTAGAAGTATAAAAAGTGTCCATTATCCTATCAGCATTTGTGTTAAATGACTTCTGAGATTCTCTAATCAAGGATGTTGATAGACTTTGGAAGCATTTCCCAGATTACTGATTGGGCCTTCCTCGAGGTCCTTAGACTCCAAGGAATTATTGGACCTGTCTGCTATACTGGGAACAGATCAGACACTGATAGGTAGTTGTTATCTTTGTACCTACATTTAAAAATACCTAGCCTCCCATTTGAAAGGAGCCCTTTTTCTGTGATCACATACTGTATTGATGTTTCGCAGAACATACTGTGAGAGAAATTATTTGCAGTAGGTAATTGGGAGCCGTTCACAGATTTTTAAACTGGAAAGTGGTTTGATCAGCTGTGCATTGGTCAGGGTAGAAGATGGATTTGAGGAGAGGAAGAATTCAGGCAGGGAGTCCAAATAAAAAGCTGTGGAAATAGTACAGGTGTGAGCTGATGGAAGCCTGAACTAGGGCAGCAGTAGTGGGGATGGAGAGGAGGAGGTGAACTGAAAAAATATTTAAGTCATAAATGCAGCAGGTTTAATGGCTAATTAGCTTATGAAGGAAGAGGAACTCCCACTTTCGGCTTAGGTGACTGACCGGTTGGACAGTGATGCCACTGAGATTGGAAAACTAGGCCATTTCTTCTGATATCTTTTCCACTGACCCTGGGGATCTCAGGTTAGAAGCCAGGTCCCGGATTGAAGGCCTCAACCCTTTAGCCATTGGTTTCTGGCTAAGAAAGTTACTGACTTCATCCCAAGATCATGAAATAGTTTCGTTCTAGACAGCTGGGACTCCCGGTTACCAGGAACTTGCTGCCAAATAATCGGTTATGGCTCTATCTGTTCCGGGCCTGTACCTATCCTCATATACCCTATTATGCCATGTTTGGAAACTATAGAGGAAGCTTGCCATATATTATCCTTTTACATTAAATATTTCTTTTTCTATTTAGAAGTAGATTGTAACATTTTCCAGAGTCTCTCATACTTCTTATATGTGGTAGATGAGTTTCTAGCCATTAATTTATGCGCCTGTTGATACATGTGAAAAAAACAGGTCCCTAGTCAAATAAGCTTGATAATCACCATACTCCGTCCCTTTCTCAAAAGATTCACAGCACCCAGTAGCCCACTAATATCTGTTAGCATTCCACAATAAATAAACCAATTAAATTTTATTTAACCCCAAGATATTCCAAACCTACTTGATCTCAGAATCCATTTTTTTCCCTAAAGAATACCTATTAAGTACTTGAATAACTAGTATACTACAGAATACAATTAGGGAAATGCTGGTTTAGTTATTTACACCAGGCCTCATAATCACTGCAAACCATCTCAGTGTTGTAGACTGGAAGGATTTTGTGGGACAGAGTGAAGTTAACGTTAAATAGATACAGTATATATATTTCTGGGGCCTCCCTCTTAGGAGACTTTGATTCAGTTAGTTTGGAGTAAGGCTTAGGATTCATATTTTTGGCAAACGCTCCCCAAATCACTTTCATGTAAATTCTTTGAGAAATACTGGGTCAAATTATTGTCTTGGTCAGCTCGAGAGTTTGTGACAGTGCACACAGCACTTAGTTTCCCTGTTCTTTTAGCTTCTTGTCCACTTATTTGGGGTGGTAAGCACTTTGAAGTATGAATGTCTTTCTTTAAATAAAATGTAATTGGTTTATTCATCTCCCTATCCTTACCCTACCCTTGCTTGCCTCAAGATGGGCACTCAATAAATGGTTGTTGGAATGAATTGAAATTCAATAACTTTAATTCCTCCAGGAATCAAGAGGAATCTAGGGAATGGTCAGAAATGATTGAACACAATATATTTTATCAGGGATTCCCAAGGGACACACACACACACACACACACACACACACACACACACACACACGCCCAGCCACTCTACTTTTTTTTTCTTTGAAAAAATCAAAGTGAATTTAAAATTGGGGGTTAGCAGGTTTAGGAAATTAAAAGGCCTATATTCTTTCTTTTTTTTGAGATGGAGTCTGACTCTGTTGCCCAGGCTGGAGTGCAGTGGCACGATCTCGGCTCACTGCAACCTCCATTTCCCAGGTTCAAGTGATTCTCCTGCCTCAGCCTCCCAAGTAGCTGGGATTACAAGCATGCATCACCACGCCCAGCTAACGGCTAATTTTTGTATTTTTAATAGAGACTGGGTTTCGCCTTGTTGGTCAGGCTGGTCTTGAACTCCTGACCTCAGGTGATCCACCGCCTTGGTCTCCCACAGTGCTAGGATTACAGGCATGAGCCACTGTGCCCGGCTGGAAATTAAAAGGTCTGTATTCTTAAAAGAGCCAGAATATGATGAGACACTCAGCTATATTGATTGTAAAAATAATTGGTGGTAGTGTTAGTCTCCCTCCTCGCCTACAATCCTAGACCCTATTCCCTAGAGTAAACACTTGATAGTTTGTTTCTTTAATAACAGCTTCACTGCATATAATTCACATACCAAGGAATTCAGCCGTTTAAAGTGTACAATTCAGGGGTTTTACTATATTCAGAGTGGTACAACTACAATCATCACCACGACCAATTTAGAACATTTTAATCACCCCAAAAAGAAAACTCATACCTATTAGCAGCCACTCCCCATCTCCTTCCAACTCTCTCAGCCCTAGGGTGTGTTTGTGCATTTGCCTCTTCTGGATATTTCGTACATTGGGAACCACACAATAGACAGCCTTTTGTAGGCTTCTTTCACTTAGCATAATGTTTTCAGGATCCATCCATGTTGCAGCTTTTATCAGCATTTCATTTCTTTGTATTGCCAAATATTATTCCATTACATGGATATATCACATTTTATCCATTCATCCATTGATGGACATTTGGGCTGTTTCCACTTTGTGGCTGTTATGAATAATGCTGCTGTGAACATTCATGCACAAGTTCTTGGGTATGTGTGGATCATAAATTTCTTCACCAGTCACATCAAAATGCGTCATCTTTAATAATTTGATGTATACTACAAGTATATCGAAGATACAAGGTGTTTTAGAATCCCACTCCACTGGCCTGAATGGCCATATCTCAGCTATTTCCATATAATCCTGCTCTTGTCAGTTTGTACGAGTAAGCAATGCTCAGTCTCAAGTACAAAAATTGTGGACATTACTCCCTCCTTTTGAGAATCTCTCTTCTCCCACATCCTCTTTATAGACTTTATAGACTTTGAATTGCTCAAAGTCTAATTCTTTTTTTTTTTTTCTATTTTTTATTTTTGAGACCGTGCCTTGCTCTGTTGGCCCAGGATGGAGGGCAGTAGTGCAATCATGGCTCACTGCAGCCTTGACATCTTGGGCTCAAGCAATCCTCCCACCTTAGCTTCCTGGGTAGCTGAGACTGCAGGCGTGTACCACCACACCTGGCTAATTTTTTATTTTGTGGAGATGGGGTCTCACTATGTTGCCGGGGCTGGTTCAAACTCCTGGGCCCAAGCAAGCCTCCCACCTCAGCCTCCCGCCTCAGCCTCCCAAAGTGCTGGGATTACAGATGTGAGCCACTGCACCCAATCAAAGTCCAACTCTTATTCCACTTCTTCTATGAGGTTCCTCTGCTTTTCCAGCCTCTTCTGAATTCCCATAGCAGCATCTGCCCCATTCACTTGGGCATTAGCCACCTGCAGTCTTGGATGGCTTCTTCACCATTTCATGTGTCTGCATCTTATTTCTGCAAACATAGGACTCTAGAGGGCAAGGATCAAGTCTTACCATTCTTTTCTGCCTTCCTTCCCTCAACTCCAACTATGCAAGGGTAGAGAATGAATTAAAAAAGACATAGCACAATAATACACAATAAGTTAATATTGAATGAGTGGATGAATGCTATAGCTCTATGATATTGATGTTCTCAGTGCATAGTAAGATGGGAATGGTTTGCACCAACCAGTGAGGAAATGACGAGTGTAATTAATTAAACCAGGTGCAGCTCTGAAATTGTGAGGTGCTTATTTAAAAGTTGCTGACTTGTTGGCTGGGCACGGTGGCTCACGCCTGTAATCCCAGCACTTTGGGAGGCTGAGGTGGGCGGATCACAAGGTCAGGAGATCGAGACCATCCTGGCTAACACAGTGAAACCCTGTCTCTACTAAAAATACAAAAAAAATTAGCTGGGCATCGTGGCGGGTGCCTGTAGTCCCAGCTACTCGGGAGGCTGAGGCGGGAGAATGGCATGAACCTGGGAGGCGGAGCTTGCAGTGAGCTGAGATCGCCCCACTGCACTCCAGCCCAGACAACAGAGCGAGACTCCATCTCAAAAAAAAAAAAAAAAAAAAAGTGCTGACTTGTCACAGTAAATGCTGAAAGGCATTCTATTTAGAAATAATCTTGTCTGTGTATCATAGTTTCTTTATTTCTTCTTGTTCTCATTTGCAAGGACATATTCAGATATATTGTCTTGAAAATAGGATTCTTTCAACTTCTTCTCTTTTATTTCCAAGTTCAGATCATAATTTAGTGACTGTATTATTATCAGAGTTATTATGTCTGTGATGGCCATATCCGAAATCTCTGTGACTTTTCAGGCAAGGTTAGTTATTTGAATGAACCCCGCAAATGAACTTTCTCATGTTAATCTCTAAAGCCAAATGGAAACAAACAAACAACAAATTTCAGGAAATCAGACACATAAAGGTACAATAATTTGAAACAGAACAAAGATATTTTAGTTTTTCTCACTCTTGGCAATGAAAATTTCTCTATAAAATCTGCTCTTCAGACATTTCCCCATGGATGACAGAATTAAGCAAATCATCCCAGTTTGTTCTTTATGAGCTGCTTATGAAACATTCCTTGGAAATAATTCTGCCTAAATAAAATTACTCTATTAATTCATAGCCTTAATTTTTGTGTGATGTTGAAAAGAACTAAGGAATAGGACGGTCTCCTTTGGTAGTAATAAACCATGCCACTCTGGTTTAGAACGAGGAGCTTGCTGAAGGTTGGAGAGGCAGAGTGTACATTATAGTGAAGCTGCGGTTGTTGCTTCAGGGACACACTGATAACCCTGGTCACAGTTGCAAGAGGTAGATGGCAGATCCCTTCCACAGGTATGTGTCCTTGTATCCCCATGGTCATTCATGTTAAGATGGGAGGCATCTGGGTGACTTCCTTAAGTTCTTACTGTGAAGATATGTTGACATATTTGTTCAAAAGACAGATAGAATTTGTTGTAAAGACATCTGAGCTTTGTAAATTAATCCTGGATATATCTATTGATGGCCTTCATGTGGGGTGAACACGTTTGTCAGAGTGTTACCAAAGGACTGTTTACAGATGCATTCTTTTCTGAGCATCTAAATGAAAAGTTCACAAGTACCTATGGAACTTCCAACACTGTGCTAGAGATGATAACTCTTAAAAGAGTCATAGAAATAGAAAATATTCCTAGTAGAAAAATTCTTAGAGTGAAATCAGGAGGAGATCTGTGCATTTGAAACCACCAGGAGGGAGCATAGAGTAAGAGGATGGACTTTGTGTTTGTAAAAAGAACTGGACTTACAATGCTTTCCGTTTACTAACTGTTTGGATTTGGACAATTGTGCTCCACACAAATTCTTTCCCTTAATTTTCACAATGACCTTATGATGTAGATATTTTTGTCACACATTTTCTAGGCATAAAAAAAGTCATATGATTCGTCCAGGGTCATACAGCTAGAAGACAAGCCAGGATTTGAACCCAAGTGTCCTACTCTAGACTGTCTTCCTAAAACAGGGAAGGGAGGAGTTGGAGGGCTTGAAAGGAGAGCATGGCAGGCTGAATGAGGAAACAGAACAAGAGAAGGAGCAAACAAGGTACGGGCACACGAGTAAGGATGGGGACCTGCTGGTGTCGGACATGGCCGTGGGACCCACACCAGCAGGTATTGGACAGATCCCGTAGGCAGGAGGGAGCTTCCTTTGCACTGGCAGAATCCTGAGAACATGTTGGTCTCACATTACTGCCTCCATTTCCTTTTTGAATTCCTACTGATGATGACTGAGCCACTTCATATTCATTTTCTGTGTCAGGATAAAATCGCTCATCTCAGCTCAGTCATCCCTAATTTTCTTAGGTTTATGACAGAAATTGCACTCCTAATACCCCACCTAGTATTCAGTTTCCTCTCCGTAAACATATACCCAGTCTTCTTTTCTCCACAAGTCATTCTGACTTATTCATCTATTCATTCAGCCCAGTCTGAACGCTTGAAGACCGTGCTAGCAAAGCAATGAGCAAAGAAAGCTAGAAACCGGTTTTCATCCTTCTCACATGATTCCCTGAAATTCACCCCTCTTCCCAGGAATATAAGTGTTTCAAATGTTTTTGAGTAACGGTGCCAGAACGTGAATCAATTACATCATAAAACAGGCTTTTAGTTCAGCTGACATTTTTTCCCCTGTCACAATCCTTTCTCGATGAAGGAATCAGGGCGTTGATTTGCCTTCTGGTGCATTCGCTCCTGTTTCCTTCTGGGGCAGCCCATTAAGTTCTGGACTAGCTGCTTCTCGGGTCCCATTATTTGGAGCCTCTAGCGTTCTAAGGCATATTATTAGTTTTAAATATACCTCAGTCATATTTACATTTTCTTTGCGCATTCCTTTTAACCATCTGGGAAACAGGATCCATTCTGCCACCCTTCCTGGAGATCACCTCTCTACAGAGGCGGAGTATGGTAAAGCGACAGAGAAAGAGGAGACCCCCAGTAAGAGGGACCTTCAGAGTCTTTTCTAGATTGTGCATGGCTCTGTCTGTCTGTCTTAGAGCTATCAAAGAGTAGTCTGTATTTTGCAGAAATAATAACCCTCAGAATCCTATTTCTAGCTGTCTCTTCAAAATCATTACTCCCCATTGTAGGCTTTCTATGAGCCGTGGACTGTTTCAGGGCTGCTTTGTATGTTATTTATACATCTCGTAGGTAGGACGTGGCTGATTCCATTCTGAGTGGATGGTTTAGATCGTTGTTTACTCTGATTAGTTGATATTTGTATCACAGTAGTTATTAAATAATGTGAATAGTGCCCTTCACTATTCTGAATACCCTAGATGGTGTATATACATATATCATTTAATTCTCAAAAGAGTAGTTGAGGTAGGTGTTATTATCCCTGTTTTACAGTTGAGGAAACTGAGGCACAGAGAAGGTAAATGACACACAGTCTATGGCAGAATTGATGTTCATACCCAGAGCCTCCAGGCCATTCAATTATGCCTTGCTACTTTCCAAGCCCTACAAAGCCCTTTTTCAGTTCTCAGTATGCCTAAGGAATTTTTTTGCAGCTTTGTTTACTAGAAAGTTCTCTCAGAAAGCCTCCTTCTTGAAGACCAGAGGAAGGAGGTTTAATCAGCTTCCTTGTGCAGAGGACTCCAGCTTCCTCGTTAGTCTTTTATGTTAGGAAGAAACAGAGGTGCATCTGTGGCAGAAGCCAACTGCTGCAGTCTGCAGGCATCTTTCAAGATGCCTTTCCTTGAAGCCTGTGGGCCGGCCTCTGTGATGGGAGCTAAGCTGCAGTGGGAGCTAAGCTTTCTTTCCATGTCTCCCCTTGCCTGGACCTCATCTTATTGCCCTGACTTATGATATATCTCATTCTCTTAAACTATCAGGTTCCATCACTCAAAGGAGCACACCGAAACCTATTCTCACTGATCTTTCTGATGCTGCTGGCTCCTTTAAATTCTTAGCATCCTTAAAAGAAATTGGAAAATGTGGTCGTCTGGGGCTGTGTGCTGGCTCTGGAGGGCTTCCTCAGTCAATGTCAGCCATCTAGCACTTGAGTCATCAGAGATCGATTAGAGGGGGAATTGGGTAGGGGAAAGAAGAGGGTGACATTTGGTTATTAGTTGTTTTTTTTTTTAATTTTTAGAAATTCAGGTGAGATTCACAAACCATGCAATTAACCATTTTAAAATGAACAGTTCAGGCAGGATGCAGTGGCCCATGCTTGTAATCCTAGCACTTTGGGAGGCTGAGGTGGGTGGATCACTTGAGGTCAGTAGTTCAAGACTAGTCTGGCCAACATGGCGAAACCCCGTCTCTACTGAAAATACAAAAATTAGCCTGTAGTCCCAGGTACTCGGGAGGCTGAGGCAGGAGAATTGCTTGAACCCAGGTGACGGAGGCTGCAGGGAGGTGAAATTGTGCCACTGCACTCCAGCCTCCAGCCAGGGTGACAGAGCAAGACTCCGTCTCAAAAAAATAAATAAATAAATGAACAATTCAGTGGCATTTAGTACATTTAGAATATTGTCTGACCACCACCTCTATCTAGTTCGGAAGCATTTTCATCACTCCAAAATAAAACCCTGTGCCCATTAAGCAGTTACTGCCCACTCCCTTCTCTTTCTACTCTTGGCAATCACCAATCTGCTTTCTGTTTCTGTAGATTTACTTATTTTGGATATTTCACATAAATGAAATCATACAATATGTGACCTTTTAGTCAGACATTCATGTAGTGTAATGTTTCAAGGTTCATCCATGTCAGAGTATGTATTAGTACTTCATTCCTTTTTTATGACTGAATAATATTCCATTTATGGTTAGATAGCCCACATTCATCTGCTGATGAGCATCTAGGTTTGTTCAACCTTTTGGTGATTGTGAATAGTGCTGCTGGGAACATTCATGGACAAGTATTCGTTTGAGTTCCTGTTTTCAGTTATTTTGGGGATATACCTAGGAGTCAAGTGGCTGGGACATATGGTTGTTCTCTGTTTAACTTTTTGTGAAACTGCCAGAAGACTTTCCATAGGGCCTGAAGCATGGGCCATTAGTTTTGATAGAGATCTTTAGAGCAGACATCAATGAAGTCAGGAAAGGACATATGACTGTCTCTATAGAAACTCTGTGCATCTTGGAACAAGGCTAAAAATGTACATTAGGATGCCTTTATTGAGAAATAAAAATATGGCTCTGTATGTGTAGGGGCAGAGGTTTTTTTTAATGTCTCCCCAGGTCCATCTCCCACTAGGATGATGGAAATAATCTCTTCTTTCATCTCTATCTCTCTGGCCTTGTCCCTTTCTTTCCAGTCCTTCTCTTGGGGTGGTTTCCTCTCAGAAGACTATTTTCTATTTTTATTTTATTTTTTATTTATTTATTTTTTGAGATGGAGTCTTGCTCTGTTGCCCAGGCTGGAATGCCATCTCAGCTCACTGCAACCTCCACCTCCCGGGTTCAAGTGATTATCTTGCCTCAGCCTCCCAAGTAGCTGGGGCTACAGGCGCGTGCCACCATGCCAGGCTAATTTTTGTATTTTTAGTAGAAACAGAGTTTCTCCATGTTGGCCATGTTGGTCTCGAACTCCTGACCTTAAGTGATCCACCGCCTCAGCCTCCCAAAGTGCCAGTATTACAGGTGTGAGCTACCGCACCTGGCCAGAATACTGTCTCTTTAAAATGCAAATCTGATCATGTTATTTACCTATATGAAACCCTTCAGTAGTCCTCCATGGCCTTCAGAACCCATTGCAGATGCCTTTCCTTGGCACATCAGGACCTTGACATCATGGCCCTTGCTAGGACCTCAGCCTCGGCTTCTCCCTCTTTCTCACAGCCATCCTTGCATATCAGCCACATCACCTACTTGGTAGGTCCCTGAACGGACCATGCTGTTTTATACCTTCTTGCCTTTGCATATGTGTCTTCTTTTGGCTACGAACTAACTGTTCCATCTCCTTCAAGGCCTGACTCAACATCACATCCTGCCAGAAGCCTCTCATAATTCCCTAGTCTGAACTTTTGGTACTTTCCTCTGCACTTTAACTCCTTGTTTGCTTCTCTGTATCTTTTACTAGGCTCCGTAAGGGCAGGGATGCTTACTCTGTTTAGTCCATCATGTGTCTGAAATACCTGCAGCCTTGCTTGGCAAAAAGAAACTCACAAAGTAGTTGTTGACTGAACTGAGTGTCAGTCCTCTTAGGTCAGGATGGCACTTTTTTTTTTTTGTTACCTATTTATTTTGATACCTATTTGAAAGCAATAGGTATCATACGTGTTAATTGAATTAAAGTATGGAAGGAAAGAGGAAGGGACAAAGAAGGAGGAAGTCAGGGAGAAAAGGTAGGAAGAGAAGAAGAGGAAAGAAGAAAGCAGGTCAGGCAAAGAAAAAGACCAAAAACCAAAAAAGAGAGCAAGCAGAAAGAGGTAGGGGAATGAATGAAACTGGGAAAGACAGGAAGTAGATACCAATGACATCTACCTTTAAACAAATGTACTATCATTCCATTTATTCTCTAGATCTCATAATTATTACATTAAACTGTGTGCTTGCAGAGTAGAAGGGTGGAGGAGAGAAGCTGGAGAAGTGGAGGGCTTAAATCCCAGGAATGAATGCCTCCCAGTCCCACCTTATTCCACTTACACTCTGTACTGTGGCCAGGGGCAGGGGAACTAGTAGTTTCAAAATACCCAAGGGTACAGGGCACTTGGCAGGAACTGCTGCTTCCATTACATCTGTCATTTTAGACTTTTTTTCTTTTTTTTTTTGACAGGATCTCACTCTGTTGCCCAGGCTGGAGTGCAGTGGCACGATCTTGGCTCACTGCAGCCTGGACTTGCTAGGCTCAGATGATTCTCCCACCTCAGCTTCCTGAGTAGCTGGGACTACAGGCATGCATCACTATGCCTGGCTAATTTTTATATTTTTTATAGAGACAGGAGTCTCCCTGTGTTGCCCAGGCTGGTCTCAAACTCCTGGGCTCAACCAATCCACCCTCCTTGGCCTCCAAAGTGTTGGGATTACAGGCATGAACCACTGCACCTGGTCTGGACTGTTTTTAGGACCTTCAGGTCAGAGCACAGAAAGGGACATTCAAGACTGTAGTGGGAGTGGCTGTCTTCTGCCTTTTGCTTACCTGTTCCAGGTTATATAATTTGCACCTTTGCTAGTGATGCCACTCACTGCCTTTTGATTGCAGCTAAACTGCAAGGCTCATTTAGGAAATGCTGGCTTTGGGGTAGGAGAGCTTTTTAAATGTAGATCTCTAAGAAAAAAATGACACCCGGTTTGTTCCTAGTTTCTCATGAGAGATTTTAAGGCAACCAATCCAAATGCAATAAATACACCAATGACACTATCATCCATACCCACATTGCCTTATGCATGCCAAAAACTGAAAGCCCAAGAAAGCCGCCAAGTGAGTCATTGGCTTCTTGAAGGCCTGAGCTCCTCAGTGGAGCACCAGAATGCCCTCGCCTACCTCCGGCAGCCTCGGCCAAGACTCCTCAGTATGCCATTTCTGCACTCTGGTTTGCTTTCTCTTCCCTTTTTAAGCTACTGCTGCTTGTTTTTTATAAACCAGGGACTTATTAGCCAACAAATAGACATTCTCATAATAGTGAGTGAAATCTGATCTTATCTCTCTTTCTGCTGGGCTCCGGGGCAGGTGCCTGCAGGAAGTGCTGGGTGGTCTCAGAAGAGGCAAGTGGAACTGGCAGTGTCCATTCCCAAATAGAAGCCTTGCTGCCAGACCCGGACGACCTCGCAGCTTTTTGCAAATGAAAGAACCTTCTCCCTACCAAGGGAGCCGTGCAGTAAACGTTTCTGGCAGCGCTTTTGAAAAGTGCATAGACATTCTCAGGCCACTTGGGACCTGTTTCTGAAGTTACTTATTCTATGTGTGATGCGGAATTCTTATAGCAGCGACTCTTAAAGTGTGGTCCACAGGCCACTCTGCAATAGAATCCCGTCCCCCACTCCCCCTGCCTAGGGAAACTGGTTAGGAATGCAGTTTCTAGAACTCCACTCAGAATCCGCTAGGGGCAGCAGGGAGCAGTATATTTAATAAGTACCCCACGTGATTCTTCTTTGCCCCCTAAGTTCCAGAACCACTGTTTTGCAGGTTTACAGAACAGCAGATCTTGAAAGGCAAGCAAGCCCTGGACATCTTCTCTTTCCATCTTCTGTTGCCTGCATAGCCCCATCCCTGTTGTTTCACCTGGGTGACCCTGTGTTACAGGATGACGCTACCAGCCATGAAGTGCCTTCTGCAGGCTGTGGAGGGCTCTCCTTCTGGGGATCCGGTTTAATCCATTCTTTTCATGGGGTTGCTTTTTCTGAGGACTGCTCTTTTTTTTCACATTGACCATACACAGAATGTTTTTCATCTGGTGTCTCTCCTTGGGGAATTGGACTGAAATCAAATTTCAGGCTGTGAGCACATGTCACACCAGGATTTATGGCACAGGACACCAGAATTTACTCAGATTTTGTTTTCTAAAGGACTCAGAATCACCGTCCTTCAGAGTCATAATATTCCTTCCATAAGGATCTATTGAAGAGATTGATGAAATTGTATTGATGAAATTTCATCACTGAAATTTGTATGAAATTTGATGAAATTATAAGAGAGAAACAGCTTATATCCCTGGGACGGTGTTTTCTTTTTTCTTTCTCTCCTCCCCATGGGACATGCTGGCCCTGCTTTCCACCCCATTGTACCAGGTGCCTTGTGCCCTGCTGGAGCCCTGGGGTGCTCAGGACACACCCTGAAGCTCTGATCTTTCTCTGCTGGTTGTCCATCAGAATGTATCTGTCATGTGGCTCACGTTCTCAGAATTTTGCTAAATTGATGATCTCATTATATATTGTTAAGGAATGCTAATGGTTTAAAGTGCATCCAACAGCCTTCTGATAACATTTGCATCTCAGTAACAACCTTTAGTGGAGTGAGTAATGTAGGATTTTGAGGCCCCTTAGGGTGACTAGCCATCAGGGTTTGCCTGGGACTGTCCTGTGTCCTGGGAAACACTGAAGTCCCAGGCAAACCAGGAAGGTTGGTCACTGAAGCCTCATTGGGAGCCTTTTTTTTTTTTTGCGACAGAGTTTTACTCTTGTTGCCCGGGCTGGAGTGCAATGGCGCAATCTTGGCTCACTGCAACCTCCACCTCCCGGGTTCAAGTGATTCTCCTGCCTCAGCCTTCTGAGTGGCTGGGATTACAGCCACCCACCACCATGCCTGGCTAATTTTTGTATTTTTAGTAGAGACAGGGTTTCGCCATGTTGGCCAGGCTGGTCTTGAACTCCTGACCTCATGTGATCTACCAGCCTTCGCCTCCCAAAGTGCTAGGATTACAGCCGTGAGCCACCGCACCTGGCCTTGGGAGGCATTTTATTATAATAATAATAATAACAACAACAATAGTAGCAGCAGCAGTAGTAATAATAATAGCTAACATTTATGTAGTGCTTTGTGCCAGTGCTGTTCTAACTTCTTTGTATATACACACACGCGCACACACACATGTAATTCTTTTTTTTTTTTTTTTTTAAAGACAGGGTCATCTTGCTCCATCACACAGGCTGAAGTGCAATAATCTTAGCTCACTGCAGCCTTGAACTCCTGGGCTCAGCTCCCGCCTCCTAAGTAGCTATGACTACAGGCGCGTACTATTGCTACTTTACATATATTAACTCATTTGTTCCTCTCAACAACCCTACGGGCTATGTACTAACATTATCGCCATTTTAAATTTAAATTTAAATTTATTTATTTGAAACAGGGTTTCACTCTGTCACCTAGGCTGGAGTGTGGTGGTGCAATCACAGCTCACTGGAGCCTCTACTTCCAGGGACCAGGTGATCCTCCCACCTCAGCCTCCTGAGTAGCTATGACTATGGCACACACCACCACACCCAGCTAATCTTTATAATTTTTGTAGAGACAAGGTTTCACCACCTTGAACTCCCGGGCTCAAGCAGTCCCCACCTCAGCCTCTCAAAGTGCTGGGATTACAGGCATGAGCCATCATGCCCGGCCTATCCCCATTGTTAAGATGAGGAAACAGAAATAGAGACACCCCTGGGCAAGTGCAGGCAGGAGAGGAGGATTTCTGGAATTTCTAAAGTTGGCAGGAGTCTGCCTGTTCTACCTGTGTGTAAGGCTGCTGTGCAAGAGGTAGTCCTGGGATAAAACTATCTTCAAAACCTGAGTATTTTCCACTATCCCAGATAGCTTTCCTTTTGATGAACTTTTTGTTTGTTTGGAAATCATTTTAACAAACAAATACATTGAGACACCGAGTGTCTCAGTCACTTATTGGGACTAAGTTCAATATTTACTGGAAGTTCTACTGAGAACAGAGAAACCCAGAGTGCAAGCGAAGCTTACACCCCTACCCCATCTCCTGTGAATAGCTAATGAGGAAATCCTGACATTTTATGTTATGTTAATGTATTATGCCATTTTCTTCCTATTCTTATTAATATTGGCCCAATCTAGACCCTATTGTCTCACAACTGGATTACTGCTACAGCCTCATTTTTGACTTCCTGGGTTCTAGTCCTCCTCCTCCTCTTCTTTCCAAGAAGACAGTTTCTGCTAGAACTGTCTTCAGTTGTAACTTTTTGTTGTTGAAACAGAGTCTTGCTCTGTCACCCAGCCTGGAGTGCTGTGGCAGGATCTTGGCTCACTGCAACCTCCGTGTGCCGGGTTCAAGCAATTCTTCTGCCTCACCCTCCTGAGTATCTGGGATTACAGGCGTGTGCCATGACACCTGGCTAATTTTTATATTTTAAGTTGAGATGGAGTTTCTCCATGTTGGCCAGGCTGGTCTCGAACTCCTGACCTCAGGTGATCTGCCTGCCTTGGCCTCCTCAAGTGCTGGGATTATAGGTGTAAGCCACCACACCCGGCCTTCAGTTGTAACTTTTATCATGTCTCTCTCCTGTTTAATACCTATACTCTCTTTTTCTTCCAGATCAGACCCAAATAACTCAAGACTAATTTTTTCTGTCTACTGTATTCTCCTGTATTTCTCATCATAGGAGCTCAGCACTGTAAAGGACTTTAGAAAGTACAATCCCAGGCCGGACGTGGTGGCTTATGCCTGTAATCCCAGCGCTTTGGGAGGCTGAGGTGGGAGGATCACTTGAGGCCAGGAATTTGAGACAAGCCTGGGCAACAAAGCGAAACTCCATCTCTACAAAAAAAGTTAAAAACAAAATTAGCCAGGTGTGGTGGCGTGTGCTTGTTGTGTCATCTCAGCTACTTAGGAGACTGAGGCAGGAGGATAACATGAGTCCAGGTGTTCGAAGCTATAGTGAGCTGTGGTCACTCCATTGCACTCCAGCCTGGGCAACAGAACAAGACCCTTTCTCTAAAAAAAAAAAAAAAAAAGAAAGAAAGTATAATCCTGTATCCGATAATCAGTGTTCCACACAAACCATCATTCAGGGGCAATTTTTAACACCTCCAATGACAGGCAACTTATGGAAACACATTTCATTTACACATTTTGTCAGAAAGTTCTTTCTTGAATGTAGGTAAAATTGGAGTCTCTAATAATTGTTCATCAGCCTTTGTTCTGTCCTTTTTTCATCTGCCAGCCTCTGAATATTTGCATAAGGCTATCATGTGTTGTCTTCTCCAAATGATGCATAATCAGTTTCTTCAAATGATCATCAAAAATCCTTTACCCTCCTGGCTATTTTCTGGAGGCTTTCCCAGTTGGTGGAGCTCCTCCTAATATGAGGCACCCAGAACTGGACGAACCCCTTATTAGCCCTTGGAAGTGGGATGACATGATTAATATTAGTCAGTTAAAACCACATTCCCTTTCAATGAATATTTGTACTGCTTTTAAGCCATGCCTTTCATGACTGTACTTGGATAGTTTTTTTTTTCTTCCAGAAATAAGTGCATTAATCTGTACTTACTCCATCTTATCCAATCTGGCCAACATTTTAGCCAGAAGACCTCTTTATAGATTTTCCATCTGTCATCTTATGTGTGAGTGTTCTCTTCCAGTGTCATGGTCAACCCTAAATTTGATCATGGATTCCATTTATGTTTTCAGCAAAGCTTGTGATAATGACAATTTGGGCAGAACACATTTCAGAACCAGCAGCACTATTGGGGGAACCCTCCCCCAATATTTCAACGTAGGTTCTTTCTATTTTCCATAAGTGTCAGCTGGCTGAGAAATAAAGAGAAAGAGTACAAAGAGAGGAATTTTACAGCTGGGCCGCCGGAGGTGACATCACATATCAGTAGGACCGTGATGCCCACCTAAGCCTCAAACCAGCAAGTTTTTTATTAAGGGTTTCAAAAGGGGAGGGGGTGTAATAACAGAGAGTAGGTACAAAGATCTCATGCTTCAAAGGGCAAAAAGCAGAACAAAGATCACATGCTTCTAAGGGAATAGGACAAAGGGCAAAAACAGAACTACTGATAAGGGTCCAACAAAGATCACAAGGCAAAGGGAAAAAGCAGAACTACTGATAAGGGTCTATGTTCAGCAGTGCACATATTGTCTTGATAAATATCTTAAACAACAGAAAACAGGGTTCGAGAGCAGAGAACCGGTCTGACCATAAATTTACCAGGGCAGAGTTTTTCCCAACCCTATTAAGCCTGAGAGTACTGCAGGAGATCATGGCATATCTCAGTCCTTATCTCAACCGCATAGGACAGACATTCCTAGAGCGGCCGTTTATAGACCTCCCCCCAGGAATGAATTCCTTTCCCATGGTATTAATATTAATATTCCTTGCTAGGAAAAGAATTTAGCAATATCTTCCATAATTGCACGTCCATTTATAGGCTCTCTGCAAGAAGAAAAATATGGCTCTTTTTGCCGGACCCTGCAGGCAGTCAGACCTTATGGTTGTCTTCCTTCGTTCCCTAAAAATCGCTGTTATTTTGTTCTTTTTCAAGGTGCACTGATTTCATATTGTTCAAACACACATGTTTTACAATCAATTTGTACAGTTAACACAATTATCACAGTGGTCCTGAGGTGATGTACATCCTCAGCTTACGAAGACAACAGGATTAGGAGATTAAAATAAGACAGGCATAAGAAATTATAAAAGTATTATTTGGGAACGGATAAATGTCCATATTAAAATGAAATCTTCACAATTTATGTTCCTCTGCCACGGCTCCAGCCAGTCCCTCCATTTGGGGTCCCTGACTTCCTGCAACACAGCACAGTTCTAGATAACTATGGATCTAGATCTATCTAGATAGCCTGGTATTTGTTACAGTGGTAGGCATCCTGTGATTGTTCAGGCACTGGAGAATCTATCTGTTCACACAGTTTGTGTTTTACCATCTTGTGAATGACTCTGTTAAATGTCTTGATGAGTTCTAGATAGCATTTCTTATAGCTGACTTAGAAAAGAAGAGCATTGAAATCATGGTGGAGTCCTTGCTGCCTAGCATCCCCTCCATGTTAGGGTTACTTTGGGGCCTTTTTTCATCCTTTCTGTCTAAAGGCTCTCTTTTTTTCATTTTTTATTTACAATCATAGTATTATCTTCCATGGCCAGAACAGCTGTATCTCCTTCAAGAAGCCAGCACTCACTCCTTTCCATTAATTCTAGGCATTAATTTTTGGTACATAACACAATTTAGCACATAACCTTAAGGTGCTTTGCATTGTTTGTACATTACTTGGTATTATGTGTATGTCCAGGATGAAATGCACACTTGGTAAATACCTGTTGGATGAATGAAGGTAAGTCTTATCATCTTGATCAGACCATAGCAATAAGATTCTTGAGGGGAGATGCTAGTCTTACAATTCTTTTTTTTTTTCCCTTTTCAAAAATTGAGACGAAGTTGGGCACGGTGGCTCATGCCTGTAATCCCAGCACTTTGGGAGGCTGAGGTAGGCGGATCACCTGAGGTCAGGAGTTCAAGACCAGCCTGGTCAACATGGTGAAACCCTGTCTCTACTAAAAATACAAAAATTAGCCAGGCATGGTGGCAGGCATCTGTAATCCCAGCTACTCGGGTTGCTGAGGCAGGAGAATTGCTTGAACCCAGGAGGCTGAAGTTGCAGTAAGCCAAGATCACACCACTACATTTCAGCCTGGACGACAGAGCGAGACGCAAGCTAAAAAAAAAAAAAAAAAAAAAAAAATTAACCATTTTAAACTGAACAATTCAGTGCTTATAATTTAAACTTTTACACAATGCATGACAACTGGACAGAAGATGCTCAAATAGGCATTTGCTAACAATTACCTGATGGTTCCTCCATAGCATGCTGTGACTAGATAGTAACTAATAACTAATTACCCAGATCCTTTGAAATGGATTTATAAACATAGCCAGTTTTTTACTTTTAGAAACTCTAAGTTGTAGACTCTAGGAAGCCTTATTCTGAAAGTATTAGACACTCCCATGCCATAGAGACAGAGAGTTCTTCTGGATGAGGAAGTAGCACTTAGAAGGTACATTCCCATTTACTACCTGCAAGGAAATGTCAAAAATGAACCCAGCCAGACCAGGACTGAGTTGGACAAGAGATACTCTGTTTCGGCTGTTTTCCTAGTCTATTTGGACAGCCTAAAAGAAGAGCACTATAGCCCTGGTGACAATATATTCATGCATCTCTATTCCAAGATCCTTTATAATCATACCACCATTTGGCAAAGGTATGTTTGCCCACCATAGACAGTTAATATCACATAACCCTCCCTTGTATTCCTTAATGCCTTATAGTTGACAAAAGATCTTCACCTCAAAGATTACCCCCATTTTATACATGAAGAAATTGAAGTTCCGATAGGATAAATTTCTTGCCCAGAGCCCAACTGTTAGTATATGTTGAACCTGAGACTTAAATTCAATCCTGAACCTCCCAAGTCTGTGGATGTCCTGATGAAACTACTAGCACTCAGATGTGCCCAAGCCATGAGGGGTCAGAAATATGGCTTCCTACTCCAGCATACTGTTTTGGAGAAGCAGTTTTAGCAACAATTTTCTATTTCCTCAACACTTAACCCTTTCCTGCCTTTTTACCTTTGCTCATGTCATTTCTCTCTTCTGGTACCACTTACCCATTTTCTGTATAAATCCTACTGAAGTTCAGAGGTTCCTCTTTGGGGGAGATTCTAGAAATTCAAGGAGGCTCCTGTGTCATGCTGTTTGGTTTGAAGTTAGCACCTTGTACCTCATGTCTCCAGTATATAGAGTAAGGACTCAGAACATGATCTGTTTATAAATGTTACATTAACTAGAAAGAGCCATACCTCTTAAGAAAACTTGATTCCATTATTATTAATCTGCTTTTTGCTTGTGCACATATATTTATGTTAACACTTGCCAATCATGTAGATAAACTAAGAATCATTATTTGGGCAAATTTTATTAGGCTAGAACAATTTTTTTAGATTGATTTCAAAACTAACGAGTAAAATTTAGAAATTAGGCAGATTTTTGGATATAAAATTTTATATACTTCTCAGCCAGGCTCTTTTAAAAGCCAAAGAGGCTAGGTTTTTTTTTCTTTAAGAAATATGAAATCATTTTTTTCCATATTTGTTTCTTAATTCCTTCCATTTGTATAGCTTTTGTTTTTGCTTTCCCAAGAACTTTCATAACAGGGTGAATTTCACCATTGTCTAGATTAATCAGTTTTTTGGGTAGTGTGGGGTGCTAGTAAATAAGTGCCTTGGGTCACTGCAAAGAGAGGGGTATTCACATGGAGCAGTTTGGAAGGCACTCAGCAAATTGTTGGGTCATGGGTAGTCACTTTGGTGGGCTCATTCCAGCATGCAGTGCCCGTAACTATGGGTGCAAGTTCCTCACCTGCCAGAGAGAAGAGCACAGCCCAGAGACAGAGGGAGATTACAGAAATGGTCACGGGTGATGCCTTGTCTGGGGACTTCCAGACCTTTTCTTTTAAGGAAAGTCCTTGGCCATTTTCATTTATTTTGCATGGACCCTCAGGTCTGATCCCCTTGTCTGGGGCCTCCTGCAAACCTCTTCCAAGGTCAGGCCTTGTTTCACCTCCACTCCTCCTGACTCTCAATGGTAGGTGACTGTCCTCTGCTTTGCTCTTTGAACATCTTCCTGTTGATTTTCAAGGGCGCTTTATTCTCTCAACCAAACCCACTGCTTTAAAACAAGCATTTTGGCTTTCAAAGCTGTTGTTCGTGGTGAACAAAAACACATGGTGTATAAAAACACAATCATTTTGGAAGTCAAAACTGAGGGTAGACTCTTTTCTTCTCCCTGCCTTCCTGCTTTTTGGATGCCAGTAATAATTCCTCTTGAAGCACTGTGGGTGCTGCTGACTGAGGAGGAGCATCTCCAACAAAGAAGGGCAAAAAAGAAAAGCCAAAAGGTTAATGTCTTGCAACAATATCCACTAGCTTTTTTTGATTCTCATAGGAGTACACAGGGAAGGTATTATATCTGCAGATAGAGAAAGGAGTTGTGAGATCTGACAGAGGTCCCAGAGCCAACACGGCAGAGCTGATAGAACTTAAATTTCCTGATTCCCAATCCATCTCTCCTTTCAACAGAAATCCATGCCAGTTCGAATCCTTGAACCTTTCCATTGTATTTACAACAAAATCAGACATCTGATGCTGTGTTTGCAACTATGTTACCATCCCTTCCCCCCATGCTCCAAAAACAAGAGAATTGCTGATTATTCTTATTTTTGTGTATTGGGGGTAGGAGGGTTGGTGAGGAGACGAAGAATAGCAGTTTAGCCTTTCTCATATTTCAAATGACTCATTGGTTTTTTAAAAAAATCTTGTATTCTCGATGACATTCTGACATCCAGGTAAAACTTTGAAATGACACGAAAGGTCTTACTTACAGAAATCCAGCCTAGGTGAAAGTAGAAATGAATGACTTTCCAAGCACCAATGATACCCTGTGCTCATCTGTGTGCAAGTGGAGCAGGGTCCATTCCTTCCTGACACCACCTCTACACCCAGATACAACACTACTCTGGAAAGACACAGATGGGCAATGGAAACTTTGATTGGGGAGGGTGTCATATAACTCATCAGAGGCTAAGTAAGTAGGTCCAAGATTTCACAATGTTCTATTTCATATTCATTCTAAATAGCAGATGTAAATAGCTATATTCCCATGTCTGCTGGACAGAGTTGACATAGTTGGCCAGGTGGCTCTATTAGCACATTACACTTTGAGAGAAGACCTCTGGCAAGGTTTTTACTCTCCTTATTAACTAACAGTTGCTGAGAATGTGCTACAGTTTCTTTAAGTCAAAAGCAGTGTGTTTATTATTCACCATTTCTGGTACATGAAAGACTCAGGGGACATGATAGCTGTCTTCAGCTCTTTGAATAATTGTCATGTGTAAAGGGTGTCTAGCTTATTATGTGGGAACTCAAGATATTGGGTTAGGACCAATGGATAGAAGTCTTAGGGAGGCAGATTTTTGTAAAATATAAGAATAAAATTTCAGAACGTTCTGAAAATGGAATGGGTGGGTTCCTCAGCCCTGCAGATGTTCCAGCAAAAGCTGGAAGACCACTTGGCTTTTATTATATAGATGGAATTCAGTTCTTTAATTGGCAGATGAACTCTCTAAAGTGCCCTCTAACCTTGAAATTAGTGATCATGTGTGCCAATTAGAAGTCGGACTTTGGAATTTGACCATTACATTGGTGGCCATTTAGCAGCCATCAAATATGGCACCATGACATGAGATTTCATTGTTCCATTGCAAATCTGCAAGTCACCACTTATCCACTGTCTACAGAAATGGGGAGCATGAATGACCCCCAGCAGAACATTCCCCAGATTGTAGATGTAGATGTGATGCACTGGTTCCTTAGAAACCTTGCCAGCTTTTTCTGATTTCTGAGCTGGTACCATTCCAGAATATCCTGTTTATCCATAATATGCAAAAGCACATGTCAAATATAAATAAACTGAGAAGGGCTTCCTTCTTTTTGGGAGGCCTTGGCATCTCAGATCCCTCCCTTTATCTCCAGGTAGCCAGGAAGTAATCTCTGAGTTAATAGCTGAAAAAAAGCTTAATATAATGCCTCTCCCAGAGTTCTTTGCATTTTCATAGTGTAAGGCAGCATTAAATGAAACTCTAACACTTAAAAAGAATACTTCACCAATGGTAGAGCTTGACCCTGGGACTGGCAGAAAGAGATTTGATGGAGAGGGGGATTGGAAAGGAGAAGAGCCTTCCTGGCATATAGTTATTACACCCAGCCACTTACAAGGCCTGCTCGGATAGGAATTCATTGAAATGGGTTAATTTCAGTGGTTTCCGATGAGAAAACAATGAATATGGAGTGGTACTTATTTGTTGCTGAAACTGGGTTGAAATGTAATTTGTGCCTTTTCCATGACTACTGAATGTCTCCTCTGAGAAGGCCTCTCTGAGTCCTACAAAGAAAACTTATTCAGTGAGACGCATAAAAATACCAAATACATTCTCATGTAATGGCCACCATAAATCAACTAAAGCATCTTCAATGATTTATGCTTTGAGAGCCCAGAGAGCATTTATAATCTTGAAACATAGGAGGGTTTTTCGAAGGTTTGTAGTGGCAGTTCTGGTTCATGTTAGACAGAATCATAGTGGTCTGCAGGGAGAGAATCTCATTTTTACTGATGATGTAATAGGCATTTTGTTTTCCTAATGAGAGGTGGTCCGGGCCCTAGGGCATTCCCAACCACGTATTACTGGGAGAGAAAGATGAGGAGGAGGCTTTCACCTTTGTAGACCTGCTCCCTGCAAGGCTGCCTTTTATCCCTGAAGGAAGCAGGTGATAGGCAAATGACCAAGGAATTAAATACCACAGGACATCCGAGGCACAGAACACGTTCATACACAGAGCTGAAATTAAACAACATGATTTCATTTTCAGCAATCATTTTCACAACATGACACAGCCTTTTACTATTCTTTGTAGGGTGGGAACCATTAAAGCAAAGTTATTTGTACAAGATTTCTTTGGAGTTCTGACTACCATTTCATGCTTCTTTGGCCAAGGTCTTTGACTGAGATTCCCTAAGGAAGTGGCAAAGAAGCAGAATGTGCTATGATCTCTGAATGTTCCTGGGAGACTAAACATGATCTTTCCTTGCAAGAAAGTCACAGTTCTCTGTGTAATAAACAGAGTTGGCTGCTCCCCAGAATTCTCCAGTCAAGGATTACTATCTGCGAGCTGTTTGAACTTCTGCTCCTTGGGAAATTAAGGTGGGCTTTCTGGCACTCTGCGTTATGCAAAAGCTGTTTACATTTCTGTTTCAAACAGCACAGAAAAATCCATGAATTGCACTTTACAACTGAAATTTGTTATAGACTGAGTTGCTTAGTTGACCAAATCTTGGGAATCTTAAAGTTGATATAGTTTTGTTTGTTAGTTTTGTTTTTGACGGCTGGTTTAAGACTTCCTTCATTCACCAGCACCTGAAAACTAAATCTATACTAGTTTGGGAATTTGAAAACTGGGTAGATTCAGTTATAAGGAAAATTATAACAAAAGGATTTAGTCTTTTGGAAAGCAATCCAGATCTCCTTTGTCTAGGCATTTTATATTCCTTGAAGGGAAAGCTTTTTGAAAAGTTGATACTTCAGTTGAATAAAAGAACACATCCGATCTTGAAGAATATCTAATAGCCTTATCAATGCTATTTCTTCAAATGTTATCAGAAGTCTCATGTTTATATTGACATTGCATGTTTTGATAATTTGTAGTAGAATGTAAACACAGAATAACTTGAATTTTCTTGAGTGAGTTCAGCATCTGCATTCAAGTAAAGTGGATTTCTATCCGCATATGGATTTGTCTGTAACTACTGTAATGATTGTTTCTAAAAATTTAGTTATAGTAACACAGTGTGCTTCGCTAGGTTCAGATAACCAGGTTGTATTTAGGCTGTTTTTGTGTTAAAAATAGGAAAGACTACACAGGCTAAAAATCAAAGCCTAAATTTCACATATTCAGAGACAACATGATAATTTCCATGAATTCGGCCTCATGCTAAGGGCTTTGATGCATTGTCTCACTTTTACTCAAGAAATCCTTTGTGGTATATAAGTGTAATAGGAGTTGCCTTATTACGAATGAAGAAACTGAGGCTTAGAAAATTAGTCAGATATCCAAAGGCAAAGTTAATAAGTAGCAGTCAAGGATTTAAATCAAGGTCTCTGATTCCAAAACCTGTCACTCTTCAGTTTAAGAAGCTTCCTTCCATCTGCACAAGAAAGCCTTGTTTGAAGCTGTATAATACTATGCAAGTGAGTCATTATTTTGAAGTACTAATGGTTCTAAGAGTTCTACCTTAGTTAATCAGCCAGTCAACAGACATTTATTTTTCACTCACTTGTGATGTTCCAGGTGAGTTCTAGGAAGGTACACAGATCTCTGTATTAACTATACAAAGAAAAACATCACTGCTACCTTTACTTGGAAAGTGTGAAGCAAATATGTGTGGCATATTCATAGTGGATGTGTGTGTTTAGTCATAACATGAATTAATCAACAGTTAATCAATGCATATTATTGAATTTCTGTATGGAATGTGGATCATAGAAATGGTAAATAAGGATTTTTTCTTTTTTTTGAGATGGAGTCTCACTCTGTTGCCAGGCTGGAGTGCAGTGGTGCGATCTCGGCTTACTGCAACCTCCGCCTCCCGGGTTCAAGCAGTTCTCTTGCCTCAGCCTCCCAAGTAGCTGGGACTACAGGTGTGCACCACCATGCCCAGCTAATTTGTGTATTTTTAGTAGAGACGGGGTTTCACCATGTTGGCAAGGATGGTCTCCATCTCTTGATCTCGTGATCCGCCCACCTCGGCCTCCCAAAGTGCCGGGATTACAGGCATGAGCCACCGTGCCCAGCCGTAAATAAGAATTTTTAACTGAGTCTCACGTCTGTCATTCTTCAGTTCTGGACTTTAGCTGAGTTACTTATGTCTTTGAACCTTTGTAAAGTGGAATGAGATGAACGAGACAATGCTGTTAAGCACCTAGAACAGTATCTGGTAGGTGATTGGCTGAAAAATAAAGCACTCTGCCATACTTTGCCCACTTCACCTGTGTATCCAATTGGATGTGTATCTGTCGGTAGGCATAGCCTCCCCTGAACTCTCACTGGCCTCTAAATCTGACCAAGCGGCGACATTCACTTCCTTGGACATTTTTACATTTCCCAAGTTTACAAAGTTTACATGACATAGAAAGAGAGCAGAATAGTCTTGGTTTCACATAGGTAACACTCCCTTTCCCTTTTGTCCCCTGTGATCACACTGGTGGAGACAGTGACCTCAAGTTCTTATTATTCAACCTAGAAAGCAGCTAGCTGGTCTTTCCCTCAGGGCCGGAAAACTTTTCTGTCTGCATTTTGCAAACTTTATATAGTTCAGCTATTCCTTCCTTCTCAGGCACCTTATAACTCTCTTCAGAGTAGGACAGGAGTGTCGTCAGGGTGTTGTCCTCCTCAGGCTTCTGATTCTATAGCCATGAGACTGCAGATTTCATATTCCACAGCAGTGCCTGCTTTAATGAATTTGATCACTGAAATTTTATATATTGAGTTGCTATGTCTTAGGAATAGCTGCCTTAGAAAATCTTATCCATCATTTAAAAAATTGCTTCAATAGTTTCTTTAATGTGACCCTACAATTTTTTTTAAAACCCTCAAAATATATGGAGTTTGATATCAAGTGCCAGTACAACTTGATTAAAGAATGAAAATATTGCAAAACTGTGCTTTACTGACCATGGCACCACCTTCTGGGCCTGTGAGGGGGAGCCTGAGTAGAAGTAGTAGGGTCTGGTGGTTCACACAGAAGACTTGATGTTGCTCAGACCCAGCTTTGAGTCCAGGCTTCTAGTTGTGTGATCTTGAATGCATTGCTTGGTCTTTTTGAGCCACAGTTTTTCTATCTGTTACAAGAGGGATGACAGTTACAATAAAACCAACACCCTCAAAGGTTGTGGTGAGGCATATATAAAATAATGCATGTACAGCTCAATGTTGATTATTTAGTAAATAATCAAAATACTAGCTCATTGTAAAGTGAGACATGGTCAGGATGCCTTACTGTCTTTTGAAGAGATGGCATGTGTCCACAGAACAAGCAGAGAATATCCTGTTAATAACATGCTAAATTATGTAAAATATCTAATAAGGCCAACATCGAGACACTGAGATTTCTAGTTTACCTTATTGGATACTATTAGGTTGGTGCAAAAGTAATTATGGTTTTTGCTTTTTTTTTGTTTTTAATGGCAAAAACCACAATTACTTTTGCACCAGCCTAATATATCAGTTTCTTGGAGCTGCCATAACAAAGTACCACCAACTGGGTGGTTTTGAAAACAGAAATTTATTGTCTCACAGTTCTGAAAGCTACAAGTCCAAAATCAAGGTGTTGGCAGGGCCATGTTCCTTCTAAAGCCTGCAAGGGAAGGAGCCTGCCTTTGTTCTTAGAGCTTCTCATAGCCCAGGTATTCTTGGCTTGTGGCAGCATAATGGTGTTCTTTCTGTGCCACTTTACATTCTCTTCCCTCTAGTGTCTGTCCCTGTGTCCAAATTCCCCAACCCCCCACCTTTTTTTTTTTTTTTTTTTTAGATCCAGTCTCTGTTGCCCAGGCTGGAGTGCAATGGTGCAATCTCAGCTCACTGCAACCTCCGCCTCCCAGGTTCAAGCGATTCTTGTGCCTCAGCCTCCTAAGTGGCTGAAATTATAGTTGCACGCCACCACGCTAATTTTTGTAGTTTTAGTAGAGACATTTTGTCATGTTGGCCAGGCGGGTCAAATTTCCCCTTTTAATAGACACCAATACTGGTTTAGAGCCCACCCCAATGACTGCATTTCAACACTGATTATCTTTATAGGGACCCTGTTTCCAAATCAGATCACATCTGAGATACTGGAGGTTAGGACTTCAACATATCTTTTTCAGGGGACATAATTCAACTCATATCAGATATGTGTTCTCTAGCATTGTCTATAACCTCGAGCTCCACTGGTGAAGCTCCTTCCCTCTTGTGGGGTATATCGACTGCTATTAACTGGATATTTCAGAGTTTATGGGTCATGTTTCATCTGTAGCCTTGAGATCTGGTAAAAATTTGTCATCCTGGCACAGATTCTTTCTTCCAAGATGTGTTACTTTCTCAGTGGCCCATTTTACTGAGTTCCCCCACTCTTATAATTTGTAATTTTAGTTATATTTTAAAATATATATTTTATTACAATTTATAAAAGTTATTTAAAATGTTTTTATATTTTATGTGCTTATTGTAACAACTCAGTGATATATAAAAGCAAAAGTTAGCTGTCTCTCCCCAGCTTCCTTCCATTTTTATCTTCTCCAATATTAAAGTCAACATTAACAGCCTGGTGTCTCTCCTTCTGTATGTTTCTTCATGCTCAATCATGTGCAAATACCTCTTGTCATATTTTTGGTTGTTTATTTTTACAGAAAATGGTATTGTGTCATATTCATACTTAGCTTGCTTCCACATCAATAGAGGGAGAGTTATCTCTCTTTAATAGTTGCATAATATACTGGTATACTATAGTTTTTTAGTCGTTAACTTACTAATGGAAATTTAGATTGCCATTTTTCCATTTTGAGCTGTATGAAATGTTGAGAAGAGGTAGAACTCATCTTTTTTGTTTGCTTACTGTGCAACTTGAACAATATTATTTTTAAAGAAAAAAAATCCTGAAATGTCAGTTCTTAACAGTTACAGGAATATCTAGAAGGATTTCCTAGAGTGATGAAAGAGGTCACCCCCCCATTGCCACTTGGTTGCCTTATGCCTTCATAAAAATGCCAGAGAGTTCCTGGGACCAAGGGGGAGCTTCCAAATGTGCTTTGGGAGCTTCTTTGAGCCTGTAATTTAATGATGTCTGAATGTCATGAATTTGATGTTGCCATGTTCCTTTTGTGAGCCTGAAAGTAAGCCTTTATGTGTCACATACTACACATGCTGTTGCCAACTAGACTGGATAAGCAGGCCATTCAGGAAAAATAATTAGAACACAGTAAACAGACCCTGGATTTTAAAGCTAAGCTTAACTAAATGTTACTTGCCACTTTAGGGCAACTTCGGGGCTTAGTTTGTCTATAGAAATATCAGTAATAGGCTTCCAGATACTGTATTCCAGTGACTAGTTAGCATTACTCATATAAACTGGTTCTACTTTTGGAGCAAGCACAGGACAGATTCCTTAGCAATTCTTGATCAATAGCCAGCTGGTATACTGCAGTGACCTGGGATAACCTGAGAATTCAACCAGAGGAAATGGGTTTATAGGTTTATATATTTTAACTGATGAAACAGAAAATGGGGGAAGAGGGAGTATGCCTTACTTAGATATGGTTCTGGCATGTTTTGTGTTTTCTGCTTTTTAAAAGATCATGATAAAAACAAACTTCAAATAGTGTAGAAGGATATGAACTATCAAGTAAAGATCTAGAGTCCCATAATTCTAATTCCCATAAGTAGTTGATAACAACCACTTCCTATCTTCATGATGTATTAAGTGGGCAAATGAATGTTGTAGAATATTATAGAGAGTATTATGCTACATATATTACATAATGAACTATATGTAAATATTACATATATACTGTATGTAAATATATGCATGTACATATACATACATATGTAAAAATAAATGGGTTTAAAAAATAAAGGAGTATAGAGTGTTCTGGAACTTTTCCTTTTCAGTAAACAATATTACCTTTAACCCATTTCCATATCAGTACTTCTAGATCTACCCCATTGTTATCAGCTTCTGCCTAGCAATCCTCTGCTGGGTTGTGTCATAATATTTGTTTCACCAATCCCCTACTAATGAGCAGGTATGCAGTTCTCAGTGCTTTGCAATTACAACCAATATTGCAGATAACATCCTTACACAACTATCTTTGTGCAGTCATGTGTATTAAATTTTATATTGACAAATTCATTCATGATTTTTAAGACTTCAAGGATTTGGATCATGCTTTAATACTCCCCATATCAAAAAATTTTAGTTTTATATACTTTATTCTGACACTATTTTAGTTTAATTTTTTTACCCTTTAAGTCTTTAGGAGAATAACAAAGTAGGAATCCACCCTAACTTTTTCGCCCCAAAAGCCAGCCAGCTTTTGCAACATCTATCATTAATCTGTCATCTCCTTATCCCACTTCAGTTTTGAAGAGCTTCATTTACCATATTCAAACACCCATATATGACACGTAGAACTTTCTCTGAACTCTGTTTAGGGTTATTTTGTCTGTTTCTGGGTTAGTATTAAACTGTTTCAATTACTGTAGCTTTATAATACATTTTCATATTTGGCAGGGTTAGTTCTCCCATTCACTTATTTTTTCCTGACAGTTTTCCTGGTCTTTATCACGAATTTATTTTTCTGTATAAATCTGTGTATGATTTTGTGAAAATGTTCCCCAAATCTTGTTTGTATTTTGATTATGATTATATTAAATTTAATATGGGAAAGATTATATTTTTATTATATTGAGTCTTCTCACCCTAGAACAAAGCATGACCTTCTATTCAATTATTTTATGATTATCAGGGGAGATTTGTTTTTCTTCATATAGAGCCTGGAAATTTCTCCCCAAGTATTCTACATATTTTGTTTTTATCCTAAATGGTTGCTGTTTTTTTCTCTTTGTCCTCTGTCAGGTTATTAGTTGGATAAAAGGAAACTATTAGTTTTAACATATTAATGTAGTAATCAATTTATGCAGTTCTTAGTTTTTTTAGTTGATGCTCTTGGAATTCCCAGGTATACAGTCATATTATCTGCAAATAATGGTAATTGTTGCCCCTTCCTTTCCACTATGGAGATTTATTTTCCATGTTGATAAATGTTGTGTGCTATTACAGAACAAAGACAATGGTATCTTTTGTTTCCTAATTCACATAGGCTAATGATTTCAAACTGCAGGTTATAACCCATTTGTGGGTCATTAAAGCCTTCTGGTATATTATGACCAGAGTTTTTTAAAAATGAGGTAAAAGTAGAATAGAAAAATATCAGAGAACATTACATATAGTAAGGGTTATGAGTCTTACCTTTTAGTTTTACGTATGTGTGTGCATTTACTGGGTCATATGGTAAAATTTCTTACTGTAAGTGGCAGTAAAAATATGTTTGAAATGTACTCATATCAGTGATTTTTTTTTTTTGGAAGTTACAGATACTTTTCCTCATCTTCTGGAAGTTAGAGGATAGTGTCTCCTCTTGGTTCCATCTCTCCTTGCTTCCCCCTGAGTAGTAGGAGGACTGAGTAGAATTATGTAAGCACTGTGATGGCTTTTCAGCCTTAGATGGAATGACAGTAGGTAGCCAAAGCTCTGGGTTGGAATGCAATATCTTCAGCAGAATCTCCACGAGTTAGAGACCAAAGCCAGCTTACTGAAAAGAGGCAGAAAGTGAAGAACTATTTGTTGAGTTCAGACAGTATAGTGAGTGAGTCCATTTGCATTATGTTTTTTTTTTTTTTCTTTTTGAGACAGGGTCTCACTCTGTCACTCAGCCTGGAGCACAGTAGCACAATCTCAGCTCATTGCAACCTCTGCCTCCCAGGTTCAAGCGATTCTCCAGCCTCAGCTGGGACCACCGGCACATACCACCATGCCCTGCTAATTTTTGTATTTTTTTAGAGACAGGGTTTCACCATGTTGCCCAGGCTGGTCTCAAACTCCTGAACTCAAAGTGATGTGCCTACCTTGGCCTCTCAGAGTGCTAGAATTACAAGCATGAGTCACTGCACCCAGCCTTTTTGTTTGTTTGTTTGGAACTATTTACCAAACGAAGCACAGAGATTGCATATCCACAGCTTGATTTCGCAACTACCTTTCTGACTACTTGGGCAACTCAGTTTCTCAAGGAGGTAGAAATGGGTGAGATATAATCAGGGTGTAATCCCTTGAGAGTTATCACACCTGTCCCTTTAGGGACTGCCTACCAAACACAAAGGGATGTCCTAGGAGGCACAGGAATAAATGAGGCATGGTCCTTGCCTTTATGGGGCTGCTTTTGGTTCTGTTACATTAGAGTTATTCAGACACTTCTATTTAGTATTCAGGTATCTACAATTTAACACAAAATGTAGAAAGCGCTGTAAAAGGGAGCATCAAACTGGTCAAAAGCTCCTGTTTGTAAGTCGATAGTCATTCAGTAATAGAAAGGTATTCTTTTAAAATTAGGCAATACATGACTATCATTTGCTTTTATACTCTTTAATGGAAATAGATAGCTGTTCATACTTAGAGTTCAAAGCAGCCCCAGGAACCAGGTTCTCTGCCATGCCCTGAGCAGCCGGAGCTGATGGAGTTTCTCTCTGATGTGCAGCCCTTCACATGGCCAAGTCTGCTGCTGGTTCTGCTGCCTCATACCCAGCTCCAGCTTGTGCTTACTCACAGCCCACTCCTGCCTCTCCATTCTGTGGCCTTTCAGTTTCTGCTGCTGCCTGCGCAAAGATTTTCCTTTTTCTTATGTTTGACTCTCAAGAAAGAAGGAGTGAGGGGAAAAGCAGAAAGCAGAAATAAATCTGTCTGGTCAAGCTCACCGCTACTGTGCCAGAGCTTTTTATTTTCCAGCCCATCAGCCTCTCTTTGCAGTCTTGCTGTTCTGTTGCATTGTCTTCACTTGCACAACCCTGATTATATCCAACCCTCCACCTACTCAGCACCTGCGTTGCTGCAGCTGGATAAGACTTGGGTGAAGCACGCAATTGCGCTGACTCACCTGCAGTTCGTGATCATTGATCTCAAGTGAGTTTTCAGTGCTGTTCACCAGTTGTGTTACCCCTCACCAGTCCATTCACTGTGCTACTTTTCTAGACAACCAATTTGTTCATACCTTCTGCTCTTTCCCCAAACTCCAGCACCTCTTCCCCCATCCTCAGTCTCAGCTGATGACCTTGCTTCTTATTTTAATGAGAAGATGGGAGCAATCAGAATAGAGCCCACATAGGGTCTTTCCACCACATCTTCCCAGCGAGTGGCTCTGCCCATATTCTCTGCCTTCTCTCCTATAACTGCACGAGTGGCCCACATACCTATCTTAGCCCAGCCTCTCCCCTTGTGTGTTAGATTCATCTCCTTGTGCCTGCTCAAGAGCATTGCTTTAGCAGTTTTCCCTACTCCTGCATCACCAATTTCCCCTCTCTCTACTGAATCATTCTTATCTGCAATACAAATATTCTCTTATTTCTCCCATGTTAGAAAATCCTCTGTGGATGTTTCTTTCTCCTTCTCCTATCCATTTCTGCCTTACATTTTCAGAAACATTTCCAAAAAAATTCCTAACTTTTTTGTGCCATAAAGACCTTTAATGGTCTGGTGAAGCCGTGGACTCCTTCTCAGAATAATGTTTTAAAGTGCTTAAAGTGAAACATAAGGCTAAAAAAGAAACACAGGATATTAATATACTGATCAAAATAACTTTCCACTGTTGTGATACGGTAGCATGTTACAAATGAAGAAACTGAGGCTTAGAGAGTTAGACACCCAAAGGCAAAGTTAGTAAGTAGCAGTCAAGGATTTAAATCAAGGTTTCTGATTCCAAAACCTGTCACTCTTCAGTATAAGAAGTTTCCTTCCATCGGAGCACTTGTAGAGCAGAAGAGCACAGTCACATGAGACCTAGTGATGGGTACAGTAATTACTGTAAATTTGAAATAGTAATGAGCATGATGTTTTGAGATATATGTAACAACTATAATGTAATATGAAAATATCCACAATTTCTATAGGCTATGAAGTAACAGATGCTGCTATTATATTATTAGTTGAAGAAAATGCTGCATTAGGGAGGAGTCAAAATACAGATGTAATTTTTTTTCCATCAAAATCCCTGAGCTCTCTGAATTCTATCCATAGATTCTTTGGGGACCCTCATTTTAGAGACTCTGCTTTTTATAGCAAAATTCCATTTCAGAGTTTTTCTATTCCCTGCCTTCTACTTCTCTTCACCCTTTATTGAGTCTGCTCTGATCAGGCTTTTGCCCCCATAATCTAGTGAAACTGTTCTTGTCAGGGTTGCCAATGACTTCCATATTGCTGTGGCCCATGATTTGCTTGCCTTATGAGCAGTATTTGAGAAAACTGATCATTCTTCTTTACTTTTCTTCACTTGTCTTCAAGGATACACACTCTCTTGGTTTTCCTCTGGCTTTTTTGGCAACTAGTTCTCAGATACCTATACTGATTCCTCATCTTCTGACTGCTAGATTTTGGAGACCCAGCACTCAGTCCTTCAATGTCTTCTCTTTCTGCCTATATACATTCTTTCATTTATCTCATCCATCCTTGAGGCTTTAAAATATTCAATGTATTCTAACATTCCTCCCAAAATTATAACTTTGGTCCTAACCTATCTCCTGAATTCCAACTGCCTACTCAATACCTCCATTTGGTTGTTTAATAGGCAAACAAATTAATCATGTCCAGATCTGGGTTCACCTGCTTTTCCTGTGGTCTTTCACATCCCAGCAAGTGGTATGTCGATTCTTCTAGTTGCTTGGGTCAAACACCTTGGATTCAGGTTTAACTCTCCTTCTCACATCCTGCATCCAATCCATCAGCAAGTCCTGTCAGTTCTGTCTTCACAGTATATTCTGAATGTTACCCTTCTCCACCACCTTGCTGTTGCCCCCTACACCAGCCTCTAAGGCCCTTTCCCTGGAATTTCACCCTAGCCTCCCCACCCTCCCCACCCCCTCCCTGCTCCTCTTTTCTATCCCTATATTTGGATGTTTGCAAATCCTACAAACAACCTATCCACCCTACTCCTTTGAATTCAGAAGAAATATGCACAGTTGCCAAACAAAATTGAAAATTCTTCCAGGTACCAGGGATTGCTAATGTACATGATTCCAAAATGATAGATGTTTTCCTATAAGTGACTTATGGAATTCATTCAGCAGCAAAAACATTAACTTGATAGGATTTTAAATGCAGCTCTGTAGGTTTGGTACCCATAGAAAGACAGTTTCAAAAGCATGGTACTTCAACTTTAGGACCTTACTTTTAAAGGACGTTCAGAAATTGTTTCACATGTACAAATGAAATTGGGACGTACATCCTCCAAATATAAAGGAATTATTTCTGATATGTGACTACCAAATAATACAAAATGTGTTAGCTAATAGCTGTATTCTTCTACTGCTCATTCTCTGTTATAAAATCAGAAAATAATAGAAATGCTTCAAGTAGCTTAGAGTGCAGGTAACTTTCCTTAACAATTAATTAAGTCATTTGTTCACTAACCACTGTTTAATGGCTTTTATGTGCCAGGTACTCCACTGGGTGCTGGGGATACAAAGAAGAATAAAATCCAATGGATATTCTTAAAGAGATCACAGATAAGTGGGAGAGGCAGAGGAATAAACAGCTGAGTACAATACAAATATGATCCATATCATAATAGAGGTGATAAAAATGGAATTATCAGCTCTGTTTAAATAGGTCAGAAAGTTTCATCCGGAAGCATTGCGTGGGATTCCTTGAAAAAAACGATAGAATCATTGTCACAATGTGTAAAGGGTACCTATCCTTACCACACCTCAACCGTGTTACAAAAAGGAGTTGGCTTGGAATTCTAAGGATGAAAAACAGATATCATATGTGTTATAAACACCCTGTGTTGAAAAAATGCCAGTCTGGCATTCCAGAAAGTGGAATCTGTTCTGAAACTTCCTAAAACTTTCTAAGGTAAATATATTCCAGAACTTCTCTTATTCATCCAGGGATTGAGAATGCTTCTTAGGGATTCCTAATATAAGTAATTCACCTTCATCATATTACAACTTTTCTCTGTGGTGGTGTAATATATACATATTATATGATGTAATTATATATATATACTATAGCAGCCATGATGGCACACACCTGTAGTCCCAGCTACTCAGTATGCAGAGGTAAGAAGATCCCTCCATATATTATTATATGTATATAATACAAATTATATTATATAGTGGCAATATAAATTATATTGTATAGTAGTAATAGCTGCAATGTAAGAGATTTCAGAATCAATTTTCTATAATCTACTTTAAGAGATTTCAGAATACACTTTGGGAGGGCGAGGCGGGCAGATCACGAGGTCAGGAGATCAAGACCATCCTGGCTAACACGGTGAAACCCCATCTCTACTAAAAATACAAATAATTAGCCGGGAGTGGTAGTGGGCGCCTGTAGTCCCAGCTACTCGGGAGGTTGAGGCAGGAGAATGGCATGAACCCGGGAGGTGGAGCTAGCAGTGAGCCGAGATTGCGCCACTGCACTCCAGCCTGGGCGACAGAGCGAGACTCTGTCTCAAAAAAAAAAAAAAAAAAAAAAAGATTTCAGAATAGATTACACGCACGTATGTATGTATGCATGTATAAATGCATGTATCTATGTAGGTATATAATGTATCATAGAGTCACATTAAAAAACCAGTCCCTCTGAATGGAGATGAGATGGAAACTCATGGAGAATTACTAGAAATTACCGAATTATACTGCCTGAGTATGTGAAAGTATTACCTTGCTTTAATTTTACTTTACTTAGTGTTGGGTCCATGAAATCAGGAAACAATTTCCCAGTCTTCCACATTTTAGTCGTGAGGAAACAGATCAATTTTTAGAGGTGAGGAACTTTCCTAGGGTTACCCAGCCAATCTGCAAGAGGGTTAGGAATAGAATCCAAGTTTCCTTAGTCTTATGGTTCTTCTTGCATTTTGTAAATGAGCTTTTATTGGCTGATGCTTAGCAAAAACGTTTCCCATTAGAATTCTGTAGGCCAGTCTGAAATTATCTGGCCAAGACTGATATTTTGTACTTGAAGAATGGAATGTCAGCTAGATGCCATCCGGGCCTCCACCCAGGCTTCCTCCAGCTCCCTGCACCTAGTTTCTATAACAGCAAGTCATGTGCTCAGCAAGGGGCTACACGGGGTCATGGGCCTGCTGCCAAGACTGGGGAGCAAAGCATGGAAGTTCAAGTCTAGACAGCAATGTGTTGAAAGCCAAGCTAGCAGGTGAGAGATCCAGCACATAAATAAAGACCAAGATGGGATGGCAGAGTCTTTAAGGACACCCTGCCCTATGCAACTGAGAGGGCAAATGAGGTGAGGTCTAAAAGCAAAGTAGTGGAGTCCTCTGGAGTTTAGGTGTTGGACCCAGTTTCAGAATAGAAGCAATAGCTAGGAGGAGGAGCCACCACATAGTCTGGAGGCTAACTCTGACTTGCAGTTGCTTTTGTTTGGTTGAGCATAGTTGTTATTATTTCTTAAAATAATGCTTACCTGAAATACTTTCATGTGCTCTCCATTTCACCATGGTTCCACCTGTTGCCTCACACCCATTCAGACAAGTCCGCAATGAGCCCAGCCTTGCTGTTTCTTCAGAGTTCTGGGTATTGCACAACTGGGCAGGGAGTGAGCACAGTTCCTTAAGACAAGCTGGCAATCCTCATAGACTCACAAATATGAATGTAGAGAGATTCCAACTTGAGGTTCTTTTGCAGTAGGCAAAATCAACAAACGCTCAGTATTGACTACATTTGATCTTTTAGGAATCAACTCAATGTTTTATGAAACTGACTTGCAAAATTCAAAAGGTCTAAAAAATATTAGAATGAAAACAGGATTTGTGAGTTTTACCAGCTGCTGGAGTCCACAAACTGCAACTGTCTTGGTAAATATCTTTTGGAAAGTTCTGATTGTCAGAAAACTTCAGACTATACATGCCAAAGATCTGATACTGGAAATGTCATGAATCATATAAGCCCCTGCCTCACACAGGGCAAATTTCATCTAAACTCCTCATGCTGGGCAGAACAATGGCTGCCCAAAGATGTCCACATACTAATCCCTGGAATCTGTGAATATGTTGGGTTTCATGAGAAATGGGAGTTAAAGTTGCTTATTAACTGGGTATCATAGTTCACGCTTTTAATCCCAGCACTTTGGGAGGTGGAGCCAGCAGGATTGCTTGAGGCCAGGAGTTCAAGACCAGCCTGGGCAACACAGCAAGACTCCATCCCTACAAAAAATTATAAAATTAGCCAGCCAAGGCAGCACACGCCTATAGTCCCAGTTACTTAGGATGCAGAGGTGAGAAGATCCCTTGAGCCCAGGAGGATGAGGCTGCAATGAGCTATGATCATGTCATTGACTCTAACCTAGGCAATAGAGGGAGACCCCCATCTCAAAAATAAAATAAATAAAAAGGTAAATTTACTTATCAGTTGACCTTGAGATGGGGAGATTGTACAGGATTATCCCAGTGAGTCTTATGTAATCACTTGGGTTCTTGTGAGTGGAAGAGGGAGGCAGAAGAGAGAGAACAAGAGAGATGGCATTGTGAGGATGACTCAGTCTGACATTACTTTTTTGAATATTGTATTAGTCCATTCTCACACTGCTATAAAGAACTACCTGAGACTGGGTAGTTTATGAAGAAAAGAGGTTTGACTCACAGTTCTGAAGGCTGTACAGGAAGCATGGCTGGGAGGCCTCAGGAAACTTAGAATCATGGCGGAAGGCGAAGGGGAAGGGGAGGCAGGCACATCTTAACCGTGGTGGAGCAGGAGAGAGAGAGAAAAGGGCGAAGTGCCACACACTTTTAAATAACCAGATCTCGTGAGAACTCACTATCACAAGAACAGCAAGGGAAAAATCAGCCCCATAATCCAATCGCCCTCCACCAGAACCCTCCCCCAACACTGGGAATAACAATTCAACATGAAATTTGGGTAGGGAAACAGAGCCAAACCATATCAAATATGGAGGAAGGGGCCTATGAGCCAAGGGAGGTGGCTGGCTTTAGAAGCTGGAAAAGGCCAGGAAACAGATCCTCCCTTAGAGCCTCCAGAAGGAACACAGTCCTGCTGACACCTTGATTTTAGGCCAGTGAGATACATTTTGGACTTCTGACATCCAGAACTACAAAATATTAAACTTGTGTTGGCTTAAGCCATTAAGTTTGTGGTCATTCTTACAGCAGCAATAGGTAAGTAATAAACTCTTAGATGAAGAAAGGTCAGTGAGGCATGACTAGATTAGTGTGGCTCATCTGCTGTCGTTCATGTTGTTTTAAACCAAGATTCACCATTTGATATTCATTATTTGGCATTTGCAGCTGTCATCATTTTTTAGATGATGAAACTATGCCTTGTTTTCATGGGATAATGTTTGTGAAGCTCTCAAATTCCTAAACCAATCAAGTAAGGTGTTTTTTTTTAACTTATTTATTTATTTATTTATTTATTTATTTATTTATTTATTTATTTTTGAGACGGAGTCTTGCTCTGTTGCTCAGGCTGGAGTGCAGTGGCACGATCTTGGCTCACTGCAGGCTCCACCTCCCGGGTTCACGCCATTCTCCTGCGTCTCCCAAGTAGCTGGGACTACAGGTGCCCACCACCATGCCCAGCTAATTTCTTTTTGTATTTTTAGTAGAGACGGGGTTTCACTGTGTTAGCCAGGATGGTCTTGATCTCCTGACCTCGTGATCCGTCCGCCTTGGCCTCCCAAAGTGCTAGGATTACAGGCGTGAGTCACCGTGCCTGGCCTCAAGTAAGTTTTAAGATGGCAAAAGCTAAGGATTCTAAGGCAGCTCTCAAAATCCTGAAGATACATTATGACCTTGCCACTTAACACTGTCTTACTTGTCAATTATGATCCTGATCACAAAATATGGTTGCATGTTTAGATGGAAATTCTTCTTTGGTAAAGAGGGAACCAAATTACAAAGTACAATAGACTGATACATGCTGAGGTTACTACAAAGACTCTAGACTGGGCCTGGCATAGTGCTCATGCCTGTAACCCCAGCACTTTGGGAGGACAAGGTGGGAGGATTGCTTGAGGCCAGGACTAGCCAGGGAAACATAGCAAGAGCCTGTCTCTACAAATAAATAAATAAATGAGATACAAAAATTAACCAGGTGTGGTGGCACGTGCCTGTAGTCCCAGCTACTCAAGAGGCTGAGGCGGAAGGATCACTTGAGCCCAAGAGGTCGAGGCTGCAGTGAGCCAACATTGTGCCACTGTACCTCCGTTGTGGACAACAGAGCAAGAACCTGTCTCAAAAAAAAAAAAAAAAAAAAAGAAGAAGAAGAAGAAGAAAAGACTCTAGACTGGTAAAGTAAAAAATAAACATAAAATGAAATCATTTTACTATTGTTCTATTCCTATTACAATAGAAATAGAAATTGTTCTATTCCTATTACAATAGAAATAGAAATTGTTCTATTCCTATTACAATAGAAATAGAAATTGTTCTATTTCTATTTACAAAGGAAAAACACATTCTGACACCTAATAATTTCTAAATTGGTGTGACACTTATTAGGTTGCCATAATAGGATTAACAAACATATAGGAGGAGCTAATTGCAAGGCATTTAACTTGGAAATCACAACCATTGCCAAATGGCTTTATAGTTGGCTTTTGTGGTTGTCATGGACAGGAAGAAAAATGAGCTATTTAGGAAGTGAGTCTCGTCTGAACTTTCCAAGATATATTCTAGTTTTTGTGTGAGGAAATAATTCAGGTTTTGTTGTTGTTGTTGTTGTTTGTTTGTTTGTTTTCCAAACTTGCACTTAAGTCATACCTCTTTTAAGGTGGATCCAGTCTTAATGATTTCTTTTGGCATGGCTAGATCCTGGTTATTAAAAGTGTACATGGAGGAATGATGTACAAATTAAGGGGGGCGTCAAGGTAGGAGGGAGGCAAAAAAGGAGAGGTAAACAGGGCTGGGAGTATGGCGAGGCAGTGAGGAGCCTAAGTAGACATTTGAGGAGGCGCTCTCTCTCTGGACTATCACAAGCCATCCCTGTACTTGCAGGACCCTGAGGGGGAGTGCCCCCTTAAGAGTGAGGTAGGAGTGCCCTGTTACATTTTGCATCTTAGACCTCTCTTGCCTCAATCTCACCCTGGAGGTGACAGCATGGCTGGTGATGGCTGTAATGAGGGATATAAGCCTGCCTGTAGCTTGGAAAGCATGTTTTGTCCTCAGAATCCTCATACAGGCTGGGCGCGGTGGCTAACATCTCTAATCCCAACACTTTGGGAGGCCAAGGCAGGAGGATCACTTGAGCCCAGGAGTGTGAGGCTGCAGTGAGCTATGACTGTGCCACAGTACTCCAGCCTGGATGAATGAGTGAGACCTTGTCTCACTCAAAGAAAAGAAAAGTAAAAAGAGAAGACAATCCTCATGCCATCCCTCTTTGGCAAAACCTGGACTGTTAGAGAGAATTCCCAGAAGGCCTAACTTAGTATGGCCCCAGATCAATGTAGAACTGAACATGATCTCTCCTTTGAAACACCCCTCCTGAGGCTACCCTGGTCAAGGTTCAAGGCTCACCCCTAAAGAGAACTTACCCCTGTGGTTGGCTCTAGGCGAAATCACACCTTCCATATATTACGGAACTTCAGAGAACAGGGATTCATTCAGCCCTCCTACATACCTTTTGATTTAGGAAGGCTTTCAGTGAATGATTATCCAAATTTGTACTATACAAATGGAAACATTTAAAATTTTATAAAATCTGTATGAAGTCGGAATGTTGATATGGTGAACATGATATTTGCATCTCTGGATGTGCTGCCTTTGTCAGTTCTGCCTATGTGCGAGGGGTTGCTTGCATGCAGTGCTAATGCTACACAATGCAGATATAGGTTTGATTTGGAGGAGAATTCATAAGCAGCCATGTAGCAGTACGCACACAATCCCTTGAACTCTCAACCTGCATCCTAGGCTAGGCATGGATATCTGTATGCACCATAGCCACAGCTCTGGTAGATAAAGCTCTACTATTTATAGGGTCAGTAGGCAGGGAGCATCTATGTGCTTGTGTAACAGTGGAGGCTCTCTGATCAGGGAAGTGCCCTTATTGGAGAAGGAAAGCCCCTGGAGCCCAGTGGTTGGTATCAGCCTATTTTTTTGTTCATTTGTTTAGCTGAGCCAGCTTTCTGCTAAGCTAGCAAAAGAGGGAAGGAAATGAGTCTCCGGAGCCACCCAGATTTGTCTCTTGCTAACCACAGGTTAACTGTTCTCTTTACCTGATTGTAAGCAATTTGGGAGGAAAGACAAAATTGTATAGATCTTTGCAACTCCCATGGTGTCCTACCTGTAGTTGAATGCTTAGTACGTACTTGTTGACTGAGCAAATGATATAATAGACTTCAATCAATGCTGAATGACTACTGTAATAAAAAATAAATATTAATATATGCTTTGTGGCAACTTGAAAGCATGGGCAATGCCTTCATAATGGCCAACTACATATTTTGGCAGATAACAAACCAGTACATATGGTTGAGGGTGGCTGTTGTATCTTAATGTGGAACTCAGTAGCACCCTTTTCCCCCCCAGCCTTTTTCACTTTTGTTTCAAAACATTTGTTTCTGCCATATTGAGAGGGGGAGTTAAGATAAAAGACCTCCTTTAGTTGTCAGTGCATTGGGGTTTCCAGCCAACTTTCTCTTTAATGCCTTTCTAGTAGTGCATAGCCAAAGCATATGGAAGGAGAAGTTTAGGGGTAAACTACAGTGTTCATTTCAGAAATGTTCTTTTTTTTTTTTTTTTTTGAGACAGTGTCTCACTTTGTCGCCTAGGCTGGAGTGCAGTGGTGCAATCTCAGCTCACTGCACTTCCACCTCCTGGGTTCAAGCAATTCTCCTGCCTCAGCCTCCCAAGTAGTTGGGATTACAGGCACCTGCCACCATGCCTTGCTAATTTTGTATTTTTAGTAGAGATGGGGTTTCACCATGTTGGCCAGGCTGGTCTCGAACTCCTGACCTCAGGTGATCCACCTGCCTCAGCCTCCCAAAGTGCTGAGATTACAGGCATGAGCCACTGCACCTGGCCAGAAATCTTGTGTATATCTGGTATTCATCATCATCCTCACTGTAGCAAATATATTTTTAAACATTTACTGGGTCTGCCCTGTGCGGAGCTCTTTATGTGGATTGCCTTACTTAGTCCACAATCCTGTGTGGCAGTACGCTTTATTAACCCACATGTCTAGACCCGAGCTCACCTTGGGAAGAGTCCTTCCAGGTGTTTGTTTTCTATTCCTTATACTCCAGAACCTGTCTTATATAGGGATTATACTAAGAGCCAAACAGGTTTTGCTTGAGTTTTCCCGGTGCCTTCCAAATTGGCAGTCATCTTTTTATCCATTATGATTTCAGTCTTTCATAGCAGGGATATGATATTCAAGGGGCATATGACCCAAACTCAGTTTATACATATTGTTTAACATTGTATTAATACCCCCACATCCTAGCTGCCTTCTTATTGAAGCATTTGTTTTAAAGGAAAGCTATATTTGTTTGGTTGGTAAATAGTTTCTTGTTAATGAGAAAAACACAAACATGTTTCTAAATATATCCATTTAATTTTGAAAAAGCAAACCGCATATTAAGGAGACCTAGTGGTTTTATACCAGAGTGTCTGAACTTTGGCACCGCTGACATTTCCGACTAGATAATGATTGGTTGGGGAGACCTGTCCTGTGCATTGCAGGGTGTTTCGTACCTTTCCTGGCTTCTGCCCACCAGATGTCAGTACCAACTCCTCCTCCCAATTGTGAGAATGAAAAATGTCTCTGGACATTGTGAAATGTCCCTTGGGGGAATAAAATTGCCTCCAGCTGGGAACCACTGTTCTAAACCCATAGTTTAAAAAGCTTTGCTTTGCACCAGAATAGTAGTCTGATGTTTCCTCTTGTGGCTCTGCAGTCAGGTATTGTACGTAGTTTCAATATTTTGGCTTTCTATGTGGGTGATCAAGTACTTCACAGTCCTTATATCAATATAAATATGCATAATTCCTTCCCTTCAACAATTTGTAATCAAGATAAGATTTAACATTTTTCAGTCGACTATTTTAAAACTGGTGATACTTTATTCCACTATGACATTCTCTTTTTTTTTCATAAATGGAAACCTTTTAAAATAGGCATGAATAATTTTATGCCTCAAGCACTTTCATTCTTCCAAGTGTTTATGTAAATACAGAGTAAACTGGTTCAATTTATATCTTTTTTGATATCTCATGTATTTATTTGTTTTCTCTATAACAAAGAGAGGGGTTTTATCAGGAAATCACACACAAGAGGACCATAAGTCTCTAATTTTATGCATAAAAAAGGAGATAAGAGAATATAATCATTTAAAGAGGCCTGAAAAACCTTAAGAAAGGATCCAGGAATAGGGGTGGGGCCAAGATGGCTGACTAGAAGCAGCGGCTTTTGGAGGCTCCCATGGAAAAAACCCATAATAAGCGTGTGAATCCTTCACTGGCAACCAGGTATCCAGGTTCTCTCATCAAAGTTGACTAGAGGGCTGGCGTGACCCACGGAGAGAAGGAAGAACAGTGTAGTACCGCAGCCCAGCTGAGAGCCACACGGGGCAGGGGAACCCCCTCCCCCCAGCCAAGGGAGGTGGTGAGTGAGCGCACTATCCCCCCAGAGAAAACTGTGCTTTTCCACTCACGAACCCAAGCCACCCACCAGGGCCTAGCGTCCCAACCCCAGAATGTGCACATTCTTTTTTTTTTTTTTTTTTTTTTGAGATGGAGCTTCGCTCTTGTTGCCCAAGCTGGAGTGCTATGGCGCAATCTCAGCTCACTGCAACCTCTGCCTCCCAGGTTCAAGCAATTCTCCTGCCTCAGTTTCCTGAGTAGCTAGGATTACAGGCACCTGCCACCATGCCCAGCTGATTTTTTTTGTATTTTTTAGTAGAGATGTGGTTTCACTATGTTGGCCAGGCTGGTCTCGAGCTCCTGACCTCAGGCAATCCACCCGCCTCGGCCTCCCAAAGTGCTGGGACTATATGCATGAGCCACTGTGCCTGGCCACGAGCACATTCTTACAGCCTCTCAGCTGGAGTCAGCTTAAGCCTACAGAACCCCCGCAGGGGAGGGGCAGCCAGCACCCACTGTGGCTGCCTGCTGTCTCAGCTGTTTGAGCTCCTTGCGGGAGGGACAGCAGCCTGCACTGGGATTCGCACTGCCTAACACGCTGAGCTCCCTGGGCGGGGGAAGGGCGGCACCCATTTCTATACGTCCAGGCTGTACTTTTTCCCTGCTGGAGCCAGGGAGGCTGGACAGCTTGGTCCCAAGACTTGTCCCCACAGCCCAACAGACCGGCTGTGTTAGTTTGTGGCCAGTGTCCCTTCAGGCCTGACCCTGACCCATCCTTACTCATTGGGTGAGGCTTCCCTGCAGGAACTCCAATAACTTCAGCCAGAGGCTTAGGGACAGAATCTGGATGTCCCTGGGCCTGAGCCTCTAGGGGGAGGTGTGGCCGCAGTCTCTGTGGACCAGCAAACTTAGCCTCTCCTCTTGGTAGTTCTGAGGAATCTGGGTAGCCCAGATGAGTGGGTTTCCCCCAGCAAAGCACACCCCCTCCACCAAGGGACAAAGTGCTTTGTTAAATGGGTCCTGCTCCCCGTGCCACTCAACTGGGTGACACCCTCCAACAGGGGTTGTCAGACACCCTATACAGGAGGGATCCTGCTGGCATCAGGTTGGTGCCTCTTGAGGTCAGAGGTCCCAGAAGAAGGACCAGGCATCCATCTTTGCTGTTCTCCAGCCTCCTTGAGTGACATCTCCAGGCACTGGAGTGAATCAGATGAATAGGGCCTGAAGTGAACCCCCGCAAACTGCAGCAGCCCTGCAGAAGAGGGACCTGACTATTGAAAGAAAAACAAACAAGCAGAAAGCCACAACAATGCATCATCAACAACAACAAAAGGCCCCCACAAAAAACCCATCCAAGGGTCAGCAGCCTCAAAGACTGAGACTAGACAAACTCACAAAGATGAGAAAGAATCAATGAAAAATGCTGAAAACCCAAAAGGCAAGAGTGCCTCTTCTCTTCCAAATGATTGCACCATCTCTCTGTCAAGGGCACAGAACTGGACAGAGGGTCAGATGGATGAATTGACAGAAGTAGGCTTCAGAAGATGGGTAATAAAAAACTACACTGAGCTAAAGGAGCATGTTCTAACCCAATGCAAAGAAGCTAAGAACCTTGATAAAAGGTAAGAGGAACTGCTAACTAGGATAACCAGTTTAGAGGAACATAAATTACCTAATGGAGCTGAAAAACACAGCACGAGAACTTGGTGAAGCATACACAAGTATCAATAGCTGAATCGACCAAGCAGAAAAAAGGATATCAGAATTTGAAAACCACCTTACTGAAATAAGACATGCAGACAAGAATAGAGAGAATGAAAAGGAATGAACAAAGCCTCCAAGAAATATGGGAATTCGTAAAAAGACCAAACTTACAATTGATTGGGATACCAGAAGGAGATGGAGAGAATGGAAACAAGCTGGAAAACACACTTCAGGTTATTATCCAGGAGAACTTCCCCAACCTAGCAAGACAGGCCAACGTGCAAATTCAGGAAATACAGAGAACATCATTAAGATACTCCATGAGAAGATCAACCCCAAGACACATAATCATCAGATTCTCCAAGGTTGAAATGAAGGAAAAACTGTTAAGGGCAGCCAGAGAGTAAGGCCAGGTCACCTGCAAAGGGAAGCCCATCAGACTAACATGGATCTCTCAGCAGAAACTCTACAAGCCAGAAGAGACTGGAGGCCAATATTCAATATTCTCTTTTTTTTTTTTTTTTTGAGATGGAGTCTCGCTCTGTCGCCCAGGCTGGAGTGCAGTGGCGTGATCTCGGCTCACTGCAAGCTCCGCCTCCTGGGTTCATGCCATTCGCCTGCCTCAGCCTCCTGAGTAGCTGGGACTACAGATACCCATCACCACCCCTGGCGATTTTTTTGCATTTTTTAGTAGAGATGGGTTTTCACCATGTCAGCCAGGATGGTCTCGATCTCCTGACCTCATGATCCACCCTCCTCTGCCTCCCAAAGTCCTGGGATTACAGGCGTGAGCCACCACACCTGGCCTATTCAATATTCTTAAAAGAATTTTCAACCCAGAATTTCATATCCAGCCAAACTAAGGTTCATAAGTGAAGGAGAAATAAAATCCTTCTCAGACAAGCAAATGCTGAGGGGTTTTGTTACCCCCAGTCCTGCCCTGTAAGAGTTCCTGAGAGAAGCACTAAATATGGAAAGGAAAAACCAGTACCAGGCACTGCAAAAACACACCAAAATATAAAGACCAATGACATTATGAAGAAACTGCATCAACTATTGTGCAAAATAACCAAATAGCATCATGATGACAGGATCAGATTCACACATAGCAATACTAACCTTAAGTGTAAATGGGCTAAATGCCCCAATTAAAAGACACAGTGTGGCAAATTGGATAAAGTCAAGACCCATTGGTGTGCTGTATTCAGGAGATCCATCTTACATGCAAAGACATGTAAAGCTCAAAATAAAAGGATGGAGAAAAATTTACCAATCAAATGGAAAGAAAAAAAAAGCAGGGGTTGCAATTCTAGTCTCTGACAAAACAGACTTTAAACCAACAAAGATCAAAAAAGACAAAGAAGGACATTACATAATGGTAAAGGGAACAATTCAACAAGAAGAGCTAACTATTCTAAATATATATGCACCCAGTACAGGAGCACCCAGATTCATAAAACAAGTTCTTAGAGACCTACAAAGAGGCTTAGACTCCCACACAATAATAGTGGGAGACTTTAACACCCCACTGTCAGTATTATTAGACAGATCAACGAGACAGAAAATTAACAAGGATATTCAGGACTTGAACTCAGCTCTGGATCAAGTGGACCTAGTAGACATCTACAGAACTCTCTACTCCAAATCAACAGAATATATATTCTTCTCAGTGCCACCTGGCATTTATTCTAAAATTGACCACATAATTGGAAGTAAAACACTTCAGCAAATGCAAAAGAACTGAAATCATAAGAAACAGTCTCTCAGACCACAGTGCAATCAAATTAGAACTCAGGATTAAGAAACTCACTCAAAACCACACAATTACATGGAAATTGAGCAACCTGCTCCTGAATGACTCCTGGGTAAATAATGAAATTAAGGCAGAAATCAAGAAGTTCTTTGAAACCAATGAGAACAAAGAGACAACGTACCAGAATCTCTGGGACACAGCTAAAGCAGCGTTAAGACAGAAATGTATAGCACTAAATGCCCACATCAGAAAGCTAGAAAGATCTCACATCAACACCCTAACATCACAATTAAAAGAGCTAGAGAGGCAAGAGCAAGCTAATCCAAAAGCTAGTAGAAGACAAGAAATAACTAAGATCAGAGAAGAGTTGACGGAGATAGAGGCACAAAAACACTCCAAAAAATCACCGAATCCAGGAGCTGTTTTTTTGAAAAAATTAACAAATAGATTGCTAGCTAGACTAATAAAGAAGAAGAAAAGAGAGAAGAATCAAATAGACACAATAAAAAATGATAAAGGGGATATCCCCACTGACCCCAAGAAATACAAATTACCATCAGAGAATACTAAAAACACATCTATGCAAAAATAAACTAGAAAATCTAGAAGAAATGGATGAATTCCTGGACACATACACCCTACCGAGATTAAACCAGGAAGAGGTCAAATCCCTGAATAGACCAATAATAAGCTCTGAAATTGGGTAATTAATAGCCTACCAAAAAAAGCCCAGGACCAGACGGATTCACAGCTGAATTCTACTAGAAATACAAGGAGGAGCTGGTACCATTTCTTCTGAAACTATTCCAAACAACTGAAAAAGAGGGACTCTTCCCTAACTCATTTTATGAAGCCAGCATTATCCTGATACCAAAACCAGGAAGAGGTATAACAAAAAAAAGAAGACTTCAGGCCAATATCCCTGATGAACATCAGTGTGAAAATCCTCAATAAAATACTGGCAAACTGAATCCAGCAGCACATCAAAAAACTTATCCACCATGATCAAGACGGCTTCATTCCTGGGATGCAAGGCTGGTTCAACATACGCAAGTCATTGATAGAACACATCTCAAAATAATAAGAGCTATTTATAACAAACCCGCAGCCAATATCACACTGAATGAACAAAAGCTGGAAGTATTCCCTTTGAAAACTGGTACAAGACAAGGATGCCCCCTCCTACCACTCTTATCCAACATAGTATTTGAAGTTCTGGCCAGGGCAATCAGGCAAGAGAAAGAAAGAAAGGGTATTCAAATAGGAAGAGGGGAAGTCAAGTTGTGTCTGTTCACAGATGGCATGATTTAATATGTAGGAAACCCCATCACCTCAGTCCCAAAACTCCTTAAACTGATAAGCAACTTCAGCAAAGTCTTGGGACACAAAATCAATGTGCAAAAATCACAAGCATTCCTTTACACCAACAGCAGGCAAGCAGAGCCAAATCATGAATGAACTCCCATTCACAATCACTGCAAAGAGAATAAAATACCTACCTAGGAATACAGCTGACAAGGGATGTGAAGAACCTTTTCAAGGAGAACTACAAACTACTGCTTAAGGAAATAAGACAGAACACAAACAAATGGAAAAACATTCCATCCTCATGGATAGGAAGAATCAATATTGTGAAAATGGCCATACTGTCCAAAGTAATTTATAGATTCAATGCTAGTCCCATCAAACTACCATTGACATTCATCACAGAATTAGAAAAAAACTATTTTAAATTTCATATGGAATCAAAGAAGACCCCATATAGCCAAGACAATCTTAAGCAAAAAGAACAAAGCTGGAGGCATCATGCTACCTGACTTCAAACTATACTACAAGGCTACAATAACCAAAACAGCATGGTACTGGTACCAAAACAGACGTATAGACTAATGGGGCAAGAACCTCAGAAATAACACCACACATCTACAACCATCTGATCTTCAACAAACCTGACAAAAACAAGCAATGGGGAAAGGATCTCCTATTCAGTAAGTGGTGCTGGGAAAACTAGCTAGCCATATGCAGAAAACTGACACTGGACCCCTTCCTTATGCCTTACACAAAAATTAACTCAAGATGGATTAAAGACATAAATGTAAAACCCAAAACCATAAAAACCCTAGAAGAAAACCTAGGCAGTTCCATTCAGGACATAGGCATAGGTAATTAAAGAGCTTCTGCACAACAAAAGAAACTATCATGAGAGTGAACAGGCAACCTACAGAATGGGAGAAAATTGTTGCAATCTACCCATGTGACAAAGGTCTAATGTCCAGAATTTACAAGGAACTTAAACATATTTACAAGAAAAACCCCACGAAAAAGTGGGCAAAGGATAGGAACAGACACTTCTCAAAAGGACATTTATGCGGCCAACAAACATATGAAAAAAAACACAACATCACTGATCATCAGAGAGATGCAAATCAAAACCACAGTGAGATACCATCTCATGCCAGTCAGAATGGCAATTATTAAAAAGTTAGGAAACAACAGATGCTGGCGAGGCTGTGGAGAAATAGGAACGCTTTTACACTGTTGGTGGGAATGTAAATTAGTTCAACCATTGTGGAAGACAGTATGGCGATTCCTCAAGGATCTAGAACCAGAAATACCATTTGATATACCCCCCAAAATAAATCATTCTACTATAAAGACACATGCACATGTATGTTTATTGCAGCACGATTTACAATAGCAAAGACATGGAACCAACCCAAATGCCCATCAATCATAGACTGGATAAAAGAAAATGTGGTACGTATCCACCATGGGATACTATGCAGCCATAAAAAGGAATGAGATCATATCCTTGAAGCTAGAAGCCATCATCCTCAGCAAACTAACACAAGAACGAAAACCAAACACCACGTTTGCACTCACAAGTGGGAGTTGAACATTGAGAACACATGGACACAGAAGGGGGAACGGGAACAACACACACAGGGCCTGCTGGGGGTTGGGGAGTGAGGGGAGGGATCTTAGAGGGTGGGTCAGTAGGTGCAGCAAACCACCATGGCACACATATACCTGTGTAACGAACCTGCATAATCTGCACTTGTATCCCATTTTTTGTTTTTTTTTTTTGTTTTTTTCCTCCCTGAGATGGAGTCTCGCTGTGTCGCCCAGGCTGGAGTGCAGTGGCATGATCTCGGCTCACTGCAACTTCCACCTCCCGGGTTCAAGCAATTCTCCCTGCCTCAGCCTCCCGAGTAACTGGGATTACAGGTGCCCGCCACCATGCCCCGCTGATTTTTTTTTGTATTTTTAATAGAGACAGGGTTTCACCACGTTGGCCAGGCTGGTCTTGAACTCCTGACCTCAGGTGATCCGCCTACCCTTGGCCTCCCAAAGTGCTGGGAATACAGGCGTGAGCCACTGTGCCCACCAGCCCCCTCTTTTTTAAAGAAGAAATTATATATATATAAATATATATATTTATAAATATATTTATATATAGATAGGATTCAGGGATAGTCAATGGTAAAAACTTACCTAAAGTTTTTTTTTCTTTCTAAATTTATCCAATTAATATTTTTCAAGCATAACACCTGTTCCCTTTCTTTAAAAAAAAATTAAATCCTTTGTCACCTTTGCACCTCAAAGAAAATGCGGAAATATCTAAAATACCAGCTTACTTCCATTTAAATATGCCCCAAATGAAGGGAATTTGAGAAAACACTTAGGGCATGGGATTTGATAACCTGCTTCAGAAACCTAGTCCTGTGCCTGATAACCTTTACTGTCTTAGTCAGAAAATGTATTCCTATGTCTGACTTAAATCTCTCAAGCTGCAGCAAGGCATGTTTTCTTTCACTCTGCCCTCACTGCGAAATGGCTGTCTGCCAGCCCTTGAGTTTGAGCCTTTCAAATTCTTAAAGTATGTTATCTAAAGTCTTCCCTTGGCTTTTTATCTACAGATGAGTTGGTCCAGATTTTTTGCCATGACTTTCATAACTCTTTCATCATCTGCAGCTTCCCCCATGCTTCCTTCAGGATCTTCTTCACTTTTCTTTGAGTTGCAGATTCCTAAAACCAAGCAGGGTTGACAATGCCAGGAAGGTACCTTAGCTAACAGCCTACACTCACAGCACCTGTTCAGGTACCCTGATTGGCCTTAAGTGACTGTTCTAACTGGAATAAAATCCTCTCTTTATCATCAAGCAAAATGGTCAGCTTTTCTTTGCCTTCAGAATAGTCTCTGCATGGTGTCTGCTTTCAAACTTTCCAAAGTGCTTAGTTTACCACCTCTCCCTAAATATACCACTGTCTATCTTATAAAGCCCGGGAACACAGAAATTAGCAGCAAATGATCTCCTTATTTTCTGTTTTTAATGCCTGTGCACCTTAACAGGTTCTTTGGCTGCAATCAGACTCCCTCCTGGCGTCTTTGTTCCTTTTCCCTGGGCCCTGCCTCTCTGACTGGGCTTTGACAGCAGCAGAGACTCTTACCATCCTCACGGTCTCCTCCTGCAGCTCTTTTTTTCTAATCCGTGGCAGCAAGCTAGGCTTCAGGACAAAAGCCTCTTGGAGAATATTTGAGAACTTTCAATCCTCCTGTGACCCTTTTGAAACACCAACTCAGGATGCTTTTTATTCCTGGTTGTTATCTTTGCAATGATCTCTACTCTACCTCAGTTTCTTTTCTTTAGAAACTGTGTGCTGACCTGATTGAAATATTCTCAGCCCACATGAGGGAACAGCTATGACAGCCAGTGAAGAGGACTTTCCTTGCTGTGCTCTTCCTGGCTGAGACCAGGAAAGGAGGGCCGGCCTATCCATCACATGTCAGAGAAAGAAAACAGGAAGAATGGCCAAGATGTTTAATCACTTTTTGAAGCTGTTTTTCTTATTCAAAATCAAGTCAATATTTGATTTTAAAAAACACACACTAAATACAATATGGTATTCTGAATTGCAATGCTCCTGGAACAGAAAAAGGACATTAGTAGAAAACCAGTGAAATCTGATAAAGACTGGCGTTTTATTAATAATAACGTGCCAGTGTTACTTTCTTATTTATGACAAATGCACCTTGGTTATGTAAGGTGTTAACATTAGGGGAAACTGGGTGAAGGGTATATGGGAACTCTGTACTATCTTTGCAACTTTTCTGTAAATCTAAAATTATTCCAAAATAAGATTATTTTAAAAGATAGCCTATATTTTTTCTTTCCAGTAATTTGGGTTATTCACCTCTATTTCTTTACTGGTTAGTATATTAAGGACCTGATTCAGGAAAAAATATGAACATAAACTAAAGCTTTTGTATGCAGAAAAGAATGGTTAAGTCTATAGCTAGCTGATCTAGGTCCCTAAATGAAAATACCTGAACATATATTAGGGTCCTTGCTTGTTCTGTTTTCCCTACCTCTGTTCTCTGATTACCTGTAAGTTATTTACTCATTTCCATGTTTTCTCATTCAGTAAACATTTATAAAACTAGGTACTGAGTTTAACTCAAGGAAAAAAAAAAGAGATGGATAAAATGTGGTTTTCACCTCAGAGTACACAAGCTAGTGGGGAATAAACATATAGAGATAACTGCTGAATAATGTAAGTGCAATGATAACAAATGTACACAGTAATTTTAATGGGAACTAAGCAAGCCTGAAAAAGGTTATCAGAAAAAACATCCTAAAGGTGACATGCCTCCGCCTTCAGGATGAGTAGGAGTTAGGATGAATGTACCAAAGAGACACGTCAGGGTAGCAATCTACATGATGTGTTCAGGGAGCTAGGGAGTGACAAGCTTTTCAGCATAGCATGAGGGAAGACTGATAGGATGTGGAGGGAGATGAAGCTGGACAAAAGACAAGAGCCTGACTTAGGGCCATCAGAATTAGAAAGGCCTTCTGTTGCTGGACAAGACTGTAGTTTCACCCTTTAAATCATAAGCAGATGAAAGTAGGACAGCAAAAGATAAAGACCAGAGAGTTTCATCTCACCTTTATTCTCCATCAGTTACAGTGGCTCAGGCATTTTCTGAAAATATGGCTAACCCCAAAGGAGCTATTCTTGCCATGAAGGAAGTTAGTGGCTTCATAGATAGAGTAACTGCTCTTAGGCTCTTACCCTCTTCCCTAGCAGTGGGGAACAGTGGTTTATTTTTAAAGTTTATATAGGTACTAATGCTCAATGATTGCTACTTACAAATAATGCATAAGACAGTGATTTTCACCCCCTGCAAAAGAAATGTTTTGCTTTTACTCATAGGGCAACCAGTGGCTTCAACTGCTTTCTATTTTTGAAAACTCATGTGATGAAACATGAGAAGTTCTTATTTAAAGGGGTTGGTGAGATGCTTCTTTTAAATGCTGTCACACTGTTGATCATGCTTGAATTGGAGCTAAGAATAAAAATTCAACTGAGTAATTTCTGTTGATGTAGCGTCCCTCAACTTTTTGGAGAAAAATGTCAAGTTTTACATTCTGGTTTCATTGCAGTTCCTGGAGGCTACTGAGTAGGAAGAGGATAGCGTGATGTGTGTGCATGCATGTGCTCATGTATAGAAAGACAGGATGAGGTAGCTGCTTATACAGAGCTAGAAGGAACTCTAGCTAACTTAGAGTTTTGACTAAACACTCTTTTTACTTAAAGGTAATCTGGCTGTATCAGGGTTTACTCCCATTGAGTTGAATATGAACTTGATAGACGAAGTGGAGAATTCTTTCAGTTTTGTGAAAAGTTTAATTATGAAATTGTTTTAGACAGTAAATGACACATTCCCATTTCTTGTCAGTGAATATTTATTGAAATCTAGCCCTTCTTGCCTTGCCTTTCTGGTTGATCTCTTTAGCTGTCAAGCTCGCTGGTCATCTTTCCCTTGCTGGGCCTTACATGTCATGTTTTCTTGAGTTGTGAAGAATAACCATTTGTTAGCTAAAGACCTTTCTCTGATCTAAAGCAACTGATACTTGAAAGAGTAAATAAACGGAACCTGATCCCTACTTTATATTGCCAGGTACAAAATACATTTGTGGCTATTCTATCATATTATTTTTGTAGGTCTCTGAATTAAAGAGAGCAAAGCTTCTTTCTACTCAAGACTTGCAAACACTTGGTTTTGACAATCAAATTATCTCGTTCTTAAGTTTATGAATCGTTGTCTTCTGCTGCAGAGAGAATTGGATTTTTAGTTCGAAAGATGAGTGCACATCGGGAAGATGTGTTTTAGGGGGAAGCAATATGTATTTTGCATTATCTGTACGATGTGAGAAACTGTAAATTGATAATACAATATGTTAGTAAATGAAATGGCAATGAGTAGCAAGCAATGGGCTGGAGAGAACTCCAGGTTGGGGGTAGAAAATGATTATTATAGGCATCCTAGGCATAGTGGCTGAACTTTCTGTTTTCTCCTTCTTTGGGAAATGGGTTTAATATTTTAGGTTCATCTGCAGGCCTGGGCTACATTTAAGAGTACAGTATCCTGGCACGCACTTGAACCATGCTGAGAGGCTGACAGCCAAAATGAGCTGGACCTTGTTCTCACTTTGTTATTTGATTGCAGGCGATGAGGGGAAATGATAGCATTCTAGTTCTTCTTTTTGAAAAACTATGCATTACATTTCAGAATGTTTCACTGCCCAATAGTGCATAGTTTTCAAGTGTAGTTCCTCTCTTACCACACAGCTAAGTAATCCTGGAAGCCAAATAAATGGACTGTATTTATTTCAAATTCAGTTCTTAAAAGATGTCTCAGCTGGGCGCGGTAACTCCTGCCTGTAATCCCAGCACTTTGGGAGGCCAAGGCAGGCAGATCACCTGAGGTCAGGAGTTTGAGACCAGCCTGGCCAACATGGTGAAACCCCGTCTCTACTAAAAATACATAAATTAGCTGGGTGTGGTGGTATGTGCCTGTAGTCCCAGCTACTTGAGAGGCTGAGGCAGGAGAATTGCTTGAACCCAGGAGGTAGAGGTTGCAGTGAGCTGAGGTCGCACCACTGCACTCTAGCCTGGGCAACAGTGAGACTCCGTCTCAAAAAAAAAAAAAAAAGAGTTATCTCTAATTGTTACTGTCTTTATGTTGAGTATGTTAGGGTTCACTAATTTATGGTGTATATCTGGATTTTTTTCCCACCTGGTTAGTGGAATAAAATAGGAAGTTGAATAACATGGCATTTATTATGATAGTAACCAACAGGGCAACTGGAGTTAGCATACTTGTAGCTTTTGTAAATTACTCAATTGTCACTCAATAACAGGACAGTTATTTACTTGATTGTGATTGGCCGAGGAATAATAATGGCTCCATTTCAGCAGATAAATAGTGAGGATTTGAATCTTTAGTAAAATTAATGACAGCTGGAGGAATTCCCAGCTGCACATGTAACTAGAAGTGCTTAACTACCCAATTAATCATGAATGGATGGATTCAGTGAAACACAAAATTCAATCTGCTTTTGCAGCGGTGGTTTTGAAAAATTGGAGGCAAGCGTTTTTTTCTCTATTGAACGCAACTCTGAGTGTCTAGGAAAATGCCATACATTTTTTAGGATGAATGCAAAGAAATATGAGTCCCATCCTTCTTTTTTTGCCCTTCTTCCCTCCCTTCTTTCCTATACATACTTATTATACACCTACTATATGCCAAGCCCACAATGGGGACACAAAGATGAAAAAGATACACTACCTGCCCTTGAGGAGTTATTGTCAGAAAGGTAAAATAGCCACACGTACAGTTGTAACACAACGGATGGATGAAATGGAGTTTGCCAGATGGGCAAGGAGAAAAGGGGCTTTTTAAATAAGAGTCAGTCTCCTGTGCAAGAGCAGGGAGCTTTCAGAGTATGTACCTACCTTATACAACAAGTATTTTACCTGGGTGCCTACTATGTGCCACACAGTGTGGATGAGATATGTTTGGAAAAGTGTGAGAAGCATGTTATTGGCCAGAGCATGTGGGAGGAGAAAGATAAAAGATGGGCCTGGAGATTGACAGGGACAATTTCAAATGTCACTTTAATAGTGTCATTCCCGGTTTTATTCTTCTTTTCAAAGTAAATGAATTTTTTTTTTAAGACAATCTCTCTCTGCTGCTCAGGCTGGAGTGCTGTGGCGCAGTCTTGGCTCACTGCAGCCTCCACCTCTTGGGTTCAAGTGATTCTCCTGCTTTAGCCTCCTGTGTAGCTGGGATTACAGGCGTGCACCACCACATCCGGCTAATTTTTTTTTTGGATTTTTAGTAGAGATGCGGTTTTGCTGTGTTGGCCAAGCTGGTCTGGAACTCCAGCCCTCCAGTTATCCACCCGCCTCAGCCCCCCAAAGTGCTGGGATTACAGGTGTGAGCCACCATGCCCGGCCTCAAAGTAAATGAATATTTTCTTATTTTTGTTCTAGCTTAATGTTGATGAAATAAAAGGTAGTCAGAACAAAGATTTTGAGTAGATTTAGTATTAATACATATTTATACCTAATCTTAGTAAATATACAAACATACCAAATGAATCACAAACTCAGCATTCAAGAGCAGAGCTAGGCTGACACATAGCACAGTAAAGTACTTAATTTCTTATCTGGAAACTTCCAAATTGCTAGGAGAAATTGGCGAGCAATCCTTCGAGAGAGATTGAAAACTTCCTGTCTGAAAACAGAAACTATTAGCAATTATTTTAACCCGATAGTAGCAACCCAGGGTTCAAAAGAATTCTGTATAGACATCTGTATAATGGAGGAAATTTTCATTCATTGCACACAATAGGGTACAATTTGATGAAAACTAGGTGGATTTTTTTTTTTTAATTTCTATCCTCAACTCATTCCACAAGTTTTTCAGGCAGCTTAGAAGACTATATGAAGCCACAAAAAAGTTAGTAACCAGCAAAATATCAAGATCAGAGAAAATATAAATTAAGACAGAAAATCTTATACCAAGAAGAAAGCTAGAACTGAGCTCTGATCTTCCTGGTGGCTGATGTAAAAACCAAAATATAATTAATCATAGGCTCCTCATTGTTCATAGAGAATATGTCAAGACAGATATGATTTAATTTTTATTATCCATAATGAAAAATTCTAATAATCGTGAAGAGCCCTTTTTCATTTAGTTGTTTAGGTATAAGTAGACTCAGCCTTCCATGTTTTGAGGAACATTTTCGCTAGGGGACTTTGCCAGTGGGTTAATAAAGTGCTTCCAGTGTCTTTCATGTACAAGGCATTTTGCTATAGAGTTCTCATGCAGGCATTCCATCAAAAGATGGGTGAAGTCTGAGTGCACTGGCTCATTCCTGTAATCCCCATACTTTGGGATGCTGAATGGGGAGGATCACTTGAGTCCAGGAGTTTGAGACCAGCCTCAGCCACATAGGGAGACCCTGTCTCTACAAAAAATAATAAGTTAGTCATACATGGTGGCGTGCGCCTGTGATCCCAGCTTGAAAAGTTTAGGTGAGAGGATCACTTGAGCCAGGGAGGTCAAAGCTGCAATGAACTATGATCGTGCCACTGCTCTCCAGCCTGGGTGACAGAGCAAGATCTTGTCAAAAAAAAAAAAAAAAAAAAAAGGTGATGTTGTGTTACCCACTAGGGAGAACGTTGCCAACTTCAGCTGCATCTACTTATTCTCACAAGGACTGTCCTTCTTTGACAATAACTCAAAAAGACTTATTTTTCTGGCAGTTTGTTCTGCAAGGTGATAGATTCCATTGTATTCCAATTTTGTAATGAAGTAATAGAATTTGCAGTAAAACCAAGTTCTCTGGAATTCTTTGGTAAAACAATGATTGCTTAAAATGGGAAAGGCTTGTTTTTCAAATTCTCATTCTCAATATAAGCCTCAACCTCTACCCAGGGAGGCATTGTGCTTGCCCATCATTGTCAATTTTTATGTTCTTTGGTTATAAATAACTTCTGGAACAAGCACCAGACCACATTTCAATAGCAATTTTCAAAACGGAATGCACATTTTTAAAAACTCCTTCGTGATCTTTTCTAGTAAGGAGGTTTTTTTTGTTTGTTTGTTTTGTTTTTTTTCTAATTGTAATTTTGTAGTATTGTAGATGGTATTGTATTGTCTTGGACCTGCATAGCTAAAATTGGTGAAGAACCTTTCCACAAAATATTAAGGTTACTAATGATTTCCTGGACTTTTCAGTAAATAACTCAATATATTTAAAAACCTCCCCACCTCTACTACATTTTATTTTTCAGCTCTGATATTAGTTTCTCCTTGTCTCAGCTGAACATCAGAAGATAGACAAACTGCTGATGGTTTGTTGATAAATTTAACACGGTTACCAAAAAAATCATGAAAAGGCCAGGCACGGTGGCTCATACCTGTAATTCTAACACTGCAAGGCTGAGGTGGGTGGATCGCTTGAGCTCAGGAGTTCAGGACCAGCCTGGGCAACATGGCAAAACCCTGTCTCTACAAAAATTAGCCAGGTGTGGTGGCACACACCTGTAGTTCCATCTACTTGGGAGGCTGAAGTGAGAGGATTGCTTGAGCCCAGGAGGTCAAGGCTGCAATGAGTGGTGATTGCACCACTGCATTTCAGCCTAGACGACAGAATGAGACCGTATCTCAAAAAAAAAAAAAAAAAAAAGAAAGAAAGAAAGAAAAGAAAAGAAAATCCTGAAAAATACCAAAGTCTTCAAGTTGAAAATGGTTAAATTAAAAGATGTTTTTTCCCCTTTAGTCAATGTCTAATGCTGTGCTTAGTGTCTGTTAAGCAGTAGGTAAATTGTGTATATCCCCTATATCCTGTTGATCATTTTTAGACCTTTTTGGAATAGGTTTCTGGTTTACTTCTTGCTCTCTTTTCCCACTGTTACTATCCTATCAGTCTCCCAGTCAGTCTCTCTGACTGCAGTTTTTCACACTTTCAGGCAGATCTTCCCAGTGCATCCTTTTCGATCTGAAACTCTCATTCACTTACTTTAGTGCAGCATCAGCCATCTACTCACAACCATATGGCTGCAAACACTTCCTCCCGGCTTTCCTGATTTGCTGTGATCTGCATTTATTCTACTCTACAATTTTATTTCCAGCTACTCCTCAACATGAACCTCTGAACTTCTCATTCCCCGACTCATAAGGCAAGGCACCACTTTCATGCCTTTGTTCATGCTGCCCCCACCTTTTCTTGAAATGCCTTCGCAACGTTTTCTCTGCCCCCAGCAGATCATGATGATGCTTATGGCACAGTTCCAGCGCTGACTTCTCCATGCACCTTTCTTGGCCTCATCACCTCAGACTGACCTCTGCCTTTTTGCAACTCCAAAGTCAGTAACCTTCGTTTCTTTTTTTAAATGACATAGTTCAGCACTGAACTGCCTTGTTTCATGAACACAGATCTTATTTCTCCAACTTGTTTGAAAGCTCTTTAAAGGCAAGAAGCATGCCTTTTACTTCTTTAGCATCCACTGCAACTCCTACCCCCATACTGACTACAGAGTTGTCCAAATTCATCACTCTACAAACATTGCCTTTATTTTCCTGCCCTTTAGCTTTGCTGTCTGCCATTCCTGATAATTCTGCTTAAGCCTCCCTCACCTTCTCCCTGAGGTTTTCTGTTCCCCCAAAACAGAATTAATCTGTCCTCTTCTAGTCACTGATTGGATTTGTATTTTTGTTATGGTACTTTTATGGTACTTTTTGTACTCTCCTTCATAATGTGGTTATTTACATAGCTGTCAGCCCTATTAGGTTATAAGCCCTTATTAGGCAAGGACCGTGTCTTATTTATCTTTTTGCCTGCCATTGTACTAAGGTACAGGCCTCATACATACTAATTTTTCAACAAGCATTTGTCAATTTGAATTGCATATTAGATAGTAGACAATCAGACATGACCTAGTGTTGTTAGGGCACCGAGTATGGTTGGTATATGGAAGTCCACTTACCCGCCCTGTCCTCTTGGGGTACCTAGTACCTAGCGACAGTTCACCTGGTTCACATACGACCACCTGAAGGGGTTCTTTCATTTAGAACTTAATAAAGACAATAAAATGCTCGGTAAAAATGACTAAAGCTATACTGTGAAGTTAAAACTAAACAATTAAGCATAGTTTCTCTACTATGTGTACAGAAAGCTGCAAAGATTCTGCAAGAATGTTGAGTACCAACTTGTAGTCCCTTGTCTTTGGGAGTTGGTAGCATATTTGCCCTGGGGAAGTTATATAAGGGAAGTATCTCTGAGGCCCCTTTATTCCAGGGACCTTCCTTCTGCAGTACTGGATAGTTCACAGATCCAGTACTGTTTTATTTCTCAGGCCACTCTGCTGGAATGTTTCTTCCTCATCTAAGACCATTTATTCAAGAGCAGAGAGTTCTTGGTCTTTGTGTCTGCATTTTCCCCTAAACTCTCTGTTAAAGTACTGAGTGTGAATTTCTTGAACTCGTCTCTCTTGTTCCCACTAGCCAGTGCATAGGTGCATGCAACACCAGCTAGAAGAAGGGCCTCCTCTCTCCTCCAGTTCAACCTGCTGAATGCTACCTGTCATCCTCAGGACTGTCCTCTTCTGCACTGTGGGTCTCTCTGATCTTTGCTGTGCAGCACTGAAGGAGTTTGATCAATATTGGTGGGAGAAGAAGAGCTTTCAGGATGATTCTGGGAGGAAAAAATTTTCCCACTGAATGGACATCCTGCCTGCCTCTTGTATTTTGCTCTGAACCCTTTACCTCTGTCCTCAGGCCCTTGCCTTCATCTGGACTTGGATTTCACTCTATGCCCATCATCACACCCAGCCATAGACAGTATAGGTCTATGTTACTCAAACATTTGTTAATTTATTTCAAATCCAGCCATTTGGATAATATATGCATATGGTTTGTGAATTTATCTATAATGATGCAGCATGAGAATGATAACAAAAGACCTATTTTTAATAAATTTGTCTTAGCTTTAAAATAGGAATTATTCCTTTTAAGGCATGCATCTCATAGAAAAGCAAAGATAATGAGAAAATAGAATTTTTAAAAAATAGCTAAGTAAAAGGAATAGCTGCCTTATTTTCCTCGTTGAAACAACAAAAGGGCATCCTTTGGCCAGAGAGCTCATATTCAGCTTTTGGGAGGGAATAGAGTGTTTTGTCTCTGAGGGGTGACTTTTCACACCTGTTTAGGATTCTAAAAGTTTGTGGTGGGTTGGCTCGTTTTGTTGAGAGTGCCGGCCTTGAATTTTGGTATGTGGGTCAGCTAGCAGAGGTTGCGACAGTGCTCTGTGATGGGTGACCGTCCCTAGCCCTGGCCGTCTTGAAGTGGGTACTGGGTCATAAAGAGGAGGGGCAACCCACAGCCATCCCAGCTGATGCGAGTTCAGAGCCACGCAGCCCAGAGGAGACAGCAGGTCAGGAGTGTCAGCCTCATATGCAAAGGACAGCAGTCTTATTCATGCTGCTGTCTGACCAAGAAAACCAGAACTGACTGTCTTCTTGTTATTCCCAAACAAGGTGATGCCTCTGAGTAAACACACTTCTTGCAGGCAGAAGAAATATGGAGGAATACAACCAACATGATTCCTATATTTCATTTCAGCCAATACCTTTAGTTGTCCCAAAGTTCTTACTAGAGCATTTAATTCCTACTCACTTGAATTAATTAAGTTTTATATTTCTATCCCTTTTTGAAGAGAGGGATTACAACAGCAAATTGGCCTCACCCAAAAAACAAAGGGCCAGGACAATTCCATATACTGAAGTGTTCTCATTAACCTGCATTGTGTGATTCCTTGGCTGAGTGCTTGCACATTCTGAGTGCATAATCTTCATGGCAGCTCCATGAGTTAGGTTATTATACTCACTTTCAGAAAGGAAACTGAGCCCAGAAAGAATAAGTATTGTGCTTGAAAGCAAATGTCTAGTAAGGAGCAGCCCTAGAATTCCAGCCCAGGTAGTCAAGCTTCATGGCACCACTCAAAACTGCTTATTGTACGCCAGCTCTCGTATGAGTAACCACCTCCTCTCCTTATATTCCCTAATGAAGAATCAAGGTAATGATCAGAATAAATTAACTTATAGCTTCTCTGTCAGACTTATTTAAATCAAGGTTTCATCTAGTTACTTTTTTTTCTATTTGTTTGGTCCAAAAAAGTTTCCAACAAATTGATGAGCAGACGTGGCTTCTCTCTTTGACCGCCTTGGATCTATTGATGAGCTAATTCACTGGAGGAAGGGAAGAGAAAATCCAAGGTTTGGTAGTCACTGCTTTAGTAATAGTTGATTGTATGTGTTTTGATGTCAATTCAAATGACCGATTCCATCACCAAGCACTTGAAGACCTAATTCCTGGCACTAGGCTGACATCTTTAACAACAGACCTCAGAGGAATCTTAGAGATCATCCAAGAGATGTTCTTGCTTGAAATGCAAGTCTCAGCTTCGCCAGTGGATCATGGCCCAGTGACTTTGAGCATGTGGCCTGACTTCTCTCATAGGACCTCGAAAGAGCTTTGGAGAGAAATCAAGATGATGTGCTGGAGAGAACCTAGCATTCTCAGTAATTTTTAGTTCAATCTAAATGCAGAGACAGAAAGAGAGATTCTTTTTTTAATGTCTTCAACCTCAGTGATCTGCTCATCCAACAGTGCCTACCAACACTTCTGCTGGGCATGATTATTAGTTAATTAGCAAGGGCTTTAGAGCCAGTCCAACCAGGGTTCACCACACTTTACCAGCTGCATGACCTTGGGCATCTTATTTAGTGTCTCTAAGCCTTGTTTACTTCAGTGTGGATAATGAAATCTATCTCTTAAGTTTTTATTGTGACTAAATTAGATAACATCAGTAAAGTGCTGTTTTATTCCAATCAAAACCCTATTTCCTAGTTCCAAAGGTTAAACTAAAAATAACCTTTTCCTCTGCCATAATGACCTCTAACACACAGAACACAGAATTAGCAGATAGGAATCAAAAAAGCAAGCCTTGCTGTCATCTCCTGCCCTGTGAACTGATTGGAGAGGAAGGGCACTACCCCAGGAAAGAGTATGGGCCTGTACCACTCCAAACTCCAAATGGGGTTGTTCCATGCTGATGGGAGGGGTGGGTATCGTGTGGTTACCATCAAGGCCACAAAAGTCAAACGAGGAAAGCAGTGCTGTAAGGAGTAGCACAACCTAGGGTGCATGTCTTGTGACAATAAGCTTCTTCTGTGGAGGAAGCTAGGGGTAGGCATAGCTCTTACCTAGAGCCCTGGGTGTTTGCTGGTGAGGCAGCATGTGCACAAGGGGCCCACCATACCTTCAGAGACTTCCAACCATTCGTCATCTTCTAATTCAAAAACAGCATTTGTACCTGAAGTTAAATTACTGCACAAGGCGATATCACCTAGAAGGCCTACAGGCTTCACAAATTTAGGAGACTGGTGATCAAAGAGAAAAACTCATACTAATATAGTCTCTGTTGGGGCCCCTGGGCCTCTCACAGGAAATATTCTTTTTGAAAGAACACAGTTGGCTGGGCGTGGTGTCTCACCCCTGAAATCCCAGCATTTTGGGAGGCCAAGGCAGGCGAATCACCTGAGGTCAGGAGTTCAGAGCAGCCCCGGCCAACATGGTGAAACCCCGTCTCTACAAAAAATACAAAAAATTAGCTGGATATCATGGCATGCACCTATAATTCCAACTACTGGGGAGGCTGATGCAGGAGAATTGCTTGAACCCAGGAGGCAGAGGAGCATGTGAGCTGAGATTGCCCCATTTGCGCTCCAGCCTGGATGACAAGAGCGAAACTCCATCTAAAAAAAAAAAAAAAGTACACAATTAATAAAAGTACTTAACACTAATCATGGGACATAGTAAGTGCTCAATAAATAATAGTGGTTATTATTGGTTTTGATAGTGATTATTAATATTTAATGTCACCTATCAAATCATTATTTTAGGGTTAATGCAGGTAATCTTAAGCTGTATAACTCTGTAAAAATATGCATATTTTTATATATTTATGTACAAATATATATAGGTATATAGAGATTTATAATGTTTTTGTTTTTAAAAATTCCGAAGGTAAAAATTCAAGCTGTATGGTAGGGTTTAAAGTGAACTTAAATCTGTTTCCTTCCTCTAGTATATTTAGGTATATTGATGCATAATAGATTCTCAGTAAATTTAACACAATTTCAAATAACATACTAGATTATTGTACAATGCGATCTTCTGACTTAATGATTTCACATTTTATTAGTTGGAGGTCTGTGCCATGCTCCTGGGCTCAAGAAATTCTCTTGTCTTAGACTCCAGAGTAGCAGAGACTATAGGCATGTGCCATGGTGCCTGGCTACATGCTCTTCTATTTCACAAATGAGGCATGCTTTTTAAAAACATGTCTTCCGTGGATAACATGTATCTGTTTTTTATACCAATACCATGCTGTTTTAGGTACTGTAGCTTTGTAGTATATTTTAAGGTCAGGTTTTGTGATGCCTCCAGCTTTGTTCGTTTTGCTCAGGATTTGTGTGTGTGTGTGTGTGTGTGTGTGTGTGTGTGTGTGTGTGTGTGTGTGGGGCTATTTGAGTTCTGGTTCCATATGAATTTTAGATTTTTTTTCTATTTCTTTGAAGAATGTTATTGGTATTTTGACAGGGATTACAGTGAATCTGGAGATTGCTTTGGGTAATATGGTCATTTTAATGATATTAATTCTTCTGATCCATGAACGTGGGATGTCTTTCCATTTGTGTTTTCTTCTATTTCTTTCATCAGTGTTTTGTAGTTTTTGTTGTAAAGGTCTTTCACCTCCTTGATTAAAAGTATTCATAGATATTTTATTATTATTATTATCTTGTAACTATTATAAATGGGATTGCTTTCTTGATTCCTTTTTCAGCGAGTCTATTATTGGTGTATAGAAACACTACTGATTTTGTATGTTTATTTTGTATCCTGCAACATTACTGAATTTGTTTATCAGTTCTAAGAGTTTTTTGGTGGCGTCTTTAGGTTTCTATATATTTAAGATCATGTCGTCTGTAAAGAGGGACAGTTTGACTTTCTGATTTCCATCTGGATGCCTTTTATTTCTTTCTCTTGCTTGATGGCTCTGGCTAAATCTTTCAGTATATGTTGAATAACAGTAGCAAAAGTGGGCATCTTTGTTCCAGTTCTTAGAGGATTCAGTATGATGTTAGCTGTGGGTTTGTCATACATGGGCTTTATTACATTGATATATGTTCCTTTTATCCCTAATTTGTTGAGAGTTTCTATCATGAAGGGTGTTGAATTTTGTCAAATGAGTCTTCTGCATCTGTTGAAATGATCATATGGCTTTTGTCTTTCAGTCTGTTGATGCAATGTGTCATGTTTATTGACTGGCATATGTTGAATCATCCTTGCATCCCTGGGATAAATCCCACTTGATAAATCCCACGTGATATTTGATATGTTGGATTCCATTTGCTAGTATTTTGTTGAGATTTTTAAATTATTTTTATCTTTTTTAGAGACAGAGTTTTGATCTGTTGCCCAAGCTGGAGTGCAGTGGCATGATCATAGCTCACTACAGCCTTGAACTCCTAAGCTGAGGTAATTCTCCTGCCTCAGCCTCCCTAAGTGCTGGGATTACAGGCATGTGCCACCACTCTTAGCCTTGTTGAGGATTTTTGTGTCTTATTCATCAGTGATATTGGCATTGGCCTGTAGTTTTCTTTTTTTGCTTTGTCCTTATTTCTATTTTTACTCCTTTCTCATATTAATGAGTGAAGAGATAGGTTGTTCATCTTTTTCTTATTAACTTATTAGAGTTCTTTGGATATGAAGGATATTAAACCCAAGTCACTTATGTGACAATGTTTTCTTTTTGTCATTTTCATTTTGACTGATTATTGTATTTTTTTCCCAGACAAATGTTTAAGATTTTTATGTAGTCAGATTTATCAATCTTTTCTTTTCATGGCTTCTGAACTTTTTGGCATGCTATTTTAAAACTTTAGCATAGTTTCTGTTAGTGGTAGTAGAGGTGTGTTTATATACATATATATCTTTTAAAATATATGTGTGTTATATATATAATATTGCCTTTAAATCTCTTCATCTATAATTTATTTTTATATAAGCTATAAGACTGAGTGCGATGGCTCATGCCTGTAATCTCGGCACTTTGGGAGGCTGAGGTGGATAGATTGCTTGAGTTCAGGAGTTCGAGATCAGTCTGATCATCATGGCAAAACCCCATCTTTATGAAAAATATAAAAATTAGCTTTGCATGATGGCACATGCCTACAGTCCCAGCTATTAAGGAGGCTGAGGCACGAGAATTGCTTGAGCCTGGGAGGCAGATGTTGCAGTGAGCCAAGATCGTACCTCTGCACTCCAGCCTGGGCAACAGAACAAGCCTCTGTCTCAAAAAAAAAGATATAAAATAGGGATCTATTTTTTTTTCCAGTTGGCTAGCTCAGTTTCCCAACACTATTAACTGGATAATCATTCTTTTCCCATTGATTTGCAGTGTTTCCTATATCATGCATTAATCTCCCATACAGAGCTCAGTTTGTGGTCTCCTTGTAATTTCATTGATCTGCGCCAGTACCAAACATGTTTAACTTTTGTAGTTTTATATATTTTCATATCTATTAAAAAGGCTAATTCTCTTTTATTCTTCCTTTAACATTTTTTTCTAAACAGTTTCTGGATTTTAATTTTTTCAGTCAACTTGCGTAGCATTCTGTCAAGTTAAAATTGATTTTATTCTTCACTGGTCTTTCCTACATAATTTCCAGCAACCCCTGGAGGCAGGAAGAGTGTACACCCTTTGGGTGAAGTCTGGGCAGTATTGGGGTCTCCATTTAAGGTTCTCTTCTTCCCCCTGAAGCCATCTCATTGATTCTTTCATTCAGCAAATAGTTTTGAGCTCCTATGAAGCTTTGTGCTAGGAACTCTGAGGACCACAAAACTGGTAAGACATGACTCCTGCCTGAAATGAAGTGTAGATGCTTTACTGTGGTTTCCATTGTGTCTTCAGCCACCTCTGGGGGATCTCCTTCTGTTTTTGATGGCATACCTGGATTCAGTTAGCCATGCATACACATTCCCTTAATGAGAAACTTTAGCCAGTTTTTTAAAAAAATCATTCCAAAGAGTTATTTAAAGATATTTTTTCATCACACAGTTCCTGGGACTACAGAAATGACATGGGCGAGGCTCAAGTCCTTTTCCCTACTTTCTTCCTGTCTTCTAAACCAAGCTATATTATTCTTTTTTATGTGACAGAAGGAAGTCTTTTCTTTTTTTTTTTTTAAGACACAAGTGATTGCCTGAAGCTACTTTTAGGGGAAACATATATCCTGTTGTCGTATCTCTCTCTCAAGAATCTGACTCTCAAGAAAACAGACCACAATGTAAAAGTAGTGTTGGGTGTGCTGCTTTGTAAACCACTCTGGGGGCCATGTGAGAAGAAAGCGTCTCTCAGTCAATCACTTTTCCAGAAAAGTCACAGAAGTCCGTGTTTTCAGGCAATGATCAGCGCCTCATCAGTATGCAGCACTGCTTCTACCAGCAGCATATTCAGGATTTTCTGAACAAATACTGTGATTTCCTTTTAACGTCTCTGCTGAAACTAGATTAGTGCAGCTTGAGCAGCCACCCTGGAATGAAGACCTTGTGCCGGGTCTAATGCTGCCAAGTGCAACTGCCGGGATCAGCCAGCGGGAGCCACCCTGTCACACACCTGTCATGTAGGTTGATCAGAAGCTCTCATGAAGTTTTGACTAGGCAGGGTGGGTTTCTAGATCAGCTGCTCAGTGTCCCATGTTGTTATTCTGTGACCTGTATATAGTAAAGCTTGGTTGCTGGAGGCCACCTTCTCCCAGTAGGTGATCACTTTCGCTTTCCCAGAAGGAAAGTGAGCTCCACAATCTCACTGTCCCTACTGTTACAATAAAGTTCTTGTTGGATGCAAAAATGATCATGGGTGTTTTCAACTTCTGTTACTCCTTAGTCTCACAGAAGGTTTTTGATTTATTGCTAATTGTGCTTATTGATATAGCACTTCTTACATACATGTAAAATATTATGTGCTGATTATCACAGCAGTTTTTGCCCAAAAGCATCCATATCAAGTAATCTTTGTTTTTTGTTCTTTCCCAATGTATATGTTGAACCACGTGAAATTACAATTGCAATGTTTGCAATTTCATGATTCAACCTAACAAAAGGAATCTACCCTCTTGCTACCATCATTACCACTGGTTTAACTTGCAAATCTGCTTGTAGCTCACATCTCAGTTTCTCCTTTCTCAGAAGTGGCTAAATGGCCATGGCTGGTACAGATTTCCTTTCCATCTCTATCTGGGCCTTTTTGTCACCTCTCTCCTTGTACTTGTGGGGTCAATTAAAATTCTTCTGCTGTTATCTCCATTCATGGGTCTCCTCAGACTAGCAATTAAAAGAAACCTGTCTGAAATCAGGGCAATTATAGCAAAAACTAGCCAGCACAACAGGAAGGGTGAGATTGGCCAACTTTTATAAATTAATATTACTTCCTGTTAAATCAATTATGTAAAATAGTTGTAATAGAACCCATTAATTTGTATTCCATTTATGAGATTATTCAAAGCCTGTGCTTTAGTTTGAACTATACTGTATATTTATATATAGTTATAATTTAATTACAAGAAATAATCTGTAAATAAGTGGTGTGAACATAATCGGAGGCATTATCATTTTAGAGAAAAAGAAAACTCTCAGTGCTACCTTAGAATCACCTACCAAGAACTAAAATGCTGAAGAAAAATTTTGTGGTTAGAGCAGAAACTCAAAGAAATTCACAAACCAAAACCTTGGTAGCCTACAGATACCATGTGAATGCAGAAATAGTGAACATGTCTTTTGAAAAGCAGTCTGCCATTCACTTCCCATGATCTCAGACTGGCATTTTAAAAAATACGTCTATCATTGTAAATTAGTGAGATTCTGGTATTTGATTAATATTAACAAAATACTGAGGAATGTTATTTTGTTTTACTGAAGGCAGCTAAAATGTTTGATGTTTTAATGTAAGTTTTTGCACCAGATTTTATAGGGGAAATTTTAAAAAATGAATCTACCACACCCTTGCTCCCCATGTAGTGACCTATGAGGGTGTGTGGAATGGTGTGTGAGGATGTTCTTGTTGCCTGTCTGAGCCTCAGATGCCTCATCCGTACAGGGTGGATAATCATAACTTACTTCTTAGGGTTGATGTGATAATAATATCTATAAGTTAGTAAGGGATGAGCAAACATTCATTCTCTTCCGCTTCCCTTTAACAGCCTTTTATGAACATGCTCCTTTGCTACCCTTGACGACTCTTTGAAACCTAAAAAGGAGCTTTAGTCAGATTAACAGCTGGGGCTGAATTTTAGGTCTTCCATCCAATAAGAGTGAGCTGCTGTGATTGTAAGCAGAACTTGTCTTATTTTTTCAGCCAACATTTTTGAAAACCTATTTGTGAGAATCCATGCAAGATACCTTAGAGAAAAGTTATCTCGGCGATATAATTTCAAGAGTTCCTCACTCCACCAACGTGCTGGGAATGTATACTTATCAAGCGCTCTGGATTAAGGCATTGAAGACTGTAATTAAAAAAAGAACAAAACAAAACAAAAAAACTCATGAGGGTGAGGTTGCTAACAATTAGCGTCACACCAAGTAAACACAGCAACCTTGGTCAAGTAACCACCTGAGAAGAACTTAAAATCATGGAACAAAGAAGAGAGAGATTCTGATGGGAGTGACTGTGTCTTTCTTTGAACAAACTCGAGGTCCTGCCATGCCAGGCACTGTAGGGCCTATGTACTTGGAGACGCAGCCTGGACCCTGCTAGGCTAGGTGCCCTAGCAAAGAGTTCTGGGCATGTTTGATAAAGGGGGTGAAGGAAAAGGAAGCACATTTGCAAGAAAGGGAGGGGCCAGCCTGTCAAGATAAAGATAGCCTAATGACAACCTTGTGAGTGAGTTATATTCACTCATCTACCCGGGGAAATCTGGGAAAGTCACCAAGAATGGGCTGTGTTCCTTCTGCAATGTGGAAAAATGCATTGTCAAGTCATTACAAACAACAGAGAAAAATGGGCACAAACCCACTGGGAGTGATATATTTCTCTGAATATTCCATGATCGCTTAGTCCACTTAATGCAACTTTTTTTTTTTTTTTTTTTTTGAGACAGAGTCTCACTCTGTTGCCCAGGCTGGAGTGCAGTGGCACAATCTCGGCTCACTGCAACCTCCTTCTCCTGGGTTCAAACAATTCTCCTGTCTCAGCTTCCCAAGTAGCTGAGATTACAGGCATCTGCCACCACACCTGGCTAATTTTTGTATTTTTGTAGAGACGGTTTCACCACATTGGCCAGGCTGGTCTTGAACTCCTGACCTCAGGTGATCCGTCTGCCTCGGCCTCCCAAAATGCTGGGATTACAGGCATGAGCCACCACACCTGGCCAAATGCAACTCTTAAAATGCCAAATTTACACCAAGATTAGCGTTCGTTTATCTAATCCAGAAGGGAAACTGACATTTTGAATGTCTACTACCGCACAGCCCAATATGGTAGCCACTAGCTACAGGTAGAATTTAAATTTAAAATAATTAAAAGACAGTAACACTTTAAAATTCTAAAAATTAAATTAAAAATTCAGCATAGTAGTCTCTCTAGTCACATTTCAAGTGCTCAATAACCACATGTGGCTTGTGGCTGCCATATTAGACAGTGTCCATGTCCATCATTACAGTAAAAGTTCCATTGGACAGCGCTGGTTTAGTAGTATCAGCATTACTCTTGTACACTATGTTGTACATGTGTTATCTTATTGATTCCCAAATCTATCCCAAAGAAGGACTTCATTCTCATTTTGCAGATGAGGCAAGAATCCCCAGAAAAATAAGCAGTTCTCTTTCATGTAGTGGCCACTCCAGTATCTGACTGATGCTCAGCGTTCTGTGAATGGACAGCTAAGCTAGGTTGTGAGAGACTGGGATTGTTGGACTAGGAAGCCCAGCACTTCCAACAGTGGAAAGATTCTGTTCCAGTATGATCACATTTTATTTTATTTATTTATTTTTTTGAGACAGGGTCTTGTTCTGTGTTTCAGGCAGAGTGCTGTGGCATCATCATGGCTCACTGGAGCCTCCACCTCCCGGGCTCAAGCAATCCTCCCACCTCAGCCTCCCAAGTAGTGGGGCTATAAGTACACACTATCATGCCTAATTTTTTTTTAAAATTTATTTTTTGTAGATATGGGGCCTTACTATGTGACCTAGGCTGGTCTCAAACTCCTGGGCTCAAGCAATTCTCCTGCCTCAGCCTCCCAAAGTGCTGGGATTTCAGGCATGAGCTACCATGCCCAGCCTGGTTGCATTTTAAAATCAAACCTTTGTAGACCCTTGCTTCTCCTTGCTGTAATTTTACGATTTGCCTAAATACTAAAATTACTTATACAGTGAGAAAGTCTATTTCAGTTTTAAAAGGACAAGGTAAGTAAGTAGATGCCTAGTCCCGAGCTGGGAATGGAGAATGGCTGCAAATAGGCACAAGGTTTCTTTTGAGGTATTGGAAATGTTCTATTAGATTGTGGTATAAATTATGTTCTGTAAATTTATTAAAAATCACTGAATTGTCACTTAAAATGTGTGAATTTTACATATGTAAGTTATACCTCAATAAAGCCATTTTTTTAAAAAAAGAACAATATATAAATCCTAAAACTCTAGGGCAGCCAAAAATTTAATGTGAAAAAGCTGCCAAACCTTTAATTAGTGGGTCAAAGTTTAATTGCTGGTATTTTCCGAATTTCCCCCATGATGTTGAAAAAGAAATGATGTTTCATCTGGAGCCAAGCACCAGGAAACTCTACAAGGTATACATTATTATCTACATTTTCTAACGGAGGAAATTAGGATGCAGAAGGTTAAATAACTTGCTTAAGATTCACAGCCAACTAGAACTGGTGACAGTGTCAAACCTAATACTGTCTGGATCCAACAGCCATGGCTGCTGTCCTGTTGATATTATGCACCCTCTCTGTGTGAATGAGAAGAAGCCCTTACATTGTTTCACTTGAGATCACCTTCCTTCTCTCAGAAGACAGCAGCTAGCTGATTTTCCAGTGTTACTATCTGCATTTTGCATTTTGTACTTGAGAAGATTCCCTAAAGGGAAAAGAGTCTAGACCAAAATACCTTTCTTTTTTTTTTTTTTGAGACAGGGTCTGGCTCTGTCACCCAGGCTGGAGTGCTGTGCTGTGACCTTGGCTTACTGCAATATGACTTTATCACTACATGGTATGACTTGCAGAGGTGTCTGCATAAGAGCTTTTGAGGGACTAGTCCCTGTCATGTTTCTTACACGTGGGTTAACAGCTCAGTTTTAGATCATTTGATAAATTGGGTAGCTCGCTCCTACCTGTTTTATGAATAGAATGCTAGAAAATTATAAGCTCATGGGGCTTCCATCAGGTCTTTTCAGCTTTGGCCAGGCCTAGTAACCTTTACGTCTTCAGTTATGTTCTCTTAGCATCTAACATTCTTTCCTTCTTGCCATCTCTCTCTCTTTTTGATCATTAACTATTTAGCCAGATATCTGGGTGACGCCTCTCCAACCTGTCCTGCTCTTACTAAGCCTTGCATGGCCACTTGCCCTTCCTGGATACTTCCAGTGGTCAGGCCCAGGGAGTTTCCTTCTGGCCTCTCTAGCTCACTTGCTCTTCCCTCTGTGCCTTTGTAAATAACACAGATCCTTTCCTTTATCTTTTCCTTCCTTTTTTTCTGGGATATGTTCAACTAGTTGAAACAAAATAAACCAAACCAAACCAAAAATAAATAAAAACAAGAAACCAAGCCAGTACCAAGCCAGCAGAGCATGTCTATGGGCCACATGTGGGCTCTTGAATGTTGGACTTCTGCTTTTTCATATACAAAGCAATGTAGATGACATTAAAAAAACAACAACAAAGTAAATGTTGTAATGATATAAACTAATTATGAAAATGGGTATCACAGTGCTTTATTTTTCCCTCTACCAATATCCTTAGAAACAGGGAGTAAACAGGAACTTCTGCTTCTACATATTTGGCCATAGTAGAGTTTATTAGATTTGAGATTCTTACAGTGTCATTCACATTTCAACATAAAGTTCATTTGTAGGAGTCCCTGAGTCACTTCTTGTGTACTCAGAGATAATTGAATCCCAGGATTTGAAAAGTTGTTAAGGTACTTTCAGGAAATCAGCTGTCTTCTAGTGGCAGTAGTGGAGTGTGTATTCAGCTGCTTGACTCACTACCTCAGCAGGCAGCTTGCTTTTTTTGTGAACTGTAGGCACTAACCATCCCCAGGACATGTTTTCAAAACCAGGCAAGTGCCTTCTTCCTGACTTACGTACCACAGTCTCACTTGGGTTCCTGATGTCTTCACAGCAGCCAGTTCAGCTCCCTTAGAATGGTCCATCACACATCCCATTTCCAGCAAAGCATTGCCTAGGACTAACTCCAAACTGTTTTTGTAGATATTTTAGAAACACTGGGTCAGGCACAGCGGTTCACACCTGTAATCCCAGCACTTTGGGAGGCCGAGGCAGGAAGATCACCTGAGCCTAGGAGTTTGAGACCAGCCTGGGCAACATGACAAGGCCCTCTCTCTACAAAAAAAAGAAAAAATGAATAAAAATTGAAACATTGTGTTTTTTTTTCTCTTACTCTGGATTTTATGCAGCTATACCTAAACTCAGACAAAAGGTGTATTCTGAGAGAACTCTGCTTTAAAGGACTTCAAGATAGCTCTCTTTTTAGGCAATGAATACGTCTATGAAAGTCACCCTGCACTTACTCGTTTTGTAGGTCCAAAGTTTTTCCCTAGTAGATTTGCACAGAAGAATTTGATTATAATTCAGTTAACAAATACATTTCCTCTATAAAGGGCACTTTCAGAAGCACTATATAAAGTTCATGGATTTGGACACATTGCGGTTATCAGGTTTATAGTACATCTTCTATGCAGTAAATACAGTAAGAAAAATGGCTACATTTCAAGATGGGTTATTGTGCATATATAATCATTGAGAAATTAATGCTTTTTGTTTTTATCAATGTGAAAATGTCAGCACTAGGAAATGAGGATGAAAAGTTGATTTATTGTGTGCCTGTTATGTGCCAGGTCCTGGAGTAGGTATTTTAATGTCACATGCAGCTCAGTGTGGGATGTGAATCTGCTGGCTCTAAGGCTGAACTACCTGAGTTTGAGTCTCAGCCTTCCCACTGCTGCAAGGATTCAGTGAGATAAAGTGTCCAAAACATCTAGCCCATGCTGGTGTGATAGCAAGAACTCAGTAAATATTACTGCTCATTATATCTTGTTCCATTTAATCCTGTGAAGTAGGCACTGTCCCTCTTTAATAGACAAGAAGACTGTCTCAGAGTGGTCCAGTAACTTCTATAAAGTTTTCTGCAGTATGTTGCAGAGGCAAAATTTAGAACCAGGACTTGACTGGGCACTCTGATAAAACCGCTAACCAGGAGTTCTTGTTCTAGGCTGCCAGGAAAATCTATGCTACCCTTGCTAGAATGATGGCCTCTACTGAGAGACAAAGTTGCCCTTAAAGGCAACAAATTCACAAGTCAACATTTCTACATGTAGAAAAACTTTCAAAGGACCAGATTCAGCAGTCAACTATTTCTTAAAGCTTTTTCCCCCACTCAGTGGACAGCAGATTCTCAGCTATATGGATAGGTCTATGTTTTTCAAAACCTGTGCATGATTTATGAAACATAATCAAATACACCAGTCCTCCCAATACCTCTGCTGTGTAAATGTTACCATCTATGCAAATATCAACTTTTAATGCCAGCTTAAGGAAACTGTAAGGATGATGTTCCTGTAGCAGCCATAAGACAAACCTCCAGGGTTTTTTGCGGTGGGGGAGGCAAGGAAGGGGTTGACTTTTTAACTTCGCCACATCAGTCAGACTGGATTTCAGAACTTTTTTTTTTTTTTTTTTTTTTTTTGAGACGGAGTCTCGCTGTGTCGCCCAGGCTGGAGTGCAGTGGTGCAATCTCAGCTCACTGCAAGCTCCGCCTCCGGGGTTCACGCCATTCTCCTGCCTCAGCCTCCTGAGTAGCTGGGGACTACAGGCGCCCGCCACCACGCCTGGCTAATTTTTTTTTTTTTTTTTGTATTTTTAGTAGAGACGGGATTTCACCATGTTAGCCAGGCTGGTGTCGAACTCCTGACCTCGTGATCCTCCCACCTCGGCCTCCCAAAGTGCTGAGATTACAGGCGTGAGCCACTGCGCCTGGCCTTTTTTAATTTTTTTATTTTTATTTTATTTTATTTTTTTTTTGAGATGGAGTCTTGCTGTGTCATCCAGGCTGGAGTGCAATGGTGCCATCTCGGCTCACTGCAACCTCTGCCTCCCGGGTTCAAACGATTCTCCTGCCTCAGCCTCCCGAGTAGCTGGGATTACAGGCGCCCCCCACCATGCCCGGCTAATTTTTGTATTTTTAGTAGAGATGGGGTTTCACCATGTCAGCCAGGCTGGTCTCAAACTCCTGACCTGGTGATCCACCCACCTTGGCCTCCCAAAGTGCTGGGATTACAGGCGTGAGCCACCGTGCCCAGCCTTCAGTGCTGTTTAAATAGCTCTTCTAGTGTGGGCTTCAACTGAGAACATCCCTGTTTTCATCCTCAAGGTTGTTTTTCTGCTCAGTGTTCTTGTTGACCACGTCTGGGCTGCTGCAGGACAATGATTGAAGTTTTAGTAGTGAAAGAGTTCAATAGTGTTGACATTGAAACTGGAAAATCATTTTACTAATGTAAGATGATGCTTTACTATATTGAAATCTTAGACAAATAGATGACCCATAGCCCAAATACAGGTAGGATTTATCTTTTGTAATAAGCTGAGTCTCTTTTTCCTTTAGATGTATATGCAAAAGAGAAGATGGATGAAAACTAACGTTTCACAAGTGATATGGGCTTAATATAGCACAAAACAAGAAGAATTGGTGCTGAGTATCACATAATTTTCATTGCAGTTTACTTCCTAGCACTTAATCTAGTCAAAATATTTTTCTTCACAACATTGCTACTTTCCGAATAACTCAGATGCTTAACTATATTCTGCCATCTAAATTTATATCTGCAATAAGGCATGGAGTGTGTGCATCAAATTTTAGGCAAATGAAAAAGAACTCGCCCCAGGATACTGTTATGGATGTGACAATTTAAGAAGCTACACATCATCTGAAACTATTCTATTTTCTTTGCCAGGGTTCAGCGGATTCCTACACAAGCAGGCCGTCTGACTCCGATGTCTCTTTGGAAGAGGACCGGGAAGCAATTCGACAGGAGAGAGAACAGCAAGCAGCTATCCAGCTTGAGAGAGCAAAGGTGAGTCTCTTTCCTTCTCTTTGGCTCAAAAGTGGGTCGTTGCTCAGTGGCTACCAGCTGCTCTTCCCTTACCTCACATTTCTGGAATAATCATTTTGTGATTATTCTAACAAGGCTCCAGATTGGGAAGCTCTCTGATCCTTTCACCTCTAAGTGAGGTTAGTAACATCTCCAAAGAGGCATTTCCTCAGAACCTTCACCTTTTTGTATTTGGTTTGGTGGTGAATTATTGGTCGTCTTCCAACTTAGCAATATCAAACCTCCCATGCCCAGTGTTGGCAGACAGCCCCCCAGGCACCAGCTGGCCCTGCCTATTCCTGGCCCCTCCTCATCCATTACTTCAGCCTTTATTACAGGCCACACGTGTGCTGTTGTTCTGTGGATCGCCCTGTTTGTTTCTCTACTCTTCTCTCTCGCTTTCAGTATCCCACCTCAAGTTCAGTGTGAAGTTCAGGACTTTGAACAACTCTGAGAAGTGCAGCAAAGACAAGCAATAAAGGCCATTGCCAAAATAGACCTTCAGATATTCCACAAGAAGAGGCCTCCATAGAAATCGCTGCATCCACAGGAAGCAGCAAGGAGCCAACTGCATGGTTGAAAGTTAGAACCAGAAGAGTCACTAGGGATCTCCCATTCCATGTGCTTCCAACTTTGTTTTGTTTGTTTGTTTGCTTTTTGATTTTTTGAAGCACGACCCTTTTTGTCCAATGAAATTTTATGCACAATAGCAAAATACAAGACAAGGTCATGGCCGGCCTGTCCTCTTTGCCCTACGTGACAGACTCCTAAGGTATATTGGTTCAGTCTTCTGATTTTTAGAAGAAGAAAAAACAGAAGCCCAAATAAAGTGAATTCCTTCCCTTTTCTATTTTTATTGTAAAATATTTAGAGGTGAGAGGCTGTGCATGGTGGCTCACATCTGTAATTCCAGCTACTTGGGAAGCTAAGGTAGGAGGATCACCTAGGCCCAGGAAATAAAGGCTGCAGTGAACTGAGATCACACCAGTGCACTCCAGCCTGGGCAACAGAGCAAAACCCTACCAAAAAAAAAAAAAAAAAAAAAAAAAAAGAGGGGCCGGTGCAGTGGCTTACGCCTGTAATCCCAGCACTTTGGGAGGCCGAGGCGGGCAGATCATGAGGTCAGGAGTTAGAGACCAGCCTGGCCAACATGGTGAAACCCCACCTCTACTAAATATACAAAAAATAGCTGGGCGTGGTGGTGTGCACCTGTAATCCCAGCTACTCGGGAGGCAGAGGCAAGAGAATCACTTGAACCCAGGAGGCAGAGGTTGCAGTCAGCCGAGATCACACCATTGCATTCCAGCCTGGGCAACAGGGTGAGACTCCGTCTCAAAAAAAAAAAAAAAAAAAGATGGGAGGAGAATGATGCAGTCAAATTAGGTGTCTTCATTTGCCTCAACACCTATGATGTCTGTACTCTGTTGGTGGAAGGGGCTTTTCTTGCAGTACATGTGAAGGGACATCAGTGAGGTTTCAGCCTTAACTGCTGTTCCCCAGTCAGATTCCCAGCACAAATACATAAGCTGGTAACAAAGCAGCTCAGAATATCAGGAATCTTGTGTCTCACTGTGGCTAATTTTTGTTACAAAATTTTCTTTCAGAATCTGTTTTGTGACCAGTGTGGTCACCCGAATTTGGGTGGCAGCACCGTTTGCTTAGGCTGGTGGTTTACGTGTCCCCACAGTGCTGTGCCAGCCTGAGAGCACTTTGCTGAGAGGCATTTGTGTAAAAAGAGTTTCAAAACCAGCTTCGTTAGCTAGAGAGAAGGTGATCTGTGAAGAGCCCTGCCCATCAGCTTTGACGCTGACTAACCCTTCTTTTCCCCGGCAGGACCAGATATTCTGTTGTATAGAATCCCACACGTTTTCAGATCTGGACTATTTAAAAAATACTATTTTATCCTCTTCCCACCTTTTTTTTTTTCTTTTTAAAAAGACCTTGCACACATTTCCTGTATTCCAAGTTAAGAAGCTATTGGTTATCATTTAAAATAAACACAGATTTTAAGATTAGAGAAGAGACTGTCCTCCCCTGCCTTTGTCTATCCCTCTTAATACTTTAGAGCACATTTTAAAATTTGGAATATTGGAAAGTATTGCAGGAAAGGAAAAATGGTTGGGCTGATAGGACCAATCATTTTCAGAGTCATCTCTGCAGGTTTCTTGATATTGCTTGAGAATGTAAAACTCATTTGAGATCCCTCTTTGGAAAGTTATTTCTCACTACCTGGTACTATCAGAGTTTCAATATGAAAAATGCTCCTCTCTCCTCCCTTCCTCATTCCTTATTCCATGGTTCTGTCCCTAGTCCAAACCTGTAGCATTTGCCGTGAAGACAAATGTGAGCTACTGCGGCGCCCTGGACGAGGATGTGCCTGTTCCAAGCACAGCTATCTCCTTTGATGCTAAAGACTTTCTACATATTAAAGAGGTAAATGTAGAACATACTGCATCCCTTCACCTGCCAAAAAGCTGAAGCCAGGAATCAGCTCTGAGCCAAACTAGCCAGAGAGGAGACCCAAGGAGCTGCCAGTGCAGTACATGATTTAATTTGCTGAGCCTCCCAAATCTAGTCATTCTCATTAAGATTGAGAAGTCTGAGATCATTGCTTGCATTATCACACACTGACAACATTAAATCACAGTCAACCTTAAAATTATAGCATAGATTTCTGACAGACCTCTATGGTCCTCTGGGCACCTTTAAATCCCCTTCTGTGACTGCAGAGCCATAAATATATGGATCCAACTTTGGAAAATGTAAGTTTGGTGTCATGGCACCTACCCAGAAGGGACTGTTTACAGGGGATGTTGTAATTATAGACATGTAGACTATAGTGCTGTGCACCTTGACTATGGAACCAACACTAGAGTGTATAATCATTCAAAGAAAGATTTACAGCTAAGAAAAGGGCAGAGGGCTCTGGGAAACAGAAAGGCAAAAGGGTAAAGTGTTTGAGTAGCCAAGAAGGGTGGGATCCAAGACCCCTAGTGGAGGGACAGACCTTTGATAGAAAGAAGAATGCTAATTCATTGTGACATGCAGGGAAAAGATGAGTGCAGGCACAGACACTTCAGGGCCTTGGGAATAGGAAACTGAGGACCCATCAACTTCAACCATGGCCTCTACTTTCTTGATGGTATATGAGGTGAGGATGTCTACATTTGTCTAGAAGACAAGAACTCTTGACCTGAAACATGTGCCCTGGCATCTGAATGGTTAAGTTGATTATGTCTCACCATTTCCATCAAAAATGCCCAAGCCATATTCATTAGTTGCTAATACCCACTGTGTCCAAGGAGAAGCACCACTTGAAAAGGTAAGAGATGTTCTTACATGTGACATGCACACTCACTCACACCAACATTCCAACCTTGTATTTGATTGCTTTCCTGCATTGTATCAAGGTCTCAATTTGTCCTGGCTGCTGTTTGAGCTATGTGCTTGTTGATCAGTGATTTTCTCTTCAGTCTGGCAGTTTGATGTGACATTGAGCTGGTAATCTTATGTGGACCAGAGCCTCTTGTTTTCATGTCTTGAAATTATCAGATAAGAAAACATCTTTGATATAGAAAGTGCTAATCATTTTAGGGAAATCCAAATAGAGAAGGGTTGGAACAACACCGAGGTGACCTCTGTAGAGAGCTGGCACAAGTTCCCAGAACATCAACACAAATGAATACATTTCTATAATCAAGTTATAGCCTTCCCTCTCATCCATCACTTAGAAGGCCATCTATTATGCACCATGTTAAGTAGTTTCTCAATAATAAAAAAAAAAAAGCTTAAATGCAGAGAAAAGCTACAACTATGCTTGTCACATAAGCCAAATGATGATCAAATTAAGCTCTTGATTTTACATAGTGACTTTCTCCCTAGTAACTCAAAAAATTCATTCCTCCTGAGTCAGATTCTCACTGTGCTTTCGCTGTTTCCTAGAACTAAGTTAAAACATTTTGGGAAGTTGAATTAACCATTTCAGCAAGCCCTTTAAAGTCATTTGGGTGCCATTTAACAAATGAGTGTTCCAGTGGGCTATGCCACTTCATTTCAGGAAGTAACTTAAGCCCTAGGAAACTATGACTCATGGTCTGTTTTGTCCTCAACACAGTAAAATTTAAATTCCAGACCTATGCACCCAAGATTCTAAAAGGGTCCCTTTGCCCTTTGTTAATTCCAAAATAAACAGACCTATTATTTTAGGCCTGTTATACTAAAAGACAGGAAAGTGGGGAAAAACAACTAAGACCTAGATTGTTCAAGGTTTTATATCAGGTCAATTCACATTTTTTTCTTTTCTTTTCTTTTTTATTTTTTTGGAGACAGGTTCTCGCTCTGTTTTCCAGGCTGGAGTGCAGTGATGCAATCACAGCTCACTGCTGTCTTGAACTCCTGGGCTCAAGTGATCCTCCCACCTCAGCCTCAGCCTCCCAAGTAGCTAGGACTACAGGTGCACTACTACACCCAGCTAATTGTGTAGTCTAGTATAGTGCACTACACTAGCTAATTGTGTAGTACACTAGGTAATTAGTAGTACACTACTATACTAGCTAATTGTGTAGTACACTACACTAATTGTATAGCTAGCTAATGGTGTAGTATTGTGTAGTACACTAGGACTACAGGTGCACTACTATACCCAGCTAACTGTGTGTGTGTGTGTGTGTGTGTGTGTGTGTAGACAGGGTCTTGCTATGTTACCCTGGCTGATTTCAAACTCCTGGCCTCAACTGATCCTCTTACCTCAGACTCCAAAAGTGCTGGGATTACAGGAATGTGCCACCATGGCCAGCCCTCAATTTACATTTATTTCAATGCAATCTCATACTTTATGCCACTCATATAGTATGCATGGAGAAGCTGTGTGCATAACAAAGGCCAAATTCTTACCAGAACATATTTCTCATGAGTGTGAAGCTGTTACTCAGAATAATTTAAAGTTTACCCAGAACTTCATGGTGTGATTATTCAATGAAACCTTCCATTCCTCCTTCATAATGTATCAGAATCATATATATATATATACACACACAGACATATATATAAATTTCGCTTTTCTATGAGCTCAGCAAAATATACTACATATCATTGTTACATTTTGAAAAAAGTATATGTTTATAAATATATATATTTTGGGTCAAAATAGGAGAGAATTATCTTGCCCAACACTGATAAAAACAGTAAAGGAAGTTTTTAGAATCATCTCCAGAGAGTTTAAACAATAGAGCTGGTATCTATTTTGTAGAAGTGACCTAGCTGAAACCTTTCCTTGAGGCAGGGAGCTTGAACTAAATTGCTTTCTGCTGTATAATTCAGCAAATGTATAATTAGAAATGCAATTTTGCCAATCCACCAAATAAGCCCACATTGACAGACTCTCACCCCACACTGGTTGAAGCCTTCTCATAGACTTGAGTTTGCTTGTCATGGAACTTAACTTAAATGGAAATTCTGGAGTTCCTCTTGGGCTTCAGAGCATTTGGAAGTTATTTGCAAAATTTCACATACAAATATATAATACGCTCAGACTTTGTAAGTGTAGGCATCTTTTTCTTCAAGTAGTAAGATGGACCTTAATTTGCAAATCTATATTTGAAAGATCATGACTCTTCCCCAGTGAGATTAGACCACAGATAGTATCGTGGAATTTTTAACTGAAAGCTTTTGACAAATTATGGACTATTAAATGTATTTCATCTCAGACATATCTGTCTTGCCTTCCAGAGTTCCAGTTACATTGGTGCATATTTATCCTTATAAAATATGTTCTTTAAGAATTGGTTAGAGCTTCTTGACAAAGACCAAAAGAATCCAAAGGTTAGGACCAGACATTAGTCCAGGGATTCACAAACTATAGCCCACAGGTCCAGTCTGACCCACTCTCTTTTTTGTAAAGAAAAGTTTTATTGAAACACAGCCATGCTCACTTGTTGATGTTTGTCTGTGGCTGCTTTCACACAAGGACAGCAGATTCAACTAATTGTAACAGAGACCACGTGGTCTGCAAAGCCTGAAATATTTACTACTTGGACCTTTACAGAAAAAGTTTGCAGAACCCTGCTTTAGTCTATGCATCTACCTCAGATATATATATATATAGTATGTATATATAGATATATATGTATATATAGATATCTATGTGTATATATAGATATCTATGTGTATATATAGCTATCTATGTGTATATATAGATCTATATATGCACACATACATATACAATATACTTTATATTAATATATAGTATAGGTATATATACACATATATACATACACAATATAGTTTATATAAATATAGTATATATAGATATATACATATATACATATACAATATAGTTTATATAAAATGTATAGTATAATATAGTATAGATATATAGATATATACACATATACAATATAGTTTATATAAAATGTATAGTATAATATAGTTTATATAAAATATAGTATATAGTATAGTATATAAAATATAGTATACACACATATACATATAAAATATAGTCTATAGTATAGTATATAAAATATAGTATACACACATATACATATAAAATATAGTTTATATAAAATATAGCATATCATATCATATAAATAGCATTTTATTCTTCTTGTCCCCTAAGATTAATAAACAACGTGAAGATAAGTGAATTACTATTGATAGCAATTTTATTTCTGAATTCCAGAAATATAACAATGATTGGTGGATAGGAAGGCTGGTGAAAGAGGGCTGTGAAATTGGCTTCATTCCAAGTCCACTCAGATTGGAGAACATACGGATCCAGCAAGAACAAAAAAGAGGACGTTTTCACGGAGGGTACGTTCCCATCTTTTCTATGCACTTTTTTTTGGTCAGAAAATTGGGTGATATTTTCAAGGGTGTATACTTTCAAAGTAGAAGATACTTTTCTGTGTGCAAAGTGTTTCTGAAACTGACACAGAAGAGTTTCAGATAGTTCTCTATCCTCTGTGCATGCTGAAGCCTAACACCACTGGAGACCATATGAATTCCATGGCAGAGACTGTTTTCTGTGGCCTCAGCAAGCCCTCCTTGGAACCCAAGCTTTCCTCTAGGAGAGTCACTTCGGGCATTCTTTCTCCACACAGTGAGTGGGAGCTGACCTGAACCAGCAGTATGGCTCCTCTTGGTTCGCTTACAGAGACTCTCCCTTAAGTGGGCACAAAATGTGATGGTATCGCCCCTACTGGGAAGTGAGGAGCCCCTCTGCCCGGCCAGCCGCCCCGTCCGGGAGGGAGGTGGGGGAGTCAGCCCCCCGCCCGGCCAGCCGCCCCGTCCGGGAGGTGAGGGGTGCCTCTGCCCGGCCGCCCCTACTGGGAAGTGAGGAGCCCCTCTGCCCGGCCAGCCGCCCCGTCCGGGAGGGAGATGGGGGGGTCAGCCCCCCGCCAGGCGAGACGCCCCGTCCGGGAGGGAGGTGGGGGGTCAGCCCCCTGCCCGGCCAGCCGCCCCGTCCGGGAGGTGAGGGGTGCCTCTGCCCGGCCGCCCCTACTGGGAAGTGAGGAGCCCCTCTGCCCGGCCAGCCGCCCGTCCGGGAGGGAGGTGGGGGGGTCAGCCCCCCACCCGGCCAGCCGCCCCGTCCGGGAGGGAGGTGGAGGGGTCAGCCCCCTGCCTGGCGAGCCGCCCCGTCCGGGAGGTGAGGGGCGCCTCTGCCCGGCCGCCCCTACTGGGAAGTGAGGAGCCCCTCTGCCCGGCCACCACCCCGTCTGGGAGGTGTACCCAACAGCTCATTGAGAATGGGCCATGATGACGATGGCGGTTTTGTGGAATAGAAAAGGGGGAAAGGTGGGGAAAAGATTGAGAAATCGGATGGTTGCTGTGTCTGTGTAGAAAGAAGTAGACATGGGAGACTTTTCATTTTGTTCTGTACTAAGAAAAATTCTTCTGCCTTGGGATCCTGTTGATCTATGACCTTACCCCCAACCCTGTGCTCTCTGAAACATGTGCTGTGTCCACTCAGGGTTAAATGGATTAAGGGCGGTGCAAGATGTGCTTTGTTAAACAGATGCTTGAAGGCAGCATGCTCGTTAAGAGTCATCACCACTCCCTAATCTCAAGTACCCAGGGACACACACACTCTGCCTAGGAAAACCAGAGACCTTTGTTCACTTGTTTATCTGCTGACCTTCCCTCCACTATTGTCCTGTGACCCTGCCAAATCCCCCTCTGCGAGAAACACCCAAGAATGATCAATAAAAAAAAAAAATGTGATGGTATGTGCAGGTCCCGGCACTGATAGTACCTTCTCCACCCCAGGCTTTTTGTGGCATCTCTTGTCTCCTGGTATTTGGGTGAAGACAGCTTCAGGTGAATCAACCTCTAGTGAGCTACTGAAGTAGGCATGTAGATCTCAGAGTGCAGGTATTTAAAGGTCCCAGGAACACAAGCACAGCTTGACAGAAGAGAAACCAAATCATCCTGAGTCTGCATGTATTGTGTCGCAGCCTGCACTGAAGCATTGATTTGATATGTTACACTTTTTTGAAAGTTCTAAAATAGAAGCAGCTCTTTCTCTTGACCCTCAACCTCTGTTTTCTGTTGAATGCTTTTCTATTTCAAAAAACTCCTGTGTTCTTTAGGCGCCTACCTTTGTCATAATAAGAACCGCACCAACTGTAATAGGAGATCACAAAAGTATAGTTACCCCACTTTTAATTACCAATCTTTTTTAGCATATAACTTGCCAATACTATTATTAATATTAATCCCTCTTGTCCCTTGTATTAGTCTGTTCTCATACTTCTTCTTTTTTTTTTTTTTTCTTAGAGTCTCGCTCTGTCGCCCAGGCTGGAGTGCAGTGGCGCAATTTTGGCTCACTGCAACCTCTGCCTCCTAGGTTCAAGCGATTCTCCTGACTCAACCTCCTGAGTAGCTGGGGTTACAGGCACGCACCATCGTGCCTGGCTAATTTTTGTATTTTTGGTAGAGGTGGGGTTTCATCATATTGGTCAGGCTGGTCTCGAACTCTTGACCTCGTGATTTGCCCGCCTCGGACTCCCAAAGTGTTGGGATTACAGGTGTGAGCCACTGTGCCCGGCCTGTTCTCACACTTCTATAAAATTGGAGAACTTATGAGGAAAAGAGCTTTAATTGTCATGGTTCTGTAGACTGTAAAGGAAGCATGGCAGCATCTGCTTCTGGGGAGGTCTCAGGGAGATTTTACTGGTAGCAGAAGGCCAAGCGGGAGCAGGTGTCTTACATGCCTGGAGCAGGAGGAAGAGACGGGGAGGTGCCACACACTTTTAAACAATCAGATCTCACTATAACTCACTCATTGTCACAGGAACAGCACAAGGAGATGGTGCCAAACCATTCATGAGGGACTGCCCCCGTGGTCCAGTCACCTCTCACCAGTCCCCACCTCCATCACTGGGGATTACATCTCAACATGAGATTTGCGGGGGACACAGATCCAAACCATATTATCCCTTTTTTTCTAAAATTTTGTCTTCCATGCCCCTTTTTAGACACATGGGGAGCATGTGTTCCTGTCTTGGGGTCTTTGCATTTGCTGTTTTTTCTTACTGGAACCTTTTTCTTCACACTTACACCCGGCCACTCCATCTGCTTTATATCTTTGTTAGGTATCACCCTTTCAGTGACCCCTTTCCTGCCAATTGTATTTAAAATTGTACCCACTCCCCTTCCCTGTACTTCCCATCCCTTCCCTGACTTAGTTTTCTCTGTTGCACTTATTACTCTCAGAAATATTATATATTTACCTATCTATCTTGTTTGGTATAAGCTGAGCATCCATAATCTGAAAAGCTGAAATCCAGAATGTTCCAAAATTTGAAACTTTTTGAGGACTGACATGATGCTCAAAGGAGATGCTCATTAGAGCATTTTCGATTTCAGACATTTGGATTAGGGATGTTCAACTAAGTATATAGTGCAAATTTCCGAAATCTGAAAACAGTGGAAATCCAAAACATTTCTGCTCCCAGGCATTTTGGATAAGGGATATTCAACCTGTACTGATATGTCCTACTAGTATATGACTCAATAAGGGAAAGGATTTTGTCTCCCCAATGCCGCTGTCTTATTTCTACTTTCCAAAACAGGGATGTACAATCCATATTTGTTGAATAAAATAACTGAATTATTATCATTTTCAAAGTTTTATTGTTATTATTATTTCTTAATTGTTACAGTCATGGGCCATATAACTTTTTTGTCAAAGACAAAAAGTAGGAAGGTGGCAGCTCCCGACGGCATTTGTGGGCTTCAGGGAAGCTTCCAGAGCACACCTGAGGAGACCAGAGTTGAGGATCTTCTATTTAAATAAATAATATTTTTCGTGACCAATTCCCTACGATCAGTTCTTAATTCTGATGCCCACATAATCATCTTGTAAGAAGAAATGGTTTCTCCAGGTCTAACTGCTTGTTTTGAGCTGTGTTTGACATCTGACTGGCACATTGGTGCCTGGTGTTAGGTTAACAAGCAGTTCATAAGACCATTCCCGTCAGTGATGGTTTTGTCTGATTTCCGCACTGAGTAACTAGAAGAGATGCTTTTGCAGAGTATTCCAGGTCTCGGCTAGTTCTCCACATTCTCTTAGAAATGAGGTCAAAGAAAACATTTGGATAGATTCTTGAAATTCTTTATAGCAGAATTTGGTGTGTTTTGAATTATTTAATAGGATGAGGGCCAAAGAAAGCTTTGTACTCTCAAGTTCTATTTTCAAAGAATCTGGGGAGTGAGTCTTTAGTTCCTTTTCTATATCCTAGGAAATCAAGTGGAAATTCTTCTTCAAGTCTTGGAGAAATGGTATCTGGGACATTCCGAGCAACTCCCACATCAACAGGTGAGGGTTGTAGTTAAACTCTTTTTCATACACTGTATTCCTTTTAAAAATATTTGAACACACATGCAAGTAGTTTTGCTAATTTGGAAACAATTTGAAGGCTTAATTTAAAGATTCTCTAATTAATATTTCATTTCTCATTTGTTTTCTATGGTAATTTGATTTCATTTAAAATGGTATTAAAAATTCATGTCATTAGAATATAATTTTGAAAAATCTTATTTACCCCTCAGTGTTAATAACTGTCCATTGTGTAAATTGATATTCAAAAAATTCATTATTTTACCTAAGGAACGGACAGAGTTTAAGATGGTGAAGGCCAATAAAAAAAGGAAAAAAATGATGCAGACTCTCAAGAAAATGCTGTTTTCAGTCTCCATGTGGAATTTCAGGATGTATTAGTACAGCCCGAGCTGGAAGGGTTGAAGCAGAGAGTAAGGCAGGGCCCAAAGGAGGGAGGGCCTCGTTTACATTTGGACAGCAGACAGCCAAGCCCTGGAATTAATGGTAATGAAGAGATATTGGTGGCCTAATAGGGAATTGTGGTACATTTGGAAACGATGGAGTTATTCATGTAGGAATTTTTCTTCTACCACATTCCCTGATTCCTATCGGCTAATTTCATTCTGGCCTAGAACTGCTGTTGCATTAGGGCATCCAGTGTCCTAGTTACCAATTCCAATTGTATTACCAATTTGGAATGGCAAGTCCAAGGCCCTATTCTGGCCTACCAAAACTGGAGGCAACTGGATTGGTTCTGGAGTGGTTCTAAGTGTCTGGGTCCTTGTTCATGTGAAGCCCTCTTATCTACAGGACACTGAACCAAACCAGGTTTCTGAGTTGTACCCAACTAGACTGGAGCTGCTTGGATGTCCACAGAATCGCTTTAAATCAGTTATTGAGTATATTTTGCTTCGTTCCCATTTGTTGGACATTCAGGACATTGAACACTTTAGCTATTACAAACAGGAAAGAACAGGAATAACTCATTATAAATTTATCTGAGGAATAACTGGTTATAAATGTATTTGAAATTTAGAAGCAAGATAGTAGGAAAAATGTGCCAATATTCTAGAAAATGGGCAAAAATGCCCAAGGGACTGCAGAATTATGAGTTAACAAATATAAAAATAACTATTGATTGAGGTGATAGTCATTTTTGCCCAAGTGGTTATTCTGTTTCCTTTTATGAAATTGCATTTGTCTACCTTGTTCCCAGCAACACTGTGCTGTGTCCAGCACGGGAACAACCCATGGTGATTGGCTGGCCCGGAACTTCCAGTGTTGCTCTCAACTCCTGTACCCAATTCCCACCCAGTGAGAAATCAGGATATAAGGTCATTTGTACCAGGGAGGAAGCTGTCTGTTTTTCATACATCTTCAAAATTGACGTGTCCAGAATGAAATCATAAGGCAGGTTCTCCAAAGTGGGCGATAGGAAGGTGGTGAAGATAATTACAGGGACAAATGGGTACATTCTTCCATCTTTTAAACTCATGTACTGTCATTTGCAGAGTTTACATATTTTGATATGGCTCTCGTTATTGTCTTTTAGCAAAACAGAAGCAAAAAGTGGTAAGTTGTGTTTCCTTTTTAAATCTACTGTTAAGGTTCCTATATATACATGCCTGCAATGCTCCATTTCAGTGACCCAAGTGGCTATAAAATAAGGGAAGAGCCTCCTCGGTGGGGACTTTGATAATCATTTGTCGTTCAACCTGAGAATTATGAAATTATGAATGTTGTGGCTGTGGAGAGGCATGCTCAACCTCACCTTGTCACGCGTGTCGAATCATCTTTTTCAGACGGAGCACATTCCTCCTTACGATGTTGTACCGTCAATGCGTCCGGTGGTGTTAGTGGGGCCGTCACTGAAAGGTTACGAGGTACAAATATCATCTGTTACTCTTCAGTTCTTGATCGAGCACCCAGGAGACAGTCATGTTGACGCTTGCTCCTCAAGGGTCTGTTTCCACGTGGGTCCTGATGGAAGCCAGTGCTCAGCATGGGAAGGCAGGGGGTACCGTGTGGGGCTCATGAGGCCCTCTGCCCTTTCTTTCCTCTCTTGCACACTTCTCATCTTTTATGTATTACATTGTTTAGAAATACCTCCCTCAAAATATTCACAATGGGAAGATCTGGTCAAAGATTTGCTGTACATTAAATGCAAAGAAAAGGACTTTATCTGTCTTGACCATTCTCATTATTATTAGAAGTAATAGAGAATGAACAGCACAAGAGGACAAACAATCAATCTTCCAGCAAACCCAAACCTTTAAAGCCCAAACAGAGTTCACCCTGCTGGGTTTTTAAGATGATGGCATATGCCACCAAATCCTTCTCTGCTTATTTATTTTAAAGGGCACATGTTTTAAAAGACCACTAAAAACATTAGTGAACTTTGGAGATTAAACAAAACCATGTGACAAGGAAAAGAGTAGAGACTTCGTTTCAGATGTTTGTTTTGACTTTGTGCTAGCTTGGATTAAAAAATAGGTAGAACGTGACATTAAACTCTGAAGGTGAGCAGCCTCCAGGGCACCATTCCCATCGAGCTAGGACAATGTGTGGCACATAGTAGGCACTCAGTACACATTTGCTGAATGAATTAATGAATCGCTTTCAGGCAGATCTAAGAATCCTGGCTCTATCCCCCTCTCTTTCTCTCTTGTCTTTCTCAGAGTTGGAAATGTCAGAGGGATGAGCAGGAGAGTGGTCTACAAAAATCCAGCCATGGGCATGGAGAATTTCCGCCAACATACACAAACTAGCAGGAAGGCTGAGTCCAGTGCTGGCCTCAGTTCTCTAGCTGCTCCTCACTGGAGGCAGGCACAACTCAGGCGTGCCAAGGATACCCGGCACCTGTGTACAAAGCCAGCCTGTTGTCTCCTGGCAGCAGTTCTATCCCCTAACGAGGGAAGAGGGAAGAGGGAAGAGGGTCTGGTGAACACTGCTGGTTTATTCCTCAACACCCTGGAGGAGAACCAAGGGGGGTGGAAATTAGCAATTGCACATGGTTAAGCATGAAAAACACCTTCCATGGTAACCTCCCCCTAGGAGACGAATGGCTACAATAAGGTCTTGGCTCATAGTACCCTTCCCTCCCTCCTCTCTCCCTTTTGACTTCTCTCTCTCTCTCTGCATGTGTTTGCCTCATTCTTTTTTTCTCACCTCTGCAAAGGTAACAGACATGATGCAGAAAGCCCTCTTTGATTTCCTGAAGCACAGGTTTGATGGGAGGTGAGAAATATAGATGTTTTTGTATTTTTATTTTCCTTTAACCAAACTTGTGTGATAAATTGAATTGTAGATCTATGTTTCCAGAGATTTCAGAAGTTCTCTAGTTAAAAGTTAACTCAGTATTCTTGGGAAGAATATAATAAAAGAACTCTGAAAATATGAAGTATAACATTGAGTCCCCAGTGAAGAAAGGACCATGAGAAGAAAAATAAGCCATTTGTTTTATTTAAATGTATATATCTTTATTTTCTCAGTTATTAATAATTTCATACCAAAATGTTTTTTATGAAAAAATATTAATTAAAATATATAATATTTCTCATGAGTATAGTGGCTTGCTGGTCAAACTAGGCAGTATTTGGGAATTGTGTATGTGTGTGTGTGTGTGTGTGTGTGTGTGTGTGTCATATGAAAGCATAAATGTCAAGTACTGAATTTCCTCAAAAGAAGAGAGTGAGAATTATTTTAATCATAAGCCTCCCAAAGTGATCATTTTGTAGGGAATAGTACTTATTTGGATATTTATTATAGTTGTGGGTTGTTTTTATTAGAAATGTCCTTGTTATTTTATTGATCTTTTTTTAATGTATTTTACTATGATCCATCAACAATATGGCTCAGGCATTAGCCATTAAATAATTTTATCATTTAAGTTTTGTGAAAAATTCTAAAGAAAGTTTCTCTGTTTTGCAGAGAAATGGTAAAAAGCCTGTATTGACTCAATTCTAAATATTAAGCTCTTTCACAGTGCTGAATGCAGTCCATGTAAAAATAACCACATGAAAAAACCTGAGATTTATCAGAAATGTAGGAAATTTAAATGGGGTGCATCAAAAAGTATGGGCAAATGCATCCAGTTTATTACTGTAGGATTGAAGAAAAACATCACATTCTTTATTTTTGAAGGCAGTAATTAAGCCATTCACTTTCTCTTTGCTAAATTATGAGAATCCACTAAATGCACAAAATAATTTTAAAATGTAAAAAAACTTCAGATAGATTTTAATAAATTGGTATATTAAGAATAAAAACAAGCATGGTATTGCTTTAAATATAAATTGTATGCATTTGTTAAAATAAAAGCTTTCTGGATAATTGGGTAAAATATTCATTAGTTTCTGGAACAATATAGAAAGTTAGTAAACAGATTTTAGTTTAAGAAATAAGAATGCTTCTAGGTACATTAGTATATAGGTCAGGCTGCCTTAATAAATAGACCCCAAAATGTGTAGTGATTCAAACACAATGGAAGCTTATTATTGCTCACTTAACAGTCTGAAGCAGGTGTTCCTTGGCTGGGAGGGAGGATAGAGTTGGGGGAGGGGAGAATTGGGCAGAAAGTTTGTTCCCTCTGTCATTTGGGGCCCTTAGCCCAGGTACGATGTCTCTAGTCAGCTTGCCCGGCCTGGAGGTAGCGCAACTGACATTTCACTGGTTAGAACTTGGTTATGTGGTCATACTTAATTGCAGCGGAGGCACTCTTGCAGTCCAGGAGGAAGAGGAGATAGAATTTGTTGAATCAATAATAGCCTTCGTCACATTCATCTACTGGACAAAGGCTTAATAAGAAAGATGTATTTGTTCCATTTCACTCTCTTTAAAAAAGAAATAGGCAGATAATGAAGTAGCTTCAAAGAAAATAAGTTAAAAGCCCTGAATCCTAGAGCATTGGAGTTGGAAGGATACATAAAATGTCTTTTAGACTCATCATTTCTCCAATAACCACAATCAGATAGACAACCTGCTTCTGTTTGAAACTTTTGGTTATTGGGATTACACTTTCTAAAAAAGCATTGCAAAAAAATAGCTGAACTCTGACTTTGTAACTTAATAGGGCTGGTCTTGGTCTTGCTGTCTGATGCTCTGGCCTTAACCCTAACCCTCATGCAGGTCCCTGTGGATTGAAGGCAGCCAGCATGCCTTGGTCGCACGTGCATAGTTCCTTCAGATATGTATGGAGTCACATGGTTTCAACCTGTGGAGCTGTTACCTAAGGCAGTTCTGAGCAGTGCCGAATCCACTGGCCCCATAACAGCCCTATCTGAACAAATCCCATCCCATAAGACAGTGTTAGATTATTTTGGTCTATAACATACTTATACGCAACAGTGCTGTTAAAGGTTTGCCCTCAAGAATGAAGAATCTGATGTTCTTCCTCAATCCTGAGGCCCAGAAAAAGGGAATTTATTTAATTGTAACAGCAGAGATTTGTCTCGAATCAAGTAGAATTGTCGCATCCATTACTGTACACATACTACTGAAGTTGGTTTTAATAGAAATTGAATGCAAATTTCAATCTCAAGTATTCATGGGGTCTGATGACATGGCAGAGGGTCTGGAGGAAGAGCCCAGCAGTAGCAAAAGTAATAGCTGAAGAGAGAGACTTAGCCCTGGAGAAATCTGATATATTTCTCCAGCAGGAGAAAGATAGGTAGATATTAAAGGGGTGAGGGGTGAGAGAATGGACTTGATTTCAAATATTAAGAGGCCAGGCAGCAGAATGAACAATAAGGAGTTCCTTGGTTGAGTGTATGTGGAGACTTTGATAAGAAAGAAATTCGCTGGTAGCGTCACACTGACTCTGACATGTCTTCTTCGTGGGGAATATCGTTAGGTTTTGAGCTATAACATCATGCTGCATTATGTTTTACCAATTGATACAAGGAGAGAAAAAAACAAATAGTCTTTAATTGAAACCAGCCAAGAGAACAATGACAAGGAAGGCTTTAGCACAGTGACACGGCATAAACAATATGTTCTAATGGAAACCTACTCTGTGTTTCATGGGCTATGAATGCAGTACGTTAGACAAAATAGGAGAAAGTCCTATTATTTTTCAGAAAGTACAAAGAAGGGATCTGTTGGCTACGAGGCTTTCTTCTTTAATCTGCTTTTCAGATCTTAGTAGAAAATAATTCAACAAATTGGATGAAAGTCCAACAGTTTGACTATTGCAGAATCATAAACTTGGGATTTTTTTGATACCTTAGAAATTATTTGAGTCAGTTTAGAGCTACTTATTATACAATTTTATTGCTGTAGCTGCTATTGTGGGGCCTAACTGTAATACATGTAAGAAAAACAGAATACTAGGCTGGGCGCAGTGGCTCATGCCTATAATCCCAGCACTTTGGGAGGCCCAGGTGGGCAGATCACCTGAGGTCGGGAGTTCGAGACCAGCCTGACCAACATGGAGAAACCTCATCTCTAATAAAAATACAAAATTAGCCAGGCGTGGTGGCGCGTGCCTGTAATTCCAGCCACTCGGGAGGCTGAGGCAGGAAAATCACTTGAACCTGGGAGGCAGAGGTTGCGGTGAGCCAAGATCATGCCATTGCACTCCAGCCTGGGCAATAGGAGCAAAACTCTGTCTCAATAAAAAAAAAAAAAAAGAAAGAAAGAAAGAAAAAGAAAAACACAATACTAAACAGTTCCTGAGCGCCCTCTGTATTTTTGAATATCTACATGAAGCAATGATTCCTGTGCTGACGACGACACAGTGGATACACAATGGGCATGGAGCTTCTCTCTTCATTTCACACCACAAATATTAATTGGGGATTACCCATTTGGATGAGGTTTGTTCAGCTGGCTGAATCTACCATTCACAGGCTGAACAGCCAGCAGTCAAACCAGTTGCAGTTTGTTGACCTATGCCAATCATTTCAAATCCCCCAAAAAGTTGTTACTTTAGGCTTTTGACAACTGGATCAGATCAACTCTGTGACATTTATTGGACAATTTGTAACTGATAATGATCATGGCCAAAAATCTTAGATGAACATCGTGTAACCTACACAGATAGGATCTCAAGCTAAAGGATGCTTTTAGCCTAAGAACACATAAAGGGAAAAAAAGGGCTTGAGAAAGAATTTGAAAGAAAAGAAGCTAAACATACAACTTAGGGAGACTCAAAGCGATAGTATTTATTAATAAAAAGAAATGGGAACAATTGGTGCTGTCACAAGGCAACCAAGCCATATAAGAATGAAGATAATTTCTAATTGCAGTCAACAAATGGAAAAAGAACAGCAGCAACTTCCGTTTCGTAATCAATTTCATTCTCCTATGCATTCTTCCTACTGTTTTCTATTCAAATGCAGACTCATAAACAGCCACTCAAACACCAGTAATAATTAATTGAACACTTGAGTGTCAAACTTGAATATTTAAATTAGTAGGTTTTGAGTACAGTGTATCTGACCTGATTCTCTCACCCACATTTCACGGACTCTGGGAATGAGAGGGGTCATGGTAGACTGCCCACTTTTGAGAGTAGGACATAAGGAAACTATCTCCTTCGAGTCTTTAAATCTCCAATAATTGTTTGCCTTGTGTACATTATATATGTGTTTATTAACAGAGGACACTATGAATAATTATTTAAGAATGCGCTTTTATATATAACCTTATTTGCTCTTAATGGCAACCCCATGAGATAGTTATGGCAAAGCTACTATTGCCATTTTATTGATTAGGATACTGAGGTCAAAAGATGGAATGACTCATGCAACTACCAAGACAAAGATCCAGGAAGATACTCGGGTCTCCTGTGCCTTTCCATTCTCCTGAAAGTGCACTGTTGCATTCTTCGGAACACTCTTCCCTACTAATACCAGAAGTTTTCAAAAATTATTATACTGTCTGGGCTGCATATTGGATGTAGCAAGGATAGAATATAGACAGATCTTACAGCTGTTACGTTACCAGCGTGGAAATACAAATTATTTTTTGATGAATCTGTCATAACTGAAAGTAATATCTTTCCACAGAAAATCACAGAAAACTAATACAACTCACGATGGATTGCAGCAGTTAGGATGAATTCTAAAGTGGAAATAAGCAACAATTGGGGTTCAGATTTACTATATTTAGGGAATGATGTTTGCTAGTTTTCAGGAACATTCGCTGCTACATCCAGTCTGCTGGGGAACTAAACTCCTATTAGTCTTTTACCTACTGGCCAGCAAGTCACAGAAAGTTTTCCAAGGGAACTTTTTAGAGATGTATACCAAACAAGGTACATGGGAATGCTGAAACTAGGGGGACTAGCTGAGACTAGGGGGTCTCAGCATAGCAAGAAAAGAAGTAGAAAGGATACCACTTTAAGTTAAAAAAAGTATATAAGCTAGATAGTATTCAGTTGTGAATGTGATTGCTTTTCTGGAGAGCCTTTTATAAAAAAGAATTTTGGGTTTGGTGTCTGGTTTTGATAATAATAAGCATCTATGCACAGAAAAGGGAAACTCCTATTTTGTCTTACTGAAGGTTTTCTAGGGCTGTGCATGTCTTCTTCTGAGCTCTGTTTTATGCATGTGTATTTTTATTAATCAATAACTTGTATTAGCAAACTAACTTGTATTAGCAAATAAAATGAGAAAACGTGCCCTTTATTGTCTGCATCTTTCCCTGTATTGGAACACATGAAAAGGTTTTTTTCTGAATTTTTTCAAACTTTGGTCGTGTTTGAAAATAGCTTTGTAAAAGTACTTTTATAACTCAGAAAAAAAAAGTGTGAATCTGATGATAATCCCTTCAGATTTGAAGAACCAAGAGTCTCTTGTTTGTATAGAACTAGAAAATTTTATTTTCACTAAAGGAGACTGGAATTCAACTTTCTGGGTTGTTGGGCCCTCCAAACATCATTAGTCCAAAAATCATTGGTCTAGAAAGTTGAATTCTGTCCCTAAACCCACCGACTTGTCTCTCGTCATATATTTGGATTGCTCTGAAACATGCCTGTATGTTTCTATCCAGCAGCTCCATTCTTAAATAAACCAGAAACCCAAAAACACAAAAATAAACACACATCGCTGAGCATGGTGGCTCACACCTGTAATCCCAGTGCTTTGGAAGGCTGAGGTGGGTAGATCACCTGAGGTCAGGAGTTTGAGACCAGCCTGGCCAATGTGGTGAAACCTCATCTGTAGTAAAAATACAAAAATTAGCCATGTGTGGTGGCACATGCTTGCAATCCCAGCTACTTGGGAGGCTGAGGTGGGAGGATCGCTTGAAACTGGGAGGTGGAGGTTGCAGTGAGTTAAGATTGCACCACTGCACTCCAGCCTGGGTGACAGAGCGAGACTCCGACTCAAAAAAATTAAATTAAAAAAAAAAAACCACACAAACCCTATTCTGGAGAGGAAAGGAGCTGCCTATGAGACTTCATGCCTGAAAGCTGCAGTGGCCAACTGGAGTAATAGAAAGTCAGGTGTGGGTTTACTCTACCTCAACTTGATTTAAATTCTCACTATCTCAGAGCAAGGCGAAGACTTGACTGTGCATCCATGCTTGACCACTTGACTCATAGCTTGAGATTCGGGCTTGTAGAACACTGAACTGTAAGAGAATGGTGGAGTCAGGTGACTTGGCACTGGCCCGATACCCAGGGGCTAGTTTAGACCTGAGCTGTAACTAACCATGTGCAGCTTTCTGTGTGTGTCTCAGTTTCCCTCTTGGTAAGATGAAAAAGTTGTTACACCAGTGTTTTCCAGTGTCTTTTAGCAGTTGAACAGCTTTTTATAGTGAAATCATATATAAAGCCCCAATGCAGAAAACAGAAATGCAGACATGTTTACCTGGCACTGAGGATAGTGAAGCTGGAGCCCACTGAACCTCCCTTTAGTCCTCAGAACAGTCCCTGAGGTGTATCTGCAAAAACTCTTGGTTTCTGCGGGAGACAATTTTGAAGATGCATCAAATAATGAAAAGGGTCTAACAGTTCTAAAATTTTAAGAATTGAAAACTTCCTGACAACCCACAGCATATAAACATAATGACACAGGCAAGCAGTGCTTTGCTTAAAATGGCACCAGAACTTTTGCACAGACTGTTGTTTTAAAGAATGATTTCCAACCATCTGAGGAAAGGACTATTTTAAATTCTCTCCAAGGCTTTAGGTCACTGAAATCAGGTACAGTCTCCTGACATAGCTGGCAGTGTTGTCCCCAGACAGGTATGAAATGACATATGTTTCAGTAATTGATAATTCTACCCTCCTTCCTGCTTCAATCCCCAAAGAGTTTGAAAACAGAAGAGAATGGGTGTACTAACTGAGTATAAAAGGGGAGGGGTGCTACTTTCCTTGTCTCCTTTCTGGGAACCATGCTGTGAAGATGAGAATGGAGAAAGGCCCATGGTGACAGTAACTGGCCTAAAGAGGCAAGCTTTGAATTCTACTGGTAGATAATTGGAAGTTGAGCAATCTCAGTTTAAAATAGTCTTTAAATTCTAAGTTGCAGATATTCTCATTTGATAAATCATATGCAAATAGATGCCCCTCTGCATTTATTTGCAATGTCTTTGCTTTATTCTTCAGTTTTTTTTTTTTTTTTGAGACAGGGTCTCACCCTGTCTCCCAGGCTGGAGTGCAGTGGCGTGATCTCGGCTCACTGCGGCCTCTGCCCCCTGGGCTCAGATGACCTCCCCCACCTCAGCCTCCCAAGTAGCTGGAACTACAGGCATGTGCCACTGTGCCTGGCTAGTTTTTGTATTTTAGTAGAGACGGAGGTTCACCTTGTTGGCCAGGCTGGTCTTGAACTCCTGACCTCAAATGATCCACCCATGTCGGCCTCCCAAAGTGCTGGGATTACAGGCATGAGCCACCATGCCAGGCCCTGCTTTATTCTTCTCTTGCATGACCGAAGGATACTTTCTAACGTAGAAAATCCTGGCACAATACTCACATTACTTTCAACTAGAGTGCCTTATGACTGCCCACCGTATGCATTCAAAGTCTTATGCAAATATGCTGAAGAATCTTATGCATGCAGAAAAAATAAAACCATTTTTTCACATTCTTATAAATGAAGTATCCCTTTGGGCCTGTGGAGAATCACGTGTGTATCACAAAAGAATGCAGCTTAGCCACAGACTGGTAGATTGTCTTTGATAATCAAAATGAAGAGGGTTTCCCAGCTTTGACTGGCATCATTAAATGCCAGAGCAAAGCATTTGTAGTTCCTGAAGGTCTTGTTCAAGAGCAAATCAACTATGAATTGTGGCAAATTGTATTGCTACTTCCTAGAAAGAGCATGGTTTATTTATATGTCTTGATTCCTTCCTGGTGTGGTGTATATTATAAAGGGAATTCAGCAAGGCAGGCCATAATGGAGGAAGAACATTTTTACTGGAGTAGGTTTTTTTGTGTGTGAAACAGTTTAAACCTTCCTCCATTCTGCTCTGCTTGCATTCTGATACTAGCCAGAGCCTGTTTAAAATACTTGTGGCCAATGTTTGTTATACTGTGGTTCCCCTGTAGCATGTAAATTGGTTATTAAGTACTGTGGTTATAAATCACTTGGAGAGCCCCATAACATTTTTACTGGCTTGTTCTGTTCTGTGTTCCTATTCATAGGATTTCAATAACGAGAGTGACAGCTGACATTTCTCTTGCTAAGAGGTCTGTCCTAAATAATCCCAGCAAGAGAGCAATAATTGAACGTTCGAACACCCGGTCCAGCTTAGGTAAGATGTTCAAATGTGGTACTTCTTCAAGCTGTGCTTACAGACCGGGCTGACACATGGTGCATTTGTGAATGTCTTTTTCAATTTGTTCCCCATTCTGAACGGGGGAGCACTGAGTACCTAAAAAGAATGCTAGCTATGGACAAGAAGGCAGCAGAGTCTTGCAGTAGCGAGAGCTTGCTGTCTCTCAGCTTTAGTCAATTAGCTAATTAGTAGTCTGGTGGAAAGAATCCTCAATGGGCTCTCCTAGTCTTTTCCTGCCTAACTACATGAAACCAGTCATCTCCACTTTGCTCAGCTTCTCAACAAGGCTAATGATATCTGTCATACCTGAGTCACAGCTGACATAAAAGGAAACGAGGTGTTCAGCCTTCTGAGATCTTTAGAAGAAAAGCTAGATAACGGTGTTCTTGGTGTTGTGAATGGCAATGACCATTAGTAACATGCAGGGACTTTAAACATGTCTTTCCTGGGGTACCAGTTGGAAAGCATCCTAAAATTCCCCATGATGGAGAAGAATAAAGGCTGTAAGTGAGTAGCTCCGTCAAGCCATAGGTGAGCAGGGCTGTGGAGGATGGATCATAACCCACAGAAGCGAGTCCATAGTGCTGGTGAATTACATCGTTCATCTGGAAAGCCTGTTCATGGTCTCCACGATTGCCAAGGGTGGTGTAGTCCACTCATGACTTCCTAGGATTCTCTTTACATTCATATTCTGAGGGCAACTTGTTTTAACTAGGAAGGATAAATAGGGCTCTTCCATGCCTTACATTTTTTAAACTGTTGAAATTAGCTCTATAGATAATAGAAAAATAAAATTAAGATTTCCAAGACAGAGTGCATGCCCTAACATCACATTAAGAACCCACTGACCTTGAGCCAAAGATCGTGCAATTTGTAAAGAAGGTACAAAATATTATCTGTGTGTTCCTGACATGGGATTGGCATGTGATAATTGCTAATAAATGTGGGATGGTTGCTTTGTGAAGGATTACTAAACATACCAAATAGAGTAGTGGTCAGTGCTTGTGAGGGGAAGATCCCAGCGATTAGTGGTCCCTTCTTTTGTCTTGTATTTAGAGCCTTCCACATGCAGAGGGAAACATGCTCAAAGGCACAGTATTTTGACCTTGAAGAGGTACAATGGCAGTGTTGATGGTGAATCCTATTAGGTAATGACTAAAGTTAAATATCATGGGTGACAGGGACATTAAGTTAGGTTGAAGTTTCTCAAACAAACATCAATTCTCTGCTCTCCTGTTTTCTACCCATTTTGTAACTCCTTATAGTGTCTTTGGCTTTTAAGTACTCCTTCTAATGTATGGTGAGAGGCTAAAAGATAATTAAAAGCTTAAGCCAGGTTGTCTGACTCCTTTAACCATTGACACCTGCCAAGGGCTTCATGTGTATTCACTGAAGTCATTCCTTACAATCCATTCACCTGCTGTCAGAGTCAGTGGGGTGGATGGGGGGCATGTTAGTGTAAACAAGAAGAAACAAAGTATATCTCACCTCATGGTTTTTACCTTTACTCTGTAAAGTCATAAACCCACAACCATTGGAATTAATTTCATGGCAATCTATTAATTTTATAATAACCACAATGTGATCCATTTGTGTGCTTGTTAATGCACATTTGTAGATTCCTTCATCAAATGTTTATTGAACACTTGTTATGTGCCATGCATTGTGCTAGACTTAGGAAATAAAGACATAACCCACACACAGTATCTTACCCATGGGCAAAGAGACAGAAGAGACAGATGGTTAGAATACCTGTGACAGTGGAATTATGAACAAGGAACTAGGGGTATAAAGAAGAGTAGGGGTTAAGAGATGTGTGAGAAGACTTCTCAGAAGTTATATTTGAGCTGGTTCTTCAAGGCAGGCAGGAATGTACAAAGACATTGACATGTAAACAAAAATATGTTGTTGAGAAACAAGTAGATTTGTGTATAGCATGCTTAGAACAGGGAAGTTGGTGGTGTGATTTGAGAGGAACAGAAGAGATTGAAAAAGATTGAGGCCAATGTGTTGGGGTTCTAATGCACCTTGCTAAAGAGAACTCCAAAATAGATCCCATGCAATGTTAATTTTACAACATAGTAACAGTTGTTACATTCAGAATGTTTTCCATTGTCAAATAAATTTGGAAATGATGAATTAAACTGACAGGTTTCTTCTCTGCAAGACTTAGAGCCTTGAAGATATGAAGGATAATGCATGTTTGAAATTCTAAAGAGAAGCTATTATAGTATTCAATATAACCCTTACACAAAACCCCCTTCTTCCCATAGGATATCTTATGAGATTATTGTTCCAGAGTACTCACTTTGGGAAATGTTGCTTTGGACCCTGGGGAGCCATTGAAGTGTTTTAAGCATGGGAGAAATATGAACAGGTTTGAGTATAAGGGATATAATTTGTGACAGGGATCCTGGAGAGAGGTGGGCCCAAATCATCATGGTCAGTTTATAGAAGTGTTCATCGAGGTCCTCCAGCATCATAGTCCATGACTCCCCAGGGCTCCATTTGACTGGAATAGGATTATGAGGAAAACTTATTTGGAACCCCTCTGAGAATCAGTCCAGGTAGCCAAGATTTTTTGATTTGGTTGAGATCTTTTTCTTTAAAAAACAAAAAAAGAGCTATATAGATAAATATGCCTCACAGATAAAATATATTTATTACATTCTGTATACATATTATCCAAACATTGGGCTCACCCCAGTATTTAATGTGGCCTTCTCCAGCATCCCTGCTGGCTTGTTCTGCCCAAGCACCTCTCTTCCTCTGCCCAAGTGCCTGTTGCCTAAGAGTTTTGTGTTGGTTAAGCAGTAGGTATGGCTGCCCTTGCTCCTGGCAGAAACCACACTTAACCTCATTGCTGGTGCAGAGTAAATAAGGCCCAGGTATTTCTGAGTCATTTACACAGAAACTCAGAGTGCCTTGAGGGTTATTTGTACCAGGGCAGTCCAGTTCACATCAATGTCTTTCTGCTGCTTCTGAAAATATTGTATTCATATTTGAAGCTTAAGAAAACATAGGCTTGCTCACATGTAGTCCTGGCCAGGAGCTCCCATAAGCCAGTGACAGTTTAATGAAAACAGCAAATGGGAAACATACCCTGACATCCTGAGGCTGAAATTTACTACAGTAAAAATTGACTTTATTTTCCAAACTTCCTTCTGAAGAAAATTTATTTTAAAACTGTTTCTGCCATGTGAGAGAAAAGGGGACAAATATGCTACATTACTAACAAATGTAGAATATGATTTCAGAAGAATTTGACAAATAAGCCCACTTGTTTTCATTAATATTCTGAAAGCTAGTCACCTTTCCAAGCAATGTGAAGTCTTTCAGGCCATTGGTATTGGATAACATGAAAAGTGATATGTTGACTCTTCAAATTAATCCTTTTTAATACAGATCATGCCTTAAACTTCAGTGATTCTATGGGAAATAAGAATTTTATGCAATCATGCAAAACATAAGAAAATAGATTTTCATGATAGTCTTGAGTATTCATGACCCTGCACACCTTGTCAATCCTTTTGGTTAAGGAAGGGAGAATTTTTTGGTGGGCTATGTGAACTTGAATTTATACTAAATAAGCAAAGCAAATCACAAACACTTTTCAATGAGGATATTTAGAGCAACATTACCTTTTTCCCTAGGCCATCTTTAGGGTCGTTTAAGGCCGGGTACAATGGCTCACACCTGTGATGCCAACACTTCAGGAGGCCAAGGCAGGAGGATTGCTTGGACTTTGGAGTTCAAGACCAACCTGGGAAACTTAGTGAGACCCAGTCTCTACAAAAAATAAAAAATTTAGCCAGGCACAGTGATGTGCACCTGTAGTCCCAGCTACTCGGCAAGCTGAGGTGGGAGGATCACTTGAGCCCAGAAGGTTGAGGCTGCAGTGAGCTGTGATTGTACCACTGCACTCCAGCATGGGACACAGAGTGAGACCCTGTCTCTAAAAATTAATAATAATAATTTAAGTTAGATAGTTTTGTGTACTGTATGTACTTTGGACCAGATTACAGCATTGTTTGGTCACACCTATAGCCAAAAAATAAAAATAAAAAACAAAATCAGCTGGGCACAGTGGCTCATGCCTGTAGTCCCACCACTTTGGGAGACCAAGGTGGGTGCATCACTTGAGGTCAAGAGTTCAAGAGTTCAAGACCAGCCTGGCCAACATGGCTAAATCTCGCTTCTACTAATAATACAAAAGTTAGCCAGGCATGGTGGCGTGTGCCTATAATCCCATTTATGTGGGAGGCTGAGGTACAAGAATCACTTGAACCCGGGAGGTAGAGGTTACAGTGAGCCAAGATCATGCCACTGCACTCCAGCCTAGGCAACAGAGTGAAACTGTGTCTCAAAAACGAAAACAAATCAATTTCTCTGAAAATCAAATAGTATAATTCAGACTTTGGGCATGATCCAATAAGTCAGGTAATTTATAAAATATATATATATATAAAACTTTTTTATATTTCAGAAAGCCATGTCCTATGTTGATTATCTGTTTTCCTTAAAAAAAAAAAAAACTGGATTGCTTCAGACATTTGAAAAGAGTAGATTTTTCATTTGACTAGACTCATGCACAGATTTGGGTCACTTGGCTATTACAGCCAGCCAGATAGATTTGCATCTAGATGCATTGCAGCGTTTTAATATAATTGGCCTTACTTTTTTTTTTTTAATACTGAAGCTAATTATGCCTTAGAACAAGTACATTGGCTTTCGTACTTAAATCTAACTAGACTTAGTAATATGATTAGTTTTAAGGGTAGACTCAGAACAATTAACCAGTGGTACAAAAATATGCATATCAGTCAAAACAGATGAGTTGTGGGGTTTTTTTAAAAGAAGCATGTCCACAAAGTATTAGTTTATACTTCGTTGATAGAAATATTTCAGTGTAATTTGCTTTCCATGTGATGTTGCTTTGCACATATATTTCAGTTGTTTTCTAAATGTGCTTTTAGCTTCTATGGCTAACATTAAAGTTCTTTAGAACAAAACAACAATCAAAAACAACATAAAATAATCATCGTAGTTATATAAACAGCTAAATATTATATTGACTAGAAGAAGCAAATTAAGAGAGCCATCTCAGACGTTTCTACCAACTGGTTGTATGCAAAACTCAACCCATCTCTGTCTATATTTAGAAAATGTCTTAAATTAGACAGGACTATGAAAATTTAAAATGTTTTATTTTGTAATGTAGACCAACATATCTGAAAATATACTATATCTTTCTAATGTAAGAACTAATTCATAACAATAACCGGGATCTATTTATTATTTTTCCTTTAAGCGGAAGTACAAAGTGAAATTGAAAGAATCTTTGAGTTGGCAAGATCTTTGCAACTGGTTGTTCTTGATGCAGACACCATCAATCACCCAGCACAACTTATAAAGACTTCCTTAGCACCAATTATTGTTCATGTAAAAGTCTCATCTCCAAAGGTAATTAGCTCCTTTCTGCCTTAAGGTTTAGAAGTGCATCTTTTAAAAATGTGTTTTGCTCTGTGGTTTTTTGTTAGTGGACAAAGGAGAACGTCTTGCTGATTATTAATAAGCACATTTAAAATCTTTCCACAGTGTACAGATTCTATGAATTTTCAGATAGTGAAGAATATAATAGTTCATTTCTTCTAAAAGCTACTATTGTAGATCCCAAACAAGACAGTTATGCAAGTGTATAATAGAAACAAAACATTAAGACAGATGTGGAAAAGTAGACTCTGGCTTATCATAGACTATGAATTCTATATTGGTAAATTTCTTGGATCCTGTTGATTCCTGTGTCATCCATACTCTGTACCTAGTTGAGAGAGTACATCTATATTGATCAAAAAAGGCATCTATGTTGATCATATATAAAATAGAATATCACTGTTTAAACATCTCCTATGGAAGCATTATAGACCCTGACATTTGTGCTTAGGTTGAGTTCTTGAAAGAATGTGGTTATTCCACGATAAGCACAATGGGAAATTTGCTTTGTATCTTTATGCCATTGTGGGAGGTAAAAATAAAAGTGAAATAGCCCCAAATTGGTTTCTTTTGATTTGGGTGTTCTTTCATTTTTAAAAAAGGATGTTGTTCTTAAAAAGTTAACGTGAAATGGTTACCCTTGGGAAGTACTATCTTAATAATCAGTTTCTTCTCTGTGCCTCCTAGTGTATTTTGGTGCCTAAATACAAATTCAACTGCCAACCAGCATGGCAGTCTTCTCTCATGGGTGGAGAATGTCTAAAGAAGCTGTACTCTCCTCCAGATGTTCTGAGATCCTAGCCTTCCATCTATCTCTGCAGACACTGCTTTGGTGCAGTGGACTTGGGAATCCTGAACAAACTAGGGCCTTTTGAGAATCAGTAGAATGGATTGAAAGAGCTGCTGGGGGTTCAAGCACTTCACTGCAGTGCAGGAGAGTTCAGCCCTTCCCACTGCCCATGACACTGTGGTGTCCTTAAGTGCAAGAACAGGAGTTCCCAGACACCTATGTCCTGGGGTATTATAGAGCTCATAGATTAGCATTGTTTGCAGGGGAAGGGCCACGGGACATGGCAGTATATGACCAAATGCAGTTACAGCAGTGGCCAAAAGACATAGATATATCACTGGTTTACATGTAGCAATATACTAATACAAATGTTTTGCCTGGGTCTCCAATCACAGAATAGTCTGATTAATTTAAAATTAAACTGAAATGTCCCATTAATAATCGGTGACAAAAATAACCAGAAAATGACTCTGACATTTATCTGACATGGAGATAGTGAGCTAAAACATTATTCAGGTGAATAATATTAAAGTATTACTTAACATAAATGACCTGGTACAGTCCACTCCCTCCATTTTTACAGGTCTCTCTTTGAAATCTCTGGGAAAAATCTAGGATGGGAACTCAGGCTCCTCCTGAGACTTCACACAGAGTTAGAATAGGATGAACATATCAAATCCATGGAACTGAGAGCCAATGTAAGCAGATGACATCATTACAGGTTTAAATATATGATTTCTCACACTGCATTTCCTCTCTGATAATACTCAGGGCCAAGCAGACCATTAAAAAGATCCTGGCTTATTTGATTTTCTTTCAACTCATCTACAATACCTCAGGTTCATGTCTTCTTCTATCAGGTTTTACAGCGGTTGATTAAATCTAGAGGAAAGTCACAAAGTAAACACTTGAATGTTCAACTGGTGGCAGCTGATAAACTTGCACAATGCCCCCCAGTAAGTATGATCATTTTTTGTCTTCATCATTCTTGACTAGTTAGAAGAGGGTGGGTTTTTTTTTCTTCATATTGTTGTTTTCATTCTAAAATGATGGTGATGATGGTATGTTGTCATCTAAAAGATTTCTTGGAACAAACTGCTGCTGTTATGTTGCTTGTATTCAGGCATCCAGATGTGGATGGTGTTTGCCTTGTAATAAGAAATGAACTTAGTGTCCGGGGTCTGTTCTTCTCACTGCTACCTTGTTTGCTTTGCAAACATGCAGCAAACCACTTAGCATTCAGCCTCCAGTCACATGGATACGCTTAAGAAAAGAACAAAAGAAAACATACCAATTTGATCTTCCTTTAACTCTTCTGCAAGAAAATTCCAGCAGGCATAAAAGATTATGACACTGAAGGTCAAGAATTGATTGGAACTAGAGAGGCCCTGTGGTTATAGTAGATGAAAGAGTCAGGGCTGAGTCAGATGAAAAACGAAATTATAGCAACTCTTCTTCTAGTGCCATTGCCAGAAAACAGCTGCTGGGTTAGAAGGTGAGCAATGGTGGGATGGGGTGGGAGATGGAACTGCTATCACATGGCACTGGGTCCCCAGTGGCCAGTCTCTCCACTTTTCCCACTGACTTACTATTTCTGTGCCTATGTTTCTGTAAAGGAAATAACTGTCCTTCTTACTCAATGGATTCACTAGATTGTTTTATACACTTGTGTAGGATTGTTTAAGCTCTATGGAAGCATGAAATCTGATTCAAATGTTTAGAGAGGGCAACACAGCATAACCTGTAAAAGCACAGACTCTGGAGCCAGATATTTGGGTTTTGAATCCACACTGACTAGTTATGTAATCTTGGGCAAGTACCTATCTCATGGGATTGGTGTAAGGATTGAGTGAGTGAATATGTGGTAAAGCTGTTAGAACAGCGCCAGGAACATAAGAAGCACCGTCTAAGTTTTCTTATTATAATTACTGGATACACTTTGTGTGACGTCATGTCTGGTCCAGTAGACTCTGTAAGAACCCGTGCCCCTCTGGCTCACTGTTGTATGTCAGTTCCCTATCATAGTAGACCCATAATATATATTTGTGGAATGAGTGAATAAATGAAAGGATGTTCAGACGATAAGAGTAATAATGCATCCTTTCATTAGATGCTTACAGTTGGCCACACAGTGTGCTAGATGCTTTACATAGATTATCTCTAATCTTCACAGTTACCTGGTGAGATAGGCCATATTATCTCCATTTTATAGTTTAGGCAACTGAAAACAGAGACATTAAACGATTTCCCTAAGGTGACATAGCAAATTAGGATTCAATCTATTCTAGATCTATCTGGCTCCAAAGACAATTTCCTACCCCCTAACCCATCCACCCATACACACATGTACCTGGTTACCTACCCTGAAGATAATTTGATAGCTTGGAGCATGGCGTGCTCTGTTAAGTTTCACTTCACGCTGCCTGTTAGTGAAGCCCAATTACACAGTGGAATGTATGATTAAGGCACTGAACAGACAGAGGAATGTATTGCCCAGCCCTGACCTTCTAATGTTTCACAGTTGAAGGAAGATAATCTTTGTTGTCTAGCTATCAAAAGCCGGGAACTATGTTATTATTTCCAATTTTTGGAACAATCTTATAAGGATAGTTATATCAGTTTGGTCTTCTGGGAAGCAGACACCTAAATGGAATTACAAATGCAAGAGATTTATTGGAGAAATTTTATCTTTATGAAAATAAGTTTATTAACATTTATTCTAATAATTACTAGAGAAAATTCTTGTGTCCTATTAAATTTGAGGGATTTTAGCTGCTGAGAGGGTTGATCATTGAGTAGTTGTACATATAATATGGTTTGTTACATCTGAAATAGCTGGAATCAAGAAAAGATATTTGCATCTGTAAAAGCAACTAATATACTGAGCTACCTTAGGACTTGTACCCAGGTCAGAGATTTCAAACAGCTCCATGACTGGAAAGACAGCCTTGCCTTACCATTATCTCAGTAGGATAAACACTTTATCTTTTTATATAATTGGTAAGATAACCTGGAATTTTAAACAGGCAGTCTGGATGGATAAGGTTACCTTGTACTTAGCATTTTCTAAACACTGTTTACTTTATTAAACATGTTCAATTGATACTGCACAGATGTAGTAATGCTGAGGAGGAATAGTATCCTCTATTTTGGCATGTGTGAAGAAATCTTTGGATTATAAAAACCAGTAGTAACCTTAAAATGTGTCTGCATTTGCCCCTGCTTTACTTCAAGACCATAATTATAATTGTCATCCAAAGATTGGTGATCACTGTGTCATTTTAATTCCTTTAGGAGAATTTGCGACTTACTTAATTGGCCACCATATCTCCAGTATGAAAAGTCAGCAAATTACATTGGCAGAGTATCACATTGCTAAGAAATGAAAGGCAACAGTTTTTGGAAAGGGAAGCCTATAGGAGCTCTGAAAAAAGTTAACGCTGTAGCCAGAATTAATCCTAGATCCAGGGACTGTTGAAGCAAAAGGGGACCTTAAAGAGCACCCAATATAGTATTTCCTAGACTATATTATTTATAATATGGGTCCTATGTGATATCAGTAAGTGTTATGGGAAAATAATCCTGATACCAAAAATGTTTGAGAAAACACTTAGGTGAACAAAGGTAGTCTGGTTTCTTTACTACAGAACCCTGAATATGCCAATGTGTATTTTATATCTCCAATAGGACAAATAGTGTGCACAGCTTCCCCTAAAATTGTGACTGCAGATCTGCTTTTCCATTGAGCATCCTATGGGTCCAGTGGAACATGTCTAGGGAAAGACTTAGTCCAATCTCCTCATTTTACAAATGATGGAACTGAGACCAAGAGAACTGGCTTTTCAAAGGTTGTATGCCTGGGCCAAAGTCAGCTTAAGATCTCTTTCTCCTAGTCTAGCAAGACTAGATGATGAATGGCAACAGGTCAGTTATATATTCTCCTGGAAAGAAAAGTATGGGTTTTGGCCAGGTGCAGTAGCTCATGCCTGTAATCCTAGCACTTTGGGAGGCCAAGGCGGGTGGATCATGAGGTCAGGAGTTTGAGACCAGCCTGACCAACATGGTGAATCCCCGTCTCTACTAAAAATACAAAAATTAGCCAGGTGTGGTGGTGCGCACCTGTAATCCCAGCTACTCAGGAGGTTGAGGCAGAATTGCTTGAACCTGGGAGGTGGAGGTTGCAGTGAGCTGAGACCATGCCACTGCACTCCAGCCTGGGTGACAGAGCAAGACTCTGTCTCAAAAAAAAAAAAAAAAAAAAAGAAAGAAAGAAAGAAAGAAAAGAAAAAGAAAAGATAAGTATGTATTTCATGGGTAAGGATTTTTCTAGGAGAGAGATCGGTGAACTTTTTAAGTAAAGGGCCAGATAGTAATATCTTAGGCTTTGTGGGCTATATAGACTCCTTTGCAAAACTACTCATCTCTGCTCTCGAGCAGGAAAGCAAACATAGACAGTGTGTAAACAAATGGGTGTAGCTGTGTTCCAATCAAACTTCGTAGAGGCATGAGACAGGCCTGATTTAGCTGGCAAACTGAACTTGCCCCCTTGTTCTGGGACCAAGCTATGGTTATCTATTACTCTGCAATAAAATAATCCCCAAAACTCAGTCACTTCAAACAATGGCCACTTGTAGTATTCAGCTGGCGGCTGACCTGGTACCTTAGCAGAAATGGCTGAAGGCTGGGCTCAGCCAGCTCTTTTTGAATACAGGCTCTTACGTGGCAGCTCCCAGGCTCCATGAGCAAAGATTCCAATCTTTTACAGCCTGGGCATAGATACCAGACCACATCATTTCCACAGCATTCTGTTTATCAAAATACTCACAAAGAGCTGGGTGCATGGTGAGTGCCTGTAGTCCCAGCTACTCAGGAGGTTGAAACAGGAAGGTGGCTTGAGCCTAGGAGTTCAAGGCTGCACTGAGCTGTGATTGTGCCACTGCCCTTTAACCTGGGAGACATACTGAGACCTTGTCTCTAAAAGGAAATTTTTAAAAATTAGCTGGGCATAGTCCTAGCTCCTTGGTAGGCTGAGGTGAGAGAATTGCTTGAACCCAGGAGTTTGGAGCTGCAGTGAGCCAGGATTATGCCACTGCACTCTACCCGACAGAGTGAGACATTGTCTCTTAAAAGAAAAAAAAATCACAGAGGCTGCCTAAATTCAAGGAGAGGGGATATAACTCTTCATCTCCATGAGGGAATGTCAAGGAATTTGTGACCATTTAAAATCTGTCATAGACAGTAAGATGAGTGGGGAAAATGGGCTACTGGATAGTTCTACTTTGGAAGAGGAAGGACTTTCCTCTCGTTGCCCATTCGGAATTCACAGAAGAAAAGATGGGATGCAGACAAAAGGGGACCTAGGGGAACAGGACCTGCAAACCCATCTCATTTTTTTTTTAATATGACCAGCCTGATTTTGTATTGCCATTATACATCTATACACTACATTTTTTTATTTCTTTTTGCTTCTACCAAGTATTGATATTCTTTTTCTCTTCAGATAAGTTGAAAATAGTATGTTTTTTAAGAAGGCCAAGTGTAAACTTCCCCAGTACTATGGTAATAAGAAGAAAAGCTGAGAGACAGACAATTGAACATATAAATGAAATGTAATCCTTTAATCCTACTTAGTTACAATCTGGCTTGTGTTACCCAAAGCTGACCCTGTGGCTGTTTGAGCTGTGTAATGTTTTTTTGTGTGTAAAATGACATTGATCACTCCTTCTGGGAGAGGGGAACTCATCTCCTCAGTAGAGTCTTGCAAACCTCTAATGTTACAGTAACCATGGTCACTCTGTTCTGTCGCCCTTTATTTTCCACTGCTGAATGGACTCAGATTTATCCTATGAAACACAAGAATTCTGGAGCGAATGATAGTGCCCAGTTATCCTTGATCATATTGCTCTCACAGTAGTAATTTTCCACTGCCCTCTTCCAGTCATTTTATTTGAATTATTTAGAATCGTGTGGATTTACCTGTCTATTTGAAGTGCTCTCCTCATTGGTGCATTCATTATTCACAGCCCCTGGATGTCCACAGTTTAATTCCTAACATTGCTTTTGAAAAGGGGGGTAATCAATTTCAGATGTTTGCTTCATGAAATAAGACCACATGGGATCCAATTTCTCTCAGCCCAAAGGGGACTACACCTTTTCCAGGGATTTCAGCCACTGGACTTGGGTATATCGAGTTAGGGGTAGTTCATTCCCACCAATGCTATGATCTAGCACATCCAATTAATCTGACTTTAACAGAAGCATGGGATACCTTTTCTGTAGGCACTAATGTTGGTAGATGGTATTATCTTTGAAGAATACGAATGGACAGATGGAGGGGCGTGGGGAGGAAAACATGTTTGGGTTCACATCAAGTGTCACAAATTATCAAGAGAGAGGAAGTCAAAAGAATCAAAGTTATATATTTTTTGCCCTCATTTTAACCTCACCAATTACTGGCAAGAATTATGATTATCTTTCCTGTTTAGCTCATTAAAGTGGAAACTACCTGGAACTAACTGCTAGAGCCCAGTAATATTGTCACCCCGGTTGGAGTGCAGTGGCGCGATCGGAGCTCACTGCAGCCTCTGCCTTCTGGGTTCAAGCGATTCTCCTGCCTCAGCCTCCCAAGTAGCTGGGACTACAGGCATGTGCCACCACACCCAGCTAATTTTTGTATTTTTTAAAAGAGATTTTTGTATTTTTTAAAAGAGATGGTCTCAAACTCCTGACCTCAGGTGACCTGCACACCTTGTTCTCCCAAAGTGCTGGGATTACAGGTGTGAGCCACCGCACCCATCATAGATCTTTTAAAAGCCCTTCAACTTAGAGTCTAATTTCCCATCATTAGTTGACCAGTGAGTTAAATACTCAGAATCTCAAAAGCTTTAATAATGTAAAGAATGGAGTTTTGATATGAAAGAACCATTGGGTTGATTATTTTTATAATTAGCATTACATGTTGTACCATTCAGCCGTTTGATTTTACTGAACAGTACTTGCCAGTCTTTTTTTGTGCATGGTTTGTTTTGTTTTGTTTTGTTGAGACAGGGTCTTGCTCTGTTGTTCAGGCTGGAGTGCAGTGGTGCAATCATGACCTCCCCAGCTCAAGCAATCCTTCTACCTCAGCCTCCCCAGTAGCTGGGTCCATAGGAATATGCCACTAAGCCCAGCTCATTTTTTGATTTTTTGTAGAGACAGGGTTTTGCCATGTTGCCTAGGCTGGTCTTGAACCTCTGGGCTCAACTAATCCTCCTGCCTTGGCCTCCCAAAGTGCTGCCCCAATCTTTTTTTTTTTTTTTTTTTTTGGTGTCAGTTTCAGGGTCTCTATATTTTACAATAGCAAGGAAATAAAAGTGTGCTCACCCATATTATTTCTTTTTACCACTTAGAAATAAGAAAAATGCCCAACATGCAGTTTTATCTATGTACAACAAATAAATGTAAAGCAATGCGTATCATTATAATTATTATTATATGCATGGGAGAGTTTTGTTACATTTAATCCCCTGTCTAGCTAATATTCAGTAATGAGCCAACTTTAAAAAGTGAAGTTCAGGCACAGTGGCTCATGCCTGTAATCCCAGCACTTTGGGAGGCTGAGGCAGGTGGATCACTTGAGCCCATGAGTTCAATATGAGCCTGGGCAACATGGGGAAAACCCATCCCTACCAAAAACTACAAAAAATTAGCTGGATGTGGTGGTGCATATCTGTAGTCCCAGTTACTCAGGAGGCTGAGGTGGGACAATCACCCGAGCCCCAGAGATTAAGGCTTCAGTGATCGGAGATTACGCCACTGCACTCCAGCCTGGGCGTTGGAGTGAGACCCTATCTCCAAAAAACAAAACAAAACAAAACAAAAAACAAACAAACAAAAGTTAAAATTAAACTGCAAAATTAGTTTCTACAGTTTATAAACTTTTTATTAAAAATATTCAATAGCTTCCTAGATTTAAAAAAACAGACAATATGCATTAGTTTTAATGAGATTCTCCCCTCCATGCTAGAAAATATGTATTTTATAGTCATTAAGGAAGACTTACCCAGTGTCTTTATATATCTTCCCTCCAAAAAGAATTGAAAAGAAATAAATGGAATATGCTTCATTTCCTCCAGGTAGGACCCGGAGAGCACTGTATCTTCTGTAAAAAGTAGGGTGACCCACCATTTGCTCAGAATTTTCAAGGTTTAGCAGTGATAGTCTCATGTCTCCTGAAACACTGAGATCCCCAGCAACCACAATCATTGGTCACCTTAATTCAGGTGGCTTCCCTAGTAAAGAGCATTACTTCTTACTCTGTAAATGGAGTACCAAACAGATGGTTAAATACTTTTTTTTAAAGACCTTGCAAGTATTCATTTCCATTTTATTCAGTTTCAGTCTTTCTTCCCCTTTCTTTCTTCTCTGCCATTTTAGCTTTCATACCCACTAAATGAGCTAGAGGCATGTTTTTCACTCTTCGTTATTTACAATGCTTTTCTTTTTAATTTTCTTGAAGGAGCTTATCCAGAAAGGGGGCCTAATGTGCCTGATTTTTTTGATGGTTTGTTTTGATTCCCCTATTCACTACTTATTTACTTTGGCAGCCACACCATTCTGTCTACCTCAGCTGAAGAGAATATCCCATCATACAAGGGCAAAGGTGTTCCCTGTGGCCATGCTTTGAAAACAGCTCAGCGTTGCCCTTCTCTTGGGCTGCACCAAGGGCATGGTATCACCGAGTGGGTAACTGTTCGCTGCCCGGGACTTCTGCTGATTAGGAGCTCTCTGCATCCATAGCCCATGCTGCAGGCCACATATTGCATAGTAAGGAGCTGACTACACTTGAACCTTTAAATTTATGAAAAATTGGCATAGCTGGTTTGCATAATTCATTGGGTTGCTTCTTTTTGCATTTCTTGTATGATTTTTAAAAATTGTTTTCCCTGATACTGAGTTTCTATCACTCTGATCTACTCAGCTGTGTTATTTCCTAAACAGCTAAAGAGAAAAATTGTCACAGATATACAGGCTGTGAAATTCTTCCTAGATGAAAATAAGCCACATATGTCAGTATTCATTCAGAAGCAGAAATTTGCTTTTCTCTGTGTTTTTTGAAAGCCTAAAAGCAGTTTCAAGTCATCTTCCAACCTGTATCTGTCTTTTAGCAGTGCAAAAGCAGTTTCCTAGAAATGACTGAGGCTTATACCATGTGCTGATATATACAAATTCTATCCATTCATTGGCAAAGAGAAGTGCTTTATTAAACTTATGGCAATTAAATGTGCCACTAATTATGTCTACAACCGTGACAATGTAACAAGTAGAACGGCCAAGTAGATATAAACCTCATTCAAATAACATTCTGCCATAGGTGCTGCTTACCCTCCTTGGGCTTTGCAATCCTGGCTGTGAATGTCAGGACCCATCCGGCCTAGGTATCCTTGGAAGGTTTTTCAGTTTGGCACTTTAAGAAACAGCAAGAAAATGATTTGTTGAGACTAATCAAACCCATATTATAGAATGAGACCCATGTAATCAAATTTTATGGTTCACATAAATAAAATGATATAAACAACCAACTCCAAGTCACATAAAATGTAGAACTTGCAGCACACTTTAGCCTGGAATGGCGGAAAGACTGGTCCTTTGTTCTGGTGCTGCCTCGTTTCCTCTTTCTTCCTCCTGTGCCATCTGAGTCTGTGGATGTCCTTTGGGGTGTAGCTGTCCTTGTCTCACTCAAGTCAGCACCTCGATGCCTCTATTTATGTCAAAGCATCATGGACAGTTCTGAGATTCTATATTTGTAACTGTTGAACTTTTACATGAGTTGGGGAGGGGCTTTTGATTGCAAGAGACAAGGAATTCCCTTGGGTTACTTTAGTGGAAAAGGGGATTTATTGTAAGCATATATGTTGACAGAAACTCTAGGCAGTAGCTGCTTTCCTTGGCACTCATGGCCATATGATCTCTTTCTTCCATTGTGCCTCTGCTTCTCTTTTTTTTTGTTTTATTTTCGTCCCTCTACAGATAACATTCTTTGGCTTACTCGTAACTTCCCCTTCCTTGTAAGTTCAGTTTTCACACATCTCTCCAAGCCTCCTTCCAAATCCAGAACTTTATGCTGCAGCTTCAAACGTTAACTGGCTCAGTCTCTTTATTTTTCTGAATTAAAGTCCCAGTGTGACATAGATTATTATGGATTTTAATACTTATCTCTCCCACCACACTTTATGCTTCTTGAGCATAAGATGTCTGTTTTCCTTGCCACTGTATACCCACAGTGCCTAGAAGAAAATAGGGACTGAGTATTTTATGAATGAATAAAATATGCAAAATAATCTGAAATCTACTAATAACTGTTCTTGGTTGGGGGGAATTTTCTACATGAGTTGAACTGGCTAAGTCTTCTCAAACATGAGTCCATTTGGACTGAAGTCATCTTATTCTTTTCCTAGTCTTGTTCCAAGAACCCCAAATGGCTTTCCAATTTAAGGCCAAAATTTTCCATAAAAATTGATGTGATGAAACATTTAAATAGTAAATGTTGGGAGAGAGATTGTTTCCATGGTGACTTCTGCTTCAGGAGTCCTTGTTCTAAGCACAGAAGAGAATGACTGAACTGAGACACCACTAACTTCACATCATCCAGTTGCCATTAACCTAATTTCAGCCAGCTTTATCAGTGCCGATGGCAGTGACCCTGTCTTTGATTCATTCCTGGGAGGTTCTTATTTTGGTAAAATGAGTTCATAAAAGCAGATGAAGGTGGTGGGAAAGGTCAATCCTACTATTGAAAGTTGAGATGTGAGCCGGGTGTGGTGACTCACGTCTGTAATCCCAGCACTTTGGGAGGCCGAGGCAGGAGGATCGCTGGAGCCCAGGAGTTTGAGACCAGCCTGGGCAACATGGTGAGATCTCATCTCTACAAAAAGTTAAAAAAGTTAGCCAGGCACAGTGGTGCATGCCTGTGGTCCCAGCTACTCAGGAAGCCGAGGTGGGAGGATCGCTAGAGCCCAGGTGTTCCAGGCTGCAGTGAGTTGTGTTTGCTCCAGTGCACCCTGGCCTGGGCCACAGAGCAACACTGTCTCAAAGAAAAAGAAAGAAAGAAAGAAAGTTGAGATGTGCTAACACTTACCTGTGGAATGACTTTTCTCTTTGTGTGGTGCCAAAGTTTTCTGGTTTCCCTCTGAAGAGTATATGTCTGGGGTATATCCTGTCTGTGTTCCCAGCCACACTGCAATGACAGGGGGGCCACCCTGCTCCTCTGGAACAGAACAACTTCCTGAGTACAGACCAGATGTTGAACAATGGCCTTACTGTCCGAAACGTGGACAGCAGATACTTCTTTTGTGACCCCCTGCTTTCCCTAACTAAACACCCCTTGTTCTTTTTTAACCATTTCACAAAATGATCTTGTGGTAGCAGAAACCACTGCCATGTGGTTTTCTGTTATTAATCCTAAACTTTCTTTCCTTATTGTTTTATCATAAAACAGATAATGTTATTTTCACAAGCATTCTGAAAATTACCTAAGTAAATGTTATTCCCTTCAACATAGTTACCTTAGGAGAAAAAATGTTTATTCCATTGATGTGGTCATTGCCCAAAACATGTCTAGAACTCCCTTCTCAGTGCCACAAACTTGCTTCTCTCATATTCCAAAGTGTGTAGAGTGCAGCTCTATAGGAATACATGGCTAAAGATGTGAATACACGTGGGTTTTTGTCATATTTTACCTGTAACACATTTACACTTACTTCATCTTTTTCTTTCTAAATAATGAAAAATCCGGCTGGGCGCTGTGGCTCATGCCTGTAATCCCAGCACTTTGGGAGCCAAGGCAGGTGGATCACTAGGTCAAGAGTTCAAGACCAGCCTGGCCAAGATGGTGAAACCCCATCTCTTCTAAAAAAAATACAAAAAAATTAGCTGGACGCAGTGGCAGGCGCCTGTAATCCCAGCTACTTGGGAGGCTGAGGCAGGAGAATTGCTTGAACTCAGTGGACAGAGGTTGCATTGAGCCGAGATCGTGCCATTGCATTTCAGCCTGGGCAACAGAATGAGACTCCGTCTTAAAAAAAAAAAAAAAAAAAAAAAAAAAAGATCCAAATATTGAATGAACACTTTCATTTTTATATTAATGTCTACATTCGTTCATGGATAACTGTGTAACTCTTCACTTGACCCTAACTTTAGAAACTGCCCATATAGCACCTCAAATTTGATTTTAGCTAATAGCTATTAAAAATGCTATTATCTGTGTTAAGTGGAATTTTAGGTTTCATTGCCTAAAACCTAAAATGGAAGTAAAGTGGATTTTCTTGTCATCTACAGGAAATGTTTGATGTTATATTGGATGAAAATCAGCTTGAGGATGCATGTGAACATCTAGGGGAGTACCTGGAGGCGTACTGGCGTGCCACCCACACAACCAGTAGCACACCCATGACCCCGCTGCTGGGAAGGAATTTGGGCTCCACGGCACTCTCACCATATCCCACAGCAATTTCTGGGTTACAGGTATTGTCACTTTTTCACTCATGCTTTTTACAACCTTACATGTAAAATTCTATGGGAACTTGATTAGGATGGAGACTGGAGTCATCCTTAATCTGAAGAGGGAACACTATGTGCACATTATATTTAAAAATCTTAAATATTATCTAATTATGATCTATCCTAGAGAAAACTACCCAGAGACTGACAATTTCCTGAGAATTATGCTGTCTGTGAATTTACAGTGGATTTTACTTAGGTAAATTAACTCCTCCTATGTCTAAACTCTGCTGGCAAACGTAATGCCTACTCAATGCACCTGCCCATTACTTTTTTTTAGAGACATAGTCTCACTCTGTTGTTCAGGCTGGAATGCAGTGATATGATCATAGCTCACTACAGCCTCAAATTCCTGGACTCATGGGCTTATGCAGTCCTGCTGCCTCAGCCTCCCAAATAGCTGGGACTACAGGCACATACCACACACATGGATAATTAAAAAAAAAAAATTGTAGAGACAGTGTCAGTGTCTCACTTTGTTGCCCAGGATGATCTCAAACTCCTGGCTTCAAGCAATCTTCCTGCCTTGGCCTCCCAAAATGTTGAAATTACCATCATGAGCCACCACTCCTGGCCCCTCCATTACTTCTTAATGCCACTTCTTAAGGATTACACAATAGCTAAGTAAGATATATAGGTGCAGATAGGCCTTTCAGCTGCCCTTAATTAATCCTGCCGCACCCAGGTTGCTAGGCCTGCTCTCTACCTTGCACAAGACAATGTGGATATAAGTAGAGCTGCTCTGTTCAGAAACAGTAACTGATCCCTGAGTTTTCTTGGGGCTGTGCAGGTGCCCACCTTTGTAAGTGGCTGTGGCACGTGTCCTTTAGGGAAGCTGGTGACGAACACAGGATCAAGAGGTTCTCCCTTCTGCTGTTCTGGTATTGCACTCAGAGGTAGAGATAGGGAACCAGAGACCTTATGGTACAAAATGAGCCTGCCTTTCTACATCAATTATTATTTACCATTCATCAAGTAGCTGCTGGAATGTGGCCAAACCCGCAGCAAACTGAGGAACATGTAGTCAATTGAGCCCTCTTGTATCATGATGAGTTTTGTTTTAATGGATTATAATGATAGTCTTAATTGTCGATCATACAGAGTTAACTCTGAGATAAATGGCACTCTCTGAAATGCTATTATAGCTGTATTACTCTGTTACAAAATTGCATCTTTGTAAGCAGAAAAACTGTCATGCAAATGAATAGCTTTTGAAACTAGAAATGAACATGAAAAATGTACTGTGGTAATGTACAGCACATACGCATGCATTAGGACTATTTCATGCCTTGTTTCACTTCCCATGGGCTGATCTGAGTGTACATTACTATTGACTAGTGTGGATTGGCTCTGAATTGTACATTACAGAATGAGAAATAGATGCATGAAGCAATACACTTCTGTAATGTACGTAGAAATGCAATGTTGCACTTTTATATTGAATACAACAATCTTGACTCATCACTGCTAAGACATCCACCTAGAGTGGTTCTCCCTGTTTCACTAATGAGTTAATGTGTTGCCCTTTATTCTGTGGCCTATTTCTTCTCCCAGTAACAATTGACACTTCATTGTGAGGCACCTGAGGTTAAAGGCACAGTCTGTGACCTGTCAAATGAATTTCCTTCTGCCTGAATCTGAGTGTACTTTAGATGAGATGTGTCTGGGCCCATGGTTTCAGCAGGATCCTGTGCCTTAACTGATGTGACCTACCTAAACCAGTAGACACAAGTAGATAAATGTTTTCTCATAGTGGAGAAAAATGTTGAATAACATTTTCTGAGCCTTCAAATAAGTATCTTAAGATGCTAATTTCAATTAATGGTATTAGAGGAATTTCGTTTATATTGGAAGATTATTTTGCAGGACATTTTAGTTGAGGAAGCAAGATTTATAAATGTATCAATTAGCTGGCTTCATAATTATTGTATACACCCTTGGAAAGATTATTACATTTATGTAGGATGCAGAAACACTTTATTTTATGAACAGCACAAATAATAATTTTATTAAAATGTTTTTAAAAGGTATAAGGAATATTCAGTTAGATCAAGGTGAGGTGTGTTACTTTAGAAGGAGAAAGATTATATCAATTCAAGAGAGAAATAATAAATGCTATTCTGAACTTTATTTCCCAATAGTAAAATAATTTTCATTTTTGCAATAGAAATGGAATTATTAGAACTTCCTAAATATATTAAGTTCCATTTAACAGTTAGCTTTCAATTCTACATTTGTAATAGGAAGCATAGTCATTCAGCACTGTGGAATTAAACTCATAAACTATCAACACTCTGGCATCTTTTCATGTTGTGTCCCAAATAAATAAGACCAGATATTCTAAGCAGATCATTGGTGCATCAGGATGCCTTATTAAGTCAGATATTTAGCATCTTATTGTACAGATCCTATGATTTTACATACATTTACATGTTTAGATGAATGAAGCTGACATTATTTAATCAATGAACTATCTGATATTTTTAGAGTCAGCGAATGAGGCACAGCAACCACTCCACAGAGAACTCTCCAATTGAAAGACGAAGTCTAATGACCTCTGATGAAAATTATCACAATGAAAGGGCTCGGAAGAGTAGGAACCGCTTGTCTTCCAGTTCTCAGCATAGCCGAGATCATTACCCTCTTGTGGAAGAAGATTACCCTGACTCATACCAGGACACTTACAAACCCCATAGGAACCGAGGATCACCTGGGGGATATAGCCATGACTCCCGACATAGGCTTTGAGTCTAATGAAACAAAAAATATTCATCTGTTGACAATTTGCCATAGCAGTGCTAGGATAAACCAATCATCTTAACTTGGCTAACATAGCACAGTATTTACTGTGCTAATGGGCTGCTGTCATTTTATGCTAAGTAAGGGGCAAAAAAAAAAATTACATTATGCCCTTGAGTCTAGATGGATATTAGATGCCCGATCATATAGATATTTTTAAGTGCAACATTTACATGATAACAGTACATTTTGTTTTCTTCATAGATTTAGACACATCAATTTGTAATTTAGGGTACTTACAAGGCACATATAAAATAATTTCCCATGCTGGAAATTCCAAATGACCAGTTCCAGTTGGAACCAATTTATAAACCAATTCCTGTTGGAATTTGGGTGAATTGACTAGAAAGTCTACTTGAGCATGTTGTAATCAACTGAAAAATCTGGGGGGAAAAAAAAAAAACTAATAAGAAAATCGAAATACCAATAGAAGCCAAATCCAGCTTTGGTATTTATTTGCTGGAAGCTAAATTTACACTTAAAGTTGGAGTGTATAAACATTTTAATATATGTTAATGTTGCCAGAATGACTTTTCAGACTTACCAAATGTATTGATAGTGCCAAAAAAAAAATCTCAGAAATCTTAATGCAGAAATTATATAGTCTCCTCAGATTTTAATATTTTTATTTCTTTCCTGGCACAGCTGTTGTATTCAAAGTGTTTTGCTTTTTGTTTGGTCAGTACTGTTAGCTCATTTGAAGTTGGCAAAAACAAATACAAACAAGCAAAAAACCTCAAATTTTTTTCAGCAGTGAGAGAGAATAGTAAAGAGAGGCCCAAGCATAGCTGGTTATGTGAAATATAAAATGGGGTGTTGTTCTCCCTTTAATCAATCTGAGCACAACTACATACATCCAGGAATCTGAAGTCAGATAGTAAGGATGTGGTACCAATCCTCCCGAGTGCAATGCTAAACACTTCCAGGTGGGAATTCATCTATTTCACTTAACACAAACGCAGGGTCTGTATTTCCTGCCAACAAGATTGAGTATCTTTCCATTGCTTCTCTCAGTCTCTGTCTTTGAATATCTGAATGTTCTGGCCCTTCAACAAATTCTTTAAATCATGCTAAGGAATTTCGTTTTATGTGGACACACTCAACTTTGATATTCAGGAGATGTTTTTACAAAATGACTAATTGAAAAAAGTTGAAACAAATGATTTTAAAAGCTTGCAGTAAAAAATAAACTCATAGATTCAGCAAATATTTGTTGACTAAAATTATAGCATTTTTAATGCAGAAAATTATAAAGAATTTGGAGATTGAGCTGCCTTATTTCTAATGAACACTCCTCTTCATCTTATTAAGTCTTCACAGTTTTTCCAGTGGCTATAATTATGGAATTGGTGACCTATGTTTTATATTATCAAGGAAGCCTTAGATTCACTCTGATCTAAGAAATTATTGAAATTGACCCTTTTTACACAAATGTCTTTAAAAAAAAAAACTTATTTCTAAATGTCCATAGTGCATGCATTTTCTAAAACCCCAATAAGTCCAGCCATAAAAGTTCTTTTCTGCTAGTACATGTCATGAAGCCTATTTTTGAAAATAATGATAATTAATTTTATAGTATCTTCTTTTCTCCCCAAGCCTTTCAGTATTCAGGCACTCAAAGCATGCACCAGTTCAGTAATCTTCTTGACCATGGAAATAAGTTCCACATTACTGATGAGTTATATATATATCTTGAACCCCATTACAACCTCACCACATCCCCCTGCATTTATGTTCAGTGTTTGTACCCCATTATGAACCTGTTTAGCTGATAATGAGGATACCTATAATTCTGTAAGTCATTTCAAATATTTGATACAATTAAAAAATATGGGCTTAGTAAATTTTAAAAGTTAACATGTGATACTGGCTTGTGAGATTCTTCTGTCATCTAGTGAAGCTTATAAAACTTTCAGTTAAGACATTTTAAAAGAGTTATATCCATTAGGCACTTTAATAAACATATAACCTGCCATTACTGAATACTTTGTTAGAACACAGAAGAGCATCTTCCAGCAAACAAAAATATATTTATTACATGTACAGCACATACTTGCATGAGAAAGAAAACATTAGCCAAAACATTTTTCTATATGCTTTACTGGTTTCTTGTTTATGCGCATTAAAGTATTTAATTGCAAAGAGTGCACCAAGGTGTACAAATTTAGACTAGACAGCTGTTCAGCTTTTTCTGTAGTAGCATTAGCAGTTTGGTCATTTAACTACTTTAAGATACTTACATTTTATGGCAGGTAGCTGTAACAGCATTTAAATATATTTCCTAGTCATCAAGATTACCATCTTCTTTCAACTTTTTAAAAGTCACTTGTTTTTAAAGGTTTTTCAAAGCCTTGTTTTTAGTCTTCCATGTCATGCCGATAAAGAGAGTCTCATTCAATATCTGTGCACAAAACCAATCTATCAATTACCATCAGATGTCCATACCTGTTTTGCTTTGCATTCTTATTCAAAAGCTGACAATCTTGGAAAGGGTATAATGTATATTTTATTGATGGATATATTTAAATGTTTACTTTAATTTGGAATATTCTTTCCCCTTCTTTCTGTAATAAGTTTATCTTCCTCAAATAAGGGGATATACATCTTATTTTTTTTAAAGACTTAAGAGTTTATTGTGTAAATGATACTTAAAATCTAGATATATACTAAATGAAAAGTTTTATTTTTGCCAAGCACACCAAGCACCTTTGAAAAATACATACTCCATACTTTGTTTTTAATTAATTTCATTTAAAGATAGCAAATGATTATAAGCAAGAGAAACAAGTCTTTTACTGTTTTGAGGCTGTTTTAACTTACAGTATAAGCCACATACTAGAATTCTGTAATTTCAGTCACAGACATATAATAATGTGGACTCATGTGACAATGTGGAAATGTAGTTCTGGAAAAAAACGAATGCAATTTGTCAATCCTGATGTTAATTCTCAAGGGTATAATGTCACTCTAATATTATAACCAACAACATTATCTTGTTTAATATTTAAAGCAACACTTAGAAATGTTTATAAATGATGATTCTCTCTTATCTTTATACAGTTCTATTGGAGAGAAGGTTGAAATTGTTCACAATTTAGATGATGGTCTTTCCTAATAAGAGTCTTAATTTTGTGACTATATAAGTCATTGCAGTTAGTCTTTAATGAAATGAATTTTATTAATGTAAAACAAATTCTGAGACAATTATTTGTTTCCTTTAAATAATCTGCTATTTAATTATTATTGTCGTTGTTTGCAAAATGTATTTTTGGAATGTTAACCTCTTTTCATACCTGCATACTTGAACTTGTCTTTTGTGTGGGGGCCTTAAAATTCATAATAGGAAGTGGAGGCAGTGAAAGGAAGTAAGAAAAGGAAATTATGCTAAAAGATGGTTTGCAAATTTAAATTCTTTAAATGAACATATCACAAAATGTTGTTAAGACCCAGGATGTCCGTTAAGAATGTGTCTTGGCAACCTTAATTTGCATGTTAGTATATATTTTCTTAGTTACACAGTTTTATTTTGGTATTTGCTTAAAAAATGTAATACCATTGTAGAAATTACCCTATGTACTGATATATTTACTACCTCTTCTCTAGAGAAGACAATCTGTCTTTAAAGGGAAAAACACTGGTCAATAAGTAGTGATCAAAATTATCACTATTCTGGCTAACCTTGCTGCAAAGCTAAATACATAGATTATTAAAATATGCCTTCCCTTTAGATTTTAAACTGTTTCCAAAATGCTGTTTGGCACCCTTTCATTTCTTCCACGTTAGTGAAGTTTTCTTTGAATTGGTTCACAGTTTATCATGAGGCAAGGTTAATTTAACAAATAAGTCATCATAGGGAACAAAACAAACTGCAAGGGAATTGCCTTTGTGTGCAACTTGTTATAATATCTAGTTCTAAGTCTAAAGGAGTAAAAGTCCAAAGACTTTATGTTTAAGAGCAGCTGGTTTGCAAATTCACATTTTGTTGGTCCTTGACTTCCACAGAGCATGACTTAGCCATTTACTGGGTAAGGATATGCATAATCTTGGACTCCCATGTAATTGGAATAAACTTCATATCAATGTTTCAAATAAATGCTATGTACCCCTTATTCCTTTTACATTTCTGCCTTTGTCTTTTATGACAATGTTGCATGTTGTGTTTTTTTAAATTATATAAAACTCATCCTTGAATGACTGTATGAATGAAAAATTTATAGGAAATTATGTAATAAAATCTGTTTTATTAGTTTCTCATACCTTTAAATACTGTCAATACTATAACTGTTAGTAAGTTACTTACTCAAGCTGTGTCTATGGGGCAGAGAACAGTCCTCTTCTTTAAAATAATCATGATCAAACCAGTCAAGTCAATCCAATTAGCTGTTAGACAGACAATAAGGATAACCTTCTTTTTGACTTAAGCAGTCAAGTTAGTCAAAATAGAAAAATTGGCTTATATGGGCACCCAGAACTACAGCATTCAAAAATTACTTTTAAAAGTTTCTTCTTTTATTAAAATGGACTTTCTTAAATAAAATACATCCTCTGATAGCAGCTATCTCTTTTTACTTGTAATGATTAATTCTAAATGCTTCATGTAATTGAGGGACATTATGAGAAGACTAGAAAGTATCTCATCAGATAATCCTAAGGGCTGTAACTTCTACTTGCCATAAACAAAGTATAATTAAGAGTGAGTAGCAATTGGTTTGGGGAGTCGTAGTTATATATGAAACTTTCTTTTGTTTCTCATGATGTATGTAAAATGTTTGCAGAAGGATGGTAGAAAATGTTACTAATGAATTTAGAGTGGTTTGGGAGAATACACTGATACTTCCTCATTTGAAAATTATAAGGAGTTACAAGGGGAACTAAGAACCAGAAGTGGCTGGCCTCTAGCTTTTCAATACCTGATAAGTGTTCTTGGTTATGTTTTGAACACTTAAATTTCTCAACAAATGGCTATGTCTATATTTATGTAGGGGCCACCCTTGCCCTACTTGCATGCCACTTTGACTTTTAACTGAAATCAGTGTGAATTCTGTATGCATAAGGGATGTAATAAAGAGGCGGGATCATTAACGCTATATCGTTGCATACTATTTTTCATATGCCTTACAATATTTTCTGGGATGTTATTAAAATGAAAGCATTTTATTGCCAAAATAAATCTATGTTGTTACTTATAATCTGCATTAGCAGTAGAAAAATAATGTAGCAAAAACATATTGTACAGTACAAAATTATAAAATATATATTTTGCCAATAATATAAAAATAGATTGAGGAGAAAGAAGCACATTTGTTATAGCACAAACTTATAACAAAATCCACCGTTAAATTTGGCAGTCATATTTTTTAAAAGTATGTCGATTTAGTTCTAAGTTTTGTCAGATTTACTTCATCTACCATCTTTTTAACTTGCTGCTTGATACTTTTCCAGCAATTTATTTCATAGCCTTGCAATCTGTGGATGTAATTTCTTTTGTTTTATTCCCTTCCATAAAATTTATTAAATTTTATTTTGTGATAACACTCATACCATATTTTCTCCTCTTATTTCTTCTCTTTCAATAACAACAGCAGAAAGTCACAGCAAGTGAGCTCATAGGGCTCCTCTGAATTTTGGACATGTGTGAGATTTTTGTATTTTTCACAGCCTCGAGTCAGAATGATCAATAAAGATGTCCCAACCACAAAAAATTATATTAGTTAGGGATTCTTTAATTTGTTTTGTACTGAATACTACTTTGAAACATAAGTTAAAGCCATTAGCTGTGTTTTTGTAGGGATGGTGGGAAGGAATAAAAAATAAATGTATTAACATAAAACATACTAAAACAGAAATATGGCAAAATGATGTAAAAAGATTTTTCCTACTATTCTGAGGGCTGTTGAAATCCCAGGCTATTGCTATATCTCCATTGACAAAGTGGGATAAAAAATGCCTTTGTCAAATAATTTTTTTTCTTTCTTTAAATTTTAGTTATTTATTTTAATAATTTGTCCCCTTTTATTTTTCTTATCTAGGTATGTGTAGCATTCTACAAGGCATGCTGGGTAAAATATACTATGCAAATGTGTACAGTGCTGCATGTTTTGTTCTCCCTCTGCTTTAGTGGCTTTAAAGAAAAAAACGTGGTGTTATTTTTGTGAATAAAAACATTAACAAAGAAAATGCAGAGTGCATGCATAGAGTATCCTCATTTCTATGGATTTGTTTTATGGAATTTAAATGTGTACAAAACAACTGCATTACTTTTTTTCTTTTATATAATAAATGAAAAAAACACTGAAACCAGCGTTATACCTCTCCTTTATATTATTCTAGAAATATATTGAAGAAATACTGGAAATCAATAGGTACTCTTTTATGAAAAAAAGAAAAAGTCTAAACATTTATCCTAAAAAGGGATTCAATCAAATGACTACTTTCTGAATACTCTGCCAGGTGCTGTGAGTGATCACAAAATAAGTACTGTATTAGGAAAGGGTTTATAAGTTAAATACACACACATGTGAAATAAAATACATTCGAATACATGTGCAAAATAGGATTGGATATAGAAAAATATACTAGATGAAGTATTATATTGTTCGCAAGTCATCCACTCCAAAATGATTAATATTGCAGTTATCAGACATTTCCAAAGCTATCTTGTACCTGTAAGAATTCCATAGTATGTATTTGGGGTCAATTGTCTATGTTAAGACTTGATTGGAATTTGACTTTTTTGTCATTTCACTGTATAGGAGATTCCAAAGAAATATGGACTATGTTGATTTTTATCACTGCATTAGGATTATACAGTGATTTATTAGAGTCAAGTTATTTCACAATTATCACATTTAATTCATCTGATCACCCAGGAAAGTAGGCCGGGCATGGATTATGAGATACAAATACAAATGAGGAAACCAAAGTTCACTGAAACTTCTCTCTCAAAAGAATTTTTCTTTTTTTTTTCTTTCTGAGATGGAGTTTCACTCTTGTTGCCCAGGCTGGAGTGCACTGGTGCGATCTCGGCTCACGGCAAGCTCCACCTCCCGGGTTCAAGCGATTCTCCTGCCTCAGCCTCCCAAGTAGCTGGGATTACAGGCATGCGCCATCACGCCCGGCTAATTTTGTATTTTTAGTAGAGACGGGGTTTCTCCATGTTGGTCAGGCTGGTCTCAAACTCCCGACCTCAGGTGATCCGCCCGCCTCGGCCTCCCAAAGTACTGGGATTACAGGCGTGAGCCACTGCGCGCAGCCAAGAATTTTTCTTTAAAAATACGTACTCATAGCCGGGCGTGGTGGCTCCTGCCTGTAATCCCAGCACTTTGGGAGGCCTAGGCGGGCGGATCACCTGAGGTCGGGAGTTTGAGACCAGCCTGACCAACATGGAGAAACCCCGTCTCTACTAAAAATACAAAATTAGCCGGGCGTGAGGGCGCATGCCTGTAATCCCAGCTACTCGGGAGGCTGAGGCAGGAGAATCGCTTGAACCCGGGAGGCGGAGGTTGCCGTGAGCCGAGATGCACCAATGTACTCCAGCCTGGGCAACGAGCGAAAGTCCATCCCCCCACCAAAAAAAAAGAAAAAGAAAAAAAAAAGTACTGATATGTTACTTTTAAGCTAGGTAATCATCTGAAGCATACAAAACAATGCCTGGAATACAATAAATGTTGACTGAATGAATAGTACCTCAGTTATTGGAGAGGTATTATATAAGGCTGTCTCAACTATCAAAGTATTTCAGCCAACAATCTGAAACTCATCTACCAGCCATATGCCTGAAGCTACTTCTCCTGTCATCAGCACATTTCCAATAATAAAATGTACGAGGGAGAGAAACATCTCATTTGTACTTTGATACAACATGCAGATTAGCACAGTGGTTTGAGTGTGGATCTAACCTTTGTCTGGGTTCAAAGCCCAGATCCAGCAATAACTAGCCATGAACTTGGGGCAATCACTTAATGTCCCCATGCCTGGGTATTTCTGTAGAGTGATTTGCTTTTGGTTATGGATCACATTTTCCTGTTTCCTTGCACGTCTAGTGATTTTTTATTGGATTTAGGACAATGTAAAGTTTACATTGTTGATGACTTGATCTCATATTCCTTTAAAGAATGTTATACTTGTTTTGGCAGGCAATTGTGAATTAGTTTGGCCCTTTCAAGGTTTGGTTTTAAGCTCCTTTAGGATTGGTCTTGTGTAGGGCTTATTCTTAGGCCAGTTAGCTCCTCTTCTAAGGTCTCTGGTGGTGTCCACTCAACTATATCGAGTTTATCCAACCCACAGCCTGTGGGCTGCATGCAGCCCAGGATGGCTTTTTAAAAATTAATTAATTAATTAATTTATTTATTTATTTTTGAGATAGTCTTGTTCTGTCACCCAGGCTGGAGTGCAGCGGTTTGATCTTGGCTCAGTGCAATCTCCACCTCCTGGGTTCAAGCAATTCTCCTGCCTCAGCCTCCAGAGTAGCTGGGATTACAGGTTTGCGCCACCATGCCCGGCAAATTTTTGTAATTTTTGGTAGAGACGGGGTTTCATTGTGTTGGCCAGGCTGGTCTCGAACTCATGGCCTCTAGAGATCTGCCCACCTTGGCCTCCCAGTGTTGGGATTACAGGTGTGAGCCACTGCACCCGGCCCTAGGATGGTTTTGAATGTGGCCCAATACAAATTCGTAAACTTTCTTAAAACATTATGAGTATTTTTGTGATTTTACTTATTTTTTAGCTCATCAGCTATCAATAGTGTTAGCTTATGTTATGTGTGGCCCAAGACAATTCTTCTTCCAGTGTGGCCCAGGGAAGCTAAAAGATTGGACACCCCTGTCCTATATATTCAGTTCTCTTCACTCTGGCTGAAGGGAACTCAAATGATTCCTGACCCGTTGTAATCTCTGGGAATCATTTGCATTACAGTTTCCTGGTACTTATTTTTCCTCAGGAATTGTGACTGACCAGCCTCTTGGGGGTTCATACTGCACGAGCACAAATTGATATGCAGCCAAAGACTCAATGGCCCCTTAACAGGTTTCCAGAGCTTTTCTCTGTGTAGCTCCCTCCTTCCAGTTACTCTGCTTCACAAATTCTAGTCACCTTGATCTCTGGGAATGCTGATATGCGTCTTCAGTTCTAAGAGGTTTCCAGATTCTCATTTGGGTTCCCACTTCCTCCGTAGTTGACTGGGAATTGCTTTTAGGGATAAAGTCCAGGAAATGGTAAGACTCCACCTGTTCCTTTCTCTTTTGCAAAGAATCACAGTACTGTGATGTGTTTTTCAATATCTGAAATGTCGTTGCCTGTACTTTGTGCAGTTTTCTATTTGCTAATGGTAGGAGGATATATTCAAACCATCCTACTCTCTCATGCCTGAAGTCAGAAGTCTCTCCAATGACATTTTGCATTTCTCTGTAATCATAGATAAATTGGTCTTTAAACTCTCTGTCTCTGTCTCTCTCTCTCTCTTCTTTCTTCACTCGGAAAATAACCTGGGAGACCATTTCCTTGGGTAGATTGTAAAATATGAAGCTCCGCCATCACATAATGTGTATATGACATCCATTTCATAAGTTGACATCTGTGTGGGAGTCTGAAAAAGTCTTAGAGCTACCAAAGCATTACCTACGGTGTGCGAGAATGGAAATATTACAGAGTTAATGCAAATTGGTTATACAAACTACATTGTTCTTCTAAACAGTGTACAGAATATTAAGTAAATCCAGACATGATAATACATAAATTAATATGGATTACTATGATTTTCCTTCCCTTCATGTATGGCTCCTCTAAACTTTGGCTTTTTAACCATAAAGCCCCAAAAGAAGTCAACGAAATTACTTTTCTATATTTTGAGGTAAAATACTGGGTAGTTAGGAGAAGTGAGTTGGGAAGGTGCGGTTTATTGCTGATTTTGCTTAATTTCATTCAGCTGTTGGGGATGGGAGTGCAAAGCAGTTCAAATGGCTCCTACAAGTCTCCCAATTTTTCTTTATTTTCCTTTTTACTAAGGTTAACGAGAACAGAAAGGGATGGAGCTTTGGTGGCCACTAAAGGTTTTTAAACAGGGTAGTGACTTGATCAAAATCGTTGTTTTGGGCAATACTGACGTGAGAGTTAAGAGATTGGAGAGAAAAGAGCCCTGAAGTGCAAAAATGGCTTTAAGGTGACTATCTAGGTAAGGCCACTGACTTCAGCTGAGTGTCAGAGGGCAGCAGACTTTTCCCTCAAAGACCCACAGGGGACACAATGTCTTAAAGAGTCATGACGTGGAACTTTAAGTGTAGTGTATGTGAAGGGTTGGGGATGGACATGGGGTACTCAATTATATGTTTACATTATGGCGCAGTGGAGAAGATTCGAGGGAAATATAAATACTCGGGGACGCAACAGCAAGCAGTCGGAAGCCATCTGCCCCAACTTGCGGTCTTCACAGCCTCAGTCCCAGGGTAAAGTCCTGCGCCTTCCGCAGTCTTGGTTATGCAAATAAGCGAGGACAGGGCGGGCGCCCTTTCCTACGCTCCGCCCCTCTGGCCGCGCGCCTGCGCACTCACGTCCCTCCAGGCCCGCCCCTTCACTTCCCCCGCCCGCGTGGTCGTCGCCACCGCAGCCGCCCGAGAGGAGCTGGGGGAGGACGGTGGCCCGCGAGGCTCGTCGCAGACAACGCGGCGGCGATGTCCGCGAGCCAGGCGAGTGCCGCGGCGGCAGCGGCGGGGCCTTGCGCGCGGCAGGGCGGCCTGGGCTTCGGCCTCCCTCCGGTTCCCTGGAAGCGGGCCCGCGACCAGCGCGGGAGCAGCAGCAGAGGCGGAGGCTCCAGCGCGTCTCTCTCCTCCCCCTCAGCCTGAGCCGGGGGAAGCCAGGCGGCCCGGGTGTCTGGAGGGGGGGGGTCCGCTGCCCGAGAATGGGAATTCTCTTCACTAGAATATGGAGACTGTTCAATCACCAGGGTGAGGAGCTCGGTCCGCGGGCGTACGGGTTGGGGAGAGGGTCAGCTCGGGCCGGCTAGGTGGGGGTCTCCGAATACTTCGGAATGTGGGCGGCTCGGTCGGGCGCCAGCTCAGCGCGGGGTGCAGGCTGCGCGGATACGGGCCCGGGACGGTTCGGTCCCGGCTCCCGAGCTTGGGGATGGTTCCTGACTCGCAGCCCTTTGTCTTAGGAGACCTTCCTAAGAAGTCTTTTCCGTAATAGACCCATTGCTCCGATTTCGAATGAGAGTGGTAAAGGTTTCTTGCCCTAGGTCCGACGTCCCTGAGTAGCACGGCCTGGCCTGTCTTTCAGCCCTTTCTTTGCTCACCAGTTGTGTTTGGACACCACATAGAAGTGCTGGGGTCTTCTGGAATGAAGGTTATAGATTGCTGCCCTAACCGCACCACTGAGCGACCGAGGGTTGCAGAATGCGGAAAACGGGAGGAATCGCTCGACTTGTCCATTACACCTCTGGTTTATGAGCCTGCCCTCCACTGCCACCCGTCTTTGTGTGTGTTGGGGGCAGGGGGGGTTCTTCTGCCTCCTGAATAGAGATGGACTTCTCTCCATTTGTTTTACTTATTATATCTGTGTTTAAGGTTAAGCTTAAGGTCATTTTTCTACTCGTGTGGGTTATTAGACACAGTTTTTGTTTGTTTTGCTGGGTTAAAAATGTTAAAGTGTTTCACTGAAAGTTTTAAAAACATACCATATGAAACATTTGTTAACCATAGGTAACTAGCAAGTTACTAAGTGTAAAGTGTGTTATATAGGGATGCTTAAGTTCAGCCAACTTCAGACATGGCCATGAAATACCTATCAGGCTTGTTAAAATTTGTTACAAAATGACTAAAACTGGGGAAAGAGAATACAATTTTAACCCAAAGACTGGATACTTATTAAGATACAGTGGTGTACTTTTGTTTCTTTTTAACTCAAGTTGGGTGGTTCATCATTCCGCTGTCAGGAACTTAGTTTGTGTTTTTCTGTTGTGTAAGCTGATGGTGTCACGTCCCAGTTTTCCAATAAAGACTTACGTGAATGGTGGCATCTATTATGTACACCTACTACTACCACCTCCTCCTTCATGATCTAGCTGCTCTTTTAAGAAGCTTAGGGGAAGCAAGCAGAACTAGAACTTGTGATCCCTAATGTATCTTTTACGCACACACACACACACACAGATGTGTAGGTCACGTGATACCGAAAGAAAGGGCAGTATCAATTTTTCTGATAAGAGGATTTTTCATAAAGTAGAGAAAATCAGTTCTAATCAGCACTGTCTCTGACTGGACTGGCTGTTAGTGTTGGGAGCAGGAGAGTGGGAAGCAGTCACTTGAACTCTCAGGTTTTCTGGTCTAGGTTTTCTCACCTAGAACACCAGGGATCTGTGGAGCTTCCAAATCTTGTAAACTTTATTTCTACATTGCAAATATTAAAACGTACATTGCTGTAAGACTGATGGTACTTATAGTAGATAAGATCTATTCTAGTTTTAACATCCATCATTTTGTATTATTTTTAGCAAAGCTAGTGTTTCATCTGCTGTGAGGTTTAGCAAGACTGTGAATTGAGCTCTAGTGCTGCCAGAAAAAGAGTTATCACCACTTTCTATTTTGAGTCAATGATAAAATTATTTGTTTCTGTAAGTTAAGAATAAATGAGAACTTTGCCAACAGCTCCTTGGAGTAGTAAATAATAAGGGTGTGTGCTCTGGTATCACTACAAATTGCTAATAGTAGTGTTTTTATAACCTGTATTTTGTGGTAATTTTTGACGGGACATTTATGGCAGTTTGGCGGAAATTAATAGAGAAATTAATGAAGTTAAGTTCTAGAAAATTAGATATGAATATTGTGAAAGTGTGAATAAATTATTTATTTTCTGCTAAACAGTGTGGCTGTCTTATCAATAGGGTCACTTTTCCGAATATCCACCATTTAATCTAATGCCAGATATTTGTTGGGTTTTGTTTTTGTTTTTGTTTTTTTGAGATGGAGTCTTGCTCTGTCACCAGGCTGGAGTGCAGTGGTGTGATCTTGGCCCACTGCAACCTGTGCCTCCTGGGTTCAAGCGATTCTCCTGCCTCAGCCTCCCGAGTGGCTGGACTACAGGTGCGTGCCACCACACCCAGCTAATTTTTGTATTTTTTGTAGAGATGGGGTTTCACCACGTTGGCCAGAATGGTCACCATCTCTTGACTTCGTGATCCACCCGCCTTGGGCTCCCAAAGTGCTGGGATTACAGGCCTGAGCCATGGTGCCCAGCAGGGTTGTTTTTTTTTTTTTCTGTATAGGACATATATAAGTTAGATATGTGTTGGATGCTCTTGTTTTACCTTCAGTGGATTCAGAATGCAATCTTACTTTCTTTTCATAGAAACTCTTGGAAAGTATGTTTCGGGAGATTACAGAATTTGCCATCTGATGAAACTTAAACTATGCAGTATCTCCTGTTTCTGAAACCCCTCGAGAACAGCTTTTTCAGTTAAAGCTCAGATTGAGTGCACAGTGAAAGCTATTTGTATACCGCTCGAACTAGAAAAACCAGAGGTCACATTTAGTTGATACTGAGATTCAGTAGAGTACAAACTTTATCCTAGATGCTGTCATTTAAATCATTTTATTTTATTTTATTTTATGTTTTAACAATCTTTTGAAGTAGTTATTTCCCCTGAAAAGGGAAAACTGAGGCTTAAGTGGAATGATTTTTTTTCCCCAGGCCATGCAACTGGTATATGCCAGAGCCAGGCAAGTTAAAACCCTGAAGGAATCTCTTAAAGAAGAGATTGACATCATTTTTCCCTCCCTCCTCCTCCCCCCATTAACTTTTTCAGTTGCTAATCTCTAAGTTGTCTTTAGAACTTCGAAAAGTTGCCATTAGTAACTTTTTTTTATAGAAGAGCTTGTGATCAGTGGTTTACTTGTTCTCAATAAACAAATATTTTAACACCTATTTAGTCCAGGAAGTGTTCTACATGGTGGGATAAGGGAACAAAACAGACAAATTCCACTGCCTTTATGGAGCTTTCATGTAGTGTTGGGAGACAGGAAATTAACTCACTTTGTCTCTACAAGTAAAATAATAGTGGTTAACACTTGTGCAAGGTTCACACAGGTTGTTTGATTTAATATTCACTTAGTTGATTTACTCTTTACAACAACCCTACAAGGTAGATATTATTCCCCTTATTTTACAGGGGTACGGAAACAGGTAACTTGCTTTAAGCACTATAGGTAAAAGTGATAGACCTGGATTTTAACCACGATTACGTAGTGCCGGAGTTATTTCTCCTACGCACACACACCTGGATTTTAACAAGATTATCTAGTGCCAGAGTTAGTTCTACACACACATGCACGCACGCACATTTGCACACAACTTCGTGTAAGAAGGACTTTGTATAAGAAGGACTCAGATAAAAAGAACTGACTGATGTGAACTATAAAAGAAGTTGTGGAATTTCCTCATTAATAGCCTTGTATTGCTCTCTTGGTTGGTTGCTAGAAAAGGAATTATAAGTATGAATGGGTGCAGGAGAAGCTGCCTGTGCTTCAGGAACCTGATGCTGAGGAAGCCACCTCTGTTTCTGGCTTATTATTGTTGTTATTATTATTATTATTATTATTATTAGGGAGTTTAAATGTGTAGAGAAGAGTACATATGGAAGCTGAGTAGCCAAGGGGTAGACTGTGTCTTAGCTTCTAATACAGATGCTCCTCAATTTGTGATAGTTGATAATTTGTGATAGATAGATAATTGAAAATACAGTAAGTAAAAAATGAGTTTAATATGCCAGACTTACTGAAAACCATGGCTTTAGCCTAGCTTGCTTTATACGTGCTCAGAACATTTATGTTAGTTTACAGGTTGGCAAAATCTAACCCAAAGCCTATTTTATAATAAAGGTTGAATATCTCGTGTAATTTATTGAATACTGTACTGAAAGTGAAAAACAGAATCTTTGCATGGGTACTCGAAGTATGGTTTCTACTGAATGTGTGTTGCTTTTACAACATCACAAGTCAGAGACCATTTGTAAACCCTTTTTGCATGCTCTGTGGAAGTGGAGCTAGGTCCTTTAAACGTTTTTCTTTTGCCACTGGGCAAAATGTTAAGTTTTGTCAGTAGGCTGCACTGGAGAGGCATTGTAGGAGGAAAGGGTGTTTGTACTTAGTTATAGTGTGCTTTCTTGACGGGCTCTGCTTGTAGCATGAACACCGTCTCCAAGGCCTGGCTCTTGTACTGCATAGTGGTCAGCAGCAGCCAACAGCTTCCCCTAGTACCCGTCTTAGTTGGTTTCATAATGGAAGGTCTCCAGTGAAATACCTCTCAATAAACAGTTTTCCTCAGCACCGAAGAGGGAGGATTTTTGGGCAGGTTCCACTGGCACCTCACCACAGCTACTTCTCTGCCATTCAGTGAGCCACTATCTGTGCCCTCCAACGAGATCTGCATCTTAAGTCTGGAGGGAGGGGGAGGACCTTTATCTCAACCCTAGGGATAGTGAGTGCTTCTTAAATTTGACATTCCCATAATCTTTTAGCCAATCTCTCATTACTCCAGTCCCCTGTAATATTTTTTTGATGTTGAACTTTCCAAGTTCAAATTATTGTGTGATTTCTGCCTCCTGATTGGATCTCTAATTTTGCCATGTGTAATCATTGCTTTTTTTTTTCAGCAACCTCATAGTGCAAAAGAAAATTTGGTTATTCCCCTGAAACTTAATTTACCATTACTGTAATAGCAAGTTTATTTTCAAACTTTCTTTTTATTGTTAAGACTTTTAAGTTTTAAAAATTGAACTTTTAATACAAAACGACTTAAGCAGATATCTCTCTCCTAACCTTTATATTTTCCAGATCTGATTTATTTATTCATGAAAAATATTAAGCTCATGCTTTATTCCAGGAGCTGTCCTATGGACTAAGAGAACTATAGTGAATATGACAAATGGAATTTTTTGCTCTGAGAGACATAGAATTAATAGGGCTTAGTGATAGTTCAGATATGAGGTAAAAATGATGAATCAAGAGGACTCTCCATTTATTTGCCCTGGTGTTTTTGTGTTTTCTGATGTTGTATGATTCACAGAGATAGTAATTCTCTACAATAACAATTATTATTATGCTTAATTTATTGACTGATGAGTTGGGGGAATATATATTAACTTTTAAAAACTGGCAATGAATGGAACTGGTAGACTGCCTGTGTCAAAAGGAAATGAAGGAAAAGGGAAACAAGAAGCAATTTTCATGACAAAACAGTAAAGTATTGATTGGTATGTTAAAGCCTAATTGGTAACTCACAGTTCCATCAAAGCATTAGAACAGTGCAGTTGTTGTGGCTTATTTGAGTAAATACAGGAATGCTGTGACATAGTCTAAAAGAAAAATCATACTAAGCAGTAAACTTCTGATGATTCTTGTGCATCAAAGAGTTGGAATGGCTGAAAGTTTTATTGCATTTGTCCACAATAACATTCTTGTAGTAGGCATATTGGGATTCTATGAAGTCTTTATTTCGAAGTGCATTATAGCACTTTTTGGCTACAAATTTACATTTTGTATAGATGCTTTTCCATCTTGCTAATGAAAGGAACAGGCTGTGGTGGTGAGAGTAAGGATGTTCAGAGGAAATTGATCTACTATTAAAAACTTTGTGACTAATCTGACCCTATTATTGAGATGACACGTTTGTCTTTGAGCCCATTGCACAGTTTGGTCTTAATTTTATAGTTCTCATTGTGACCCACATGCTATGTCTTAGATTTAGGAAGCTATTAAAAATGGTCATTGGTGGCCGGGACGCAGTGGCTCATGCCTGTAATCCCAGCACTTTGGGAGGCCAAGGCAGATGGATCACCTGAGGTCAGGAGTTCAAGACCAGCTTGGCCAACATGGCAAAACCCCTATCTCTACTAAAAATACAAAAATTAGGCCAGGCACAGTAAACTTCTGATGATTCACGTGCAGGTGGTTCACACCTGTAATCCCAGCACTTTGGCAGGCCGAGGCAGGTGGATCATGAGGTCAGGAGTTCAAGACCAGCCTGGCCAATATGGTGAAATCCTGTCTCTACTAAAAATACAAAAATTAGCTGGGCGTGGTGGTGCGCACCTGTAGTTCCAGCTACTCGGGAGGCTGAGGCAGGAGAATCCCTTGAACCTGGGAGGCAGAGGTTGCAGTGAGCCGAGATCATGCCATTGCACTCCAGCCTGGGCGACAGGGCGAGACTCCATCTCTAAATAAATAAATATAAATAAATTAAAAAATTAGCTGGGCATACGGCGAGACTCCGTCTCAAAAAAAAAAAAAAAAAAGAAAAAAAAAAAAAGAAAGCCGGGCATGGTAGTGCCTGCCTGTAGTCCCAGCTGCTTGAGAGGCTGAGGCAGGAGGAGAATCGTTTGAACCTGGGAGGTAGAGGTTTCATTGAGCCAAGCTCACACCACTGCACTCTAGCCTGGGCAACAGCGAGACTGCGTCTCAAAAAAGTCATTGGTGCTTTATTGTGAAAATACAAAAAAACTCAAATAGAGCTACGTCTTGGGAGGAAGCAACTAGAACTTTGTAATGAATGTAGTTTGTAGGTGTTTGGGTGGAGTAAGGAGGTAAAGATCCTCTGGATCATGGATTCTTCATTGGAATGGCCCTCCAGAGATCTCAGACCACATGACTACATGTGGTTTTTTTGGATATTTTCCAGGTTCTGCTTATGTTTGATTGGAGTTTCTTTCCTCCTTTTTGTTTTTGAAGTATTTTAACCATTTGGTAAGAATATGATATGTTCAAATATATTAGTTTGGTTTCCCTTGATTGACTTTAGAAATCTGCTTAGGTCTTAAGAGTTTGGGGGCATGGTTGCATATTTATGCATTTGTAAGTATATAGGAATTCATTGAATTTGTAAAATAGGTAGGCAGAAGAGTAAGATTGTAGTGTGGAGAATGGCATGAGCAAAGTTAAATGATTGGAAAGTTTATGACATGTTCTAGAGACTGAGTAGAGCAGCTTTTCTAAGTTTTAGTACGTAGGTCAAGAAGAGTTAGGGGAAGATTTGGGCTAAGGCTTAGCTAGCTTTGTCACACTCATCCTTTTTCATCATGTTTATCTAATGATCTTACCTGGATTTAGTTATTCACTTTCAGGTGCAGACAGAAGGTTATGGGTCCTCCAAAGCTTCAGACCTTGGCTAATTTCTCTCCTCTTGTTCATAGCCATTTTACCTTTCATCTTTCCTTCTACCCTAACAATAACCTAACCTTTCACCTGCTAGGACTTCCGGACATTCTTAACCTTGTAGGGCAGGACTGGATTTCTTTCCCGGCCCAAATTCCATGGCTAGCCACTTCATTTCTTTCTTATCACTGTCTCCGACACGCTTTTCTCTATTAACATTTTCCACCATGCCAGACATATGGATTCTGTTTTTTTTTTTTTTTTTTTTTTTTTGGAGACAGGATCTCACTCTGTCGCCCAGGCTGGAGTGCAGTGACACAATCTTGGCTCACTGCAACCTCTGACTCCCAGGTTCAACTGATTCTCATGCCTCAGCCTCCCAAGTAGCTGGGACCACAAGTGTGTGCCACCACACCCAGCTAATTTTTGAATTTTTAGTAGAGACGGGGTTTCGCCATGTTGGCCAAGCTGGTTTTGGACTCCTGACCTCAAGTGATCCACCCGCCTCAGCCCCCCAAAGTGCTGGGATTACAGGCGTGAGCCACTGTGCCTGGCCCAGACATGTGGATTCCTACCCTGTATCATCTACTATACCTTCTCTCTCCAGTGTGCCTTCTTTATTTCTAGGCACTGTTAAAGAAAGATTTAAAGCAGTTTAAATCCTAATCCACCACAGGATAGGTTATCTAATTTCAGCTTATTGATACTCTAGTTCATTCCATACAGTGGTTGTAAAAGATGATGCATCTTGAAACTGTTAACCTTTTCCTTTCCTCAGTAGGCAACTAAGTTGTGTTATAAGATGAAATCCTGGAATGAGTAATTTCTGCCATCTGCTTTATCTTAGACTTGTCTGTGTGTTATAGCACATGGTTTTGTTCACAGCAGTTTTACCTTGGTGATCATGTTCAGCTAGTGGCCAGGTATGATAAAGAATTTTACCTCTGCCTCCCAGGTTCAAGCAATTCGTCTACCTTAGCCTCCCAAGTAGCTGGGACTATAGGCTCACGCCACCATGCCAGGCTAATTTTTTTGTATTTTTAGTAGAGATGGGGTTTCACCATCTTGGCCAGGCTGGTCTTGAACTCCTGACTTTGTGATCCACCTGCCTCGGCCTCCCAAAGTGCTGGGATTACAGGTGTGAGCCACCATGCCTGGCCTAAGAGTCTTTTTTTTTTTTTCAGTAGTTTTTGCCTAGCTAGTTTTTCCTAACAGAACTGTTAGAAAAGCACCAGGTTTGGAATTAGGACATAGTAACCAAGTCCTAAGGACATGGCTGAAGTAAGGAGACCACTTAAAAAAATACCTGTACTAAAGCCAGATGAGGTTTTACTTTAAAGCTATCATTTTAGGAGGCTATATAGTTTTTCCACTGGTATGTCCTACTATTATTCAATCTATTCTTTGAAACTCAGAAGTTCTTTGGAAACAAATTTTTAAATAATTCTTCATATTTCACTTAACAAAAAAAAAATGGCACTCATTTTAGATACCTTTTACCTTATGACCAAGATGATACGAGGTGGCTCATCTCCCACTTTAAAGTCAAGTTCATCTTCAGAGTTTAAAAGATTTGCCACCATTAGGTGGCAATATTCAAAATGGTGTACCTCAGGCTCTGAAAGCAATTATAAAAGAACCGTAGCAAACTATTTTGAAAAAATGGTAACATGGTTGGAATAAGTGTTTAACCTCCTTAGCTGATTACGGCCCTTGTAAGAAACTGAGAGAGTACTGTTTTTTACTTCGTTGTCTCTGTGTACATTATTTATACATATACACATTTTTTAGTCATTCTTTATTGTTATATATTATAGATTCTTGCCTATGTTTTTGTTTCCTTTTGGACTTTTCCTGCTAATTTTGTACTGTTTTTAGGGTCAAAGTAGTTGTATTTTCTCTGGTATTTCATTGGTCAGAGTAATTGTATTTTCTTCCCAAGTATTGAGAAGCCCATCTAAATTCTGCCCCGTAGCTAATACATTGGGGGAATGGGGTGGAGGCGGGGGCGGGATATATTCCCGTAACTTAAAAATAAGCTGACATTTTGAGAATGCTGTGATTAAAAATCAGTATTCTCCTGGGAAGCTAAAAACTCTTATCCAAGTCAGAGATCAGAGTATAGCCTGATAATGAATTCTAGTTGTGTTAAAAATGTTTATGAGTGCGTGTATTAATAAAACTGAAGAGGAGTTACATCATCAAAAAAGGAATGCTTAATTTTGGGACATAGAAAAATGGAGTTAGGCAGAATTGCCATGCTATTTAAAAACTTTCTAGGTGCAAAGGTACCTTGTCCCAAGGACTCGATTACCTGGCCCTCATGCAGGCATGGCCTTGCTCTAAAGATGAATTCAGACCAGGTACAGTGGCTTGCACCTGTAATCCTAGCACTTTTTGAGGCTGAGGCGGGAGGATTGCTTGAGCCCAGGAGTTTGAGACCGGCCTGGGAAACACAGGGACATCCCATCTCTACAAAAGAAACAAAATATCCAGGCGTGGTGGTGCACACCTGTGGTCTCAGCTACTCAGGAGGGTGAGGTGGGTGGATCACTTGAGCCTGGGAGGTTGAGGCAACAGTGAGCCGTGATTGTGATACTGCAATCCAGCCTGGGCAGCAAGAGTGAGACCCTGTCTCAAAAAAAAAGAAAGGATTCACATCAGTCATTGCAGCCTGTAACACTCCTTGTGGTTGGGATTCCATGCTCCCCAAGTAATCATCTGATTTTAATTCAGCCATCATGTAACATATCCTCAGGGATAGACTTGTTACTTGTCATTCATTTTTCAACATTTGATCTTATTGTATGTTACTCATTTGCTGTTCTTATTTATGTCTTAGTCATTTCCATGAATTGCTCTCTCTGAGTCCTGTCTATTCTGGGATAGTAGCAGAATTGTTTGTGGATCTGGGAGACTAAAGACCACAGACGGGGTTTCGCTCTTGTTGCCCAGGCTGGAGTGTAATGGCATGATCTTGGCTCACTGCAACTCTCCGCCTCCTGGGTTCAAGCGATTTTTCTGCCTCAGCCTCCCAAGTAGCTGGGATTGCAGGTATGTGCCACCACGCCCAGCTAATTTTGTATTTTTAGTAGAGATGGAGTTTTACCATGTTGGTCATGTTGGTCTTGAACTCCTGACCTCAGGTGATCCACCCGACGGCCTCAGCCTCCCAAAGTGCTGGGATTATAGGCATGAGCCACCACACCTGGCCTGGGCCCTAGGTCTTTAAATTATTCTTAATAACTCATAAAAGGGGCAGGTGGTCATGTCACTTAAGGACCCTAGTGGTTCTAAGCTGCCTGCTCTTTCTTACAAAGAAATAGATGACTGGATAAAATGGATTGTATTAAAATGTTTTATTTACTTGATCTTCCTATTTTTGTATAATAGGAGGTGCCTATAGATCATTAGGAATTTCCTCTGGTAAGTGGCAATTATATGGAAAACATCTACCATTTGAATTATAAAGATCTTACTCTGAGGTGTTATAATCCTCAACATTTATTACTTATAGAATGAATATTAATTCAACATTTATTGAGTACCTACTTTATGCCAGGAATAGTTGTAGTCACTAGAAATGTAAAGATGATTAATATGTATTCTATACAGTTGAAGATGCCTCATTAAGCGGAGATTAGTGCACATGTAAATAATTAGGATAAGTGCTAGAGTAGAGGTAGTGTGGGAAAGCAGGAGAAAGTGATTCTACATGGAAAGCTAGACTTTAAAGGATTGGTCTAATTCCCTAAATGGAGAATTAGGATAATTCCGACATTTAGTGATACCATGAGTAGCTGTAGAGAAATGTTTGCTGTGAACATATGTGCAGCTTGTGTAGGGAGAGTGACTTGAACTTTAGTTTATAGATGCCCTTCAACTTGTGATGTAGTTATGTGCCAATAAACTTGTTGTAAGTTGAAAGTAACTTAAGTCAAAACACATTTATTACACCTAACCTGCTGAACATCATAGCTTAGCCTAGCCTACCTTAAATGTGCTCAATACACAGACATTAGCCTCCAGTAGGGCAAAACCATTTGATAGCACAGTGTATACTATTATGCAGTATTGGTTGTTTACCCTCGTTATTGAATGGCCGACTGGGAGCTGCAGCTTATTGCTACTGCCCAGTGTCTTGAGAGTGTTGTACTAGATATCACTAGCCTTGGAAAAGATCAAAATTCAAACTTTGAAGTACAGTTTCTAGTAAATTTTTATCTTTTTCTGGGCTAGCAAAACAGGTTAAGAACTCTCTCCTCTTCAGTGCTAGGCACTGCTGTGTGCTATTTTAATTGTTAAACAACCCTGAGTGATAGGTGGTATTTCCCCTATCTTACAATGAAGAAACTTAAGGTCAGAGAAATAATAAAAGTCATTTGCTCAAGGTCATATAATGCCATTAATATCTCCTTCAGTTATCTGTTTCTGTGTAATAAGCTATTCTTTAATTTTATGACTTAAAGCAATGATTTATTATTTTTCATGTTTCTTACGCGTCGACTAAGCTCAGCTAGGAAGTTCTACCTTGGGGAGTCTCCTTTGGTTGCAGTCAGATAGCAGCTAAAATTAAAGTACTCTGTAGGTTCAACCAGGCTGCACGTCCAAGATGGCTTCTTTATTTGTCTGTCTATCATCTCAGCTAGAATGGCTGGAAGAGATAGGGGCTGACTGGTCATCCCTTTCAACAGGGTCTCACCACATGATCAACTTGGGCTTACTCATTAAATTGCACAGCAGTCTTGGGCTTGCTGTATAGTATCTGACTTACCCTAGGAGGACTTGTCCAAGACAGCCAGGCAGCAACTGCAATGTTTCTGATGATTTAGGCTCAGAAATCACGTCTGGTCATTTCTGCTGCATCTGTGGGTTAAAAGTAAGTCACAGGGCCACCCCAGATTCAAGAGGAGGCGGCTACGTAAGGGCATGACTATCCAGAGGCCATCTTGGACACTAGCTTCTACCACATGCTGTGCTGTCTTTGGGAATTGCTTTCGGACAGGCTGGAAATAGATGGGTCTTACAAATGCCTGGCTGAAATGTGAAGAGGGTGCAAGAAAACATCTGGGGAACGTGAATGTCTGAGAGAAGACTCAAGGAAGAGGAGTCATTGAAAAAAAATAAATGACTAGAGACAGGAAGAAAACTTGGAGAAAGTGGTGCCACAGAAGCCAAATGGGGGGAGGGAGTCGCTGCCACCATAGCCATAGGTTCTTAGATTTGTTTTTCATGTTACAGTGGCCCTGTGGTTTTAAGGTACTCATAATTTACGATTACCCATTTAAAAAACTGACCTTTTTCCTTCCCATTCACTCCACTCCACACACATGCACCCAGTTGATGCCTTAAGTTCCAGTTAGAACCTCATTGATGTAATCCAATGTGAAACATTTATACTTTAAGTCATTTGTAAATTGTGATTATGTTTGGTCTACTTTACTGAGAGTAGGCTTGCCTAGGAATAGAGGAAATGTAGTGCCATGGCTTCCTAGAGAGGTGGTTGGAAAGATGAGAGTTGTCTCTAGAATAATGGCGATGGGGAAGGTGAGTATAATGGCACACTTCTGCTGGTCTTGCTAGGATGTTCTTTTGACTTCTGAGAAAGTATAAAGTGCCATGCACTGAATTATGCCATAGATAGAAGGGTGAGATACAGAGTATATTTTTTCCTATAATTAATCTTTTTTTTTCCTTTTTTGAAAAAAAATCACTGGTGTTTTCTCTATTTCAGAGCACAAAGTTATCATTGTTGGGCTGGATAATGCAGGGAAAACTACCATTCTTTACCAATTGTAAGTATTAACTATTTTAAAAATTATTTTATTTCTAGTTACTTTTTTGGCCTGGGTGATAGTCGATCAATGAATGCAGTAAGAAATTACATGAAACCTAAGTTACCCTGTAAGAAAGCAGGTTGGCTATAAACCTGGAGCCAGATCTCAGCAATAGTTAGTAGAAAGCAAGAAATTTATATGATATTGAGCATATAGTTGGCATTGAGTTGTCCACTTGTTTTGTGCTAAAGCTCTTTTGTTTGTAGAAAGTAGAAAAATATGGCCGGGTGCGGTGCCTCATGCCTTTATCCCAACACTTTGGGTGGCAGAGGTGGGAGGATCGCTTAAAGCCAGGACTTTGAGAAACCGCTTGGGTCACATAGTGAGATGCCATCTCTTTATAAGATATATATGAATATATATATATTTTAAAATTAGCTGGATGTAGTGGTGCACACCTGTAGTTCCAGCTACTCAGGAGACTGAGGTGGGAAGATTGCTTGATCCTATTCAGGAGGTCAAGGCTGCAGTGAACCTCATGCCACTGATTATGTATGATCACACCACTACACTCCGGCCTGGGTAACATTAAAAAAAAGAAAGTAGAAAACTATAAAGTAGAAACTATAAAGTTTCCTGGAATGACCTAGTATATGCCAGATAGCCTACGACCTAGTTCCAGCCCTGTTTAAACCCTCACTCATGTTGTAAACTAGTGGGAAAAAGATATTTAGGTATAAATTATAAAAGGAGGTCATGCTGATTTGTCCTTGATTAAAAAATTGTTCAAGCAAGTTAGCTTCCTTGCTAATTGTAATGTATATAAACTTTTTTCCCCAGTTCTATGAATGAAGTTGTACATACATCTCCTACAATAGGAAGTAATGTAGAAGAGATAGTGATTAATAATACACGTTTCCTAATGTGGGATATTGGTGGCCAAGAATCTCTTCGTTCTTCCTGGAACACTTACTATACTAACACAGAGGTAATGTTTCTTACAATATTTAAAATTCTATAAACAGAATGCTTGGAAAACATCTAGATTTGAGTCCTTATAGTTAATCTTTTTGAAATATCACAGTATGTTAATACATAGAGAGTTTAAGCAGAGTAAAATCTGATTTCCTATTCCAAGGTCATTGTTCAATATGTCCACTATCATTGAACCTCTATAGGGAGAATTGGTGGTTAATTATGTTCTGATTGTGTATTGATCTCAGAACTTGTCTTTAATAGTTTTTTTTAATGACTTCCATCTCATAGTTTATAATTTCATTTCTCTCTATTTATGTTTGACTGAGTTTAGCTCACCAAATGAGAGGGTTTTGATGGTTTGAATCCTAGCCAGTTTTACTATTTTCTTTTACAAAACACAATTGCACATTAAATAATTGTTTTTCTTTTGATTATAAGGCATTTTAGACATAGTCATATCTTTTTATTTACACATTATTTCCCAAAGGAAATTTCAGACCTTTGACATTTGAGTGCTTCATTGCATAGACCTGTGAATTAAAAGACTGACCGTTGTTTTTGTAGTGTTCATTATTACAAGTTAATAAAGCATGGTTTATAAGTATATAAAGCTGACTTTTAAGTCATTAAGAAACCATTAAGTGTATCTGACAACTTGATTTCCTAACACTGCATTAGGCATTTAATCATTTTTTAATAAGGGAAGTTATGTATGATTATAAAGGTATATATGCTACTGTATACATATGCTATAGGTTTCAAATTCATGCCAACAGCCTGAAAATTAACAGTTTTATTAAAATACCTTGGAATAAAATGGGCCTTACAGTGATAAAGCCACCTATCAGTAAGCTGTCAAGTGAGAGGAGAGGTAAAGTAGCAGTTCTCTCATACATCTGCCTTTTGGTTGATGAAGTCTGAATAATTGAAAAGATCCAGAAAATCATAATAATTTATTTAAAAATTAAGATCTAGGTCCCAAAAATAAATAGTGCATGTTACTAATAGGCAGTCAGAACCAACTTGGGCATCATAAATGTTATCATAAAGTAAGTAAGTTAAATCTCCATCTGTTCCTGCTGATCTCTTGCTTTTGGGTGCTCACGGAGTTGAGGAAGAGCTGGGGTGGAGCTCAGTCCTGCACAACAATCACAAGTCTTTCATCGCACCTTCTGATACCAGTCTCATCATCAGTTTATGAAGGGGTTGTGCTTGCAGGTAGCAGGCGATACTTATGTAAGGAAGAGAGCTTGTTTTTAGATAGAGATTTATTCTTTCAGTTGGTTGAATTTTTTTTTAATTGATTTCTTTATCTTGTCACATTACTTTACTCCCATACCCGTGCCCTTTTAGGTGTTCAGATTGATATTAATAAATAATATCTACCTGGAAGTAATAAATTCAGGATCATATTGCATGTTTTTCTTGTTGATTTGTAGTGCAAATAGATAGATATAGGTCCATTAGCATTCAAGATACTAGTTTAGAAAACAGACATGCGTTATATATATTAGTTAGAATGTTAATATCATATTCTCTTTTCTCTTAAAAATTAGTAAATATATTAAAATCGATCAGACCTTTTGGCTTCACAATGTATAGGTAGCTCTGATTTTCCAACAATACCATAAGATTCCAATTTCTTGATATTAATAGCCTGTATGTCAAATAAACACATTATAAATTTTACAGATACCAAATTGTATAATCACTAATAATTTTTTTGTAATTATTTTAGTTTGTAATAGTTGTTGTGGACAGTACAGACAGAGAGAGGATTTCTGTAACTAGAGAAGAACTCTATAAAATGTTAGCGCATGAGGTAAGTAAGTAGTCTTTTTACATTAGATATGGGGAAGGGTATGGGAATCGATACTTTGTTTTCTAGTTTCTCATGAGGGTGCTATCAATTTCAAATTTTTAAAAATAATTAGTTATTTGCGGGCCACACTGCTCAATTACTCTGACATCTCCCAGTTTGGAAGTGTATCCAGAAGCAGCAGAAAGATTATGGAGTAAGTTGCAGAACTTTATTTCACTTATCCTAGGTACATTTGGTTTCACAATTTTCCTGGGCAAAAGTAATTTCTATAAGTGGCTTTCATTTTGCATTTTGAATAGATTAATTATACAGAGGATTATCATTGGAAATGAGATTTTAAAGTACCTGGGTGCTTAGCAATTCTTGATTGTTACTCAGCAGACTAATATTTAAATGTAATTGCTGTTAGGTTTCTCTGATATTGTCCCTTTGACTAAACAAAACTAGATGACTAGCCACATTTTCTTAGTCCTTGAAAAATAACCTGCCAGGCACAGTGGCTCACTCCTGTAATCACAGCACTTTAGGAGACTGAGGTGGGGGGATCGCTTGAGCCCAAGAGTTCAAGACCAGCTGAGCAACATGGCAAGACCCTGTCTCTACGAAAAATAAACAAAATTAGCCAGGTGTGGTGGCATGCACCTGTAGTCCCAGCTACTCGTGAGACTGAGGCGAGTAGATCGCTTGAGCCCAGGAGGTCAAGGCTACAGTGAGCTGTTCTTGCCACTGCACTTCAGCCTGAGTGACAGAGTGAGACCTTGTCTCAAAAAATAAAATTAAAAATAAATAAGTAGAAATAAAAATAGATTTAAAAATTAAAATTTTTTAAATAGAAAAATATTACGGTAACATAAATTTAAAAAACTGAATAATATAGTCAACTTGATAACTATAACATTATACTGTTTATATAGTATTTAGTAAAATTGATTATTTTTGGATATCTTATTGCAGATGCTACTTTCTCAACTCATTTATAGATAGGAATAGAAAAGTTAATATTTAGATATATAGAGTTTTTTATTTCAGTGGAATTTTTTGCAAAGCTTAGGAAAACACGGATATCTTTGTAGTGAAGTTTTATGTTAATTTTGTTATTGATTTGATGATTTGCTTTTGAGATTTGCTTTAAGAATTTTGTGTATTTCAGGCAACCTTTCAGGGCTTTAGGGAACCTAAGCTAGTAAAGTAGTTTTGTAAATTGAGGTTCCTCATTTCCTTATGACCACCAAGATGCACCTTTTCCTATTTTGGACTCTAATTCCAGCAGCTGTGTTTAAACCTCCTGGAGATTTACAGAAATACGTCTTGCCATTCTGTGTTCATTCGCCAGATTCATTGCTAGTTGGGATACAAGCAATAAGCCGTAAAAGAGGCAGAAGACAAAGGCTTTTTTTTGTTTGTTTTTTTTTCTTTTCAAATTCCTATTTTGCAAAAATGCAGCATTTTTCAGTTTATTCCAAAGGGTGGTTTTATGAAGACTTTGGAAAAAGAAAAACTGATACAAATGTTATTTGTCTCTGGACTATATCTTTTACTTTGTTGACAGGTAGTCTCCCTATCTGATTTTTACTCTAATTGGCCAATATGCAGCAGGATCACTATATGAAGAGCCCAGTAGTAGGGTTCAAAGTCTTTGATTTTTACTAGCTGGGGGCATTAACTTACATAGGTCACTTAACGTTATCTGTTATGGGTGACTACACTGGGGCCCAGAAAGGTTATGTGACTTGACTAGCTTTTTAAGAGCCAGGTTTTGAACTTGAGTATTCTCATTCAGACTCTTTATTAGCAGAAGTAAAAAGAAGACCTAAGTAGGGCCTAGTTGGAAAGTGAAAGGAGACTGAATGAGGAGATGACCAGAGAAGAAAGGAATTACAGATGAAGTTGGGAGTTTGAGCAAGGTACTCAGTAGGGTCAAGAAGAGCCAAACAGGCAAAATTCTGCAGAGAGACAAATGGATCAAAGAGTGAGAATGTGTGAGTGAAAAATAAATGTAGACATGATGTTAGTTGGATGTTTCTTACATACTACATAAATCAACAAAATCTTATTGTCATCACTGATAATGACTCTTTACATTATTACAAAATACAAAACTGTAAAAATTTTAAAATAATTTTCAAAGTTTTATCATAAATGAAGTATACAACTTTAGAACTCATTAATTTTAAAATGGTTCCAAACACCAAAGTCTGAAATTTTATTCAGAATGACTCAACTTCTAGGAGTTACCTTCACAAATGAAGTTTTTTTTTTTGTTGTTGTTGTTTTGATACAGAGTCTTACTCTGTTGCCCAGGCTGGAGTGCAGTGGCACCGTATCGGCTCACTGCAACCTCCATCTTCTGGGTTCAAGCAATTCTCCTGCCTCAGCCTCCAGAGTAGCTGAGATTACAGGCGCCCACCACCACGCCAGCTAATTTTTTTATATTTTTAGTAGAGACGGGGTTTTACCATGTTGGCCAGGCTGGTCTCGAACTCCTGACCTCAGGTGATCTGCCCGCCTCAGCCTCCCAAAGTGCTGGGATTACAGGCGTGAGCGCCCAGTCCCCAAATGAAGTTTTAAGAAACAAATTGACAACTATATATGGTATATAGAAGATGCTAAGTAAATGTGTCTTGCAATTGCTGTTATTCATCTCCTTGATAAAACTAAAATATATCTTAGACTAGAAATTTGTAGCAGAAGTGGTTTTAAAGTGTTTGAAATGGTTTATGTACAAAAGATCACCGTTGTTCACCTTATACTTTGACCTCTTGTTAAGTCACGTTGATGAACAGCCTTAATTTAATATATCTATTTTCTACTGTTCTAATATATACATATTTGGTTTTGAGGTTATATAATAAAAAGCAAATGAAGATTTTCTTCTCTTTCTAAATATGTAAAAATTGATAAAATAACTTCTTAGAAGTCAAGAACTCTAAATTAAAGTTTGAACCTTTTAGATCTAGAAAAACTGATTTAAGATATTTGGAGACCTTTTATTAAATGGCTTTGTTTTTTGTGTTTTTCAATTTTCAGTTCAGGGGCTTCTACAAATAATTTCATCATTAAGAGTGAATACAGATTACTTATAATAATATAAACCGTGTGTCCTAACTTGTGCCAAGTATTTGTCAGAAGGTTGTTCCTTCAACATGTCAACATTAGCAAACTTGACCTATATAAGACTTCAGCACACACTAGCAAGATGTACTGAAACTGAGAAGATAGGAAGTTAGGAATTAAATCCCATGGAAAGTCCATCTACTTATTGACTCAGCCACATAACAACTATTGATAATGGTTTCTTTGTGTTTTTTTGAGACAGAGTTTCACTCTGTTGCCCAGGCTGGAGTGCAGTGGCGCTATCTTTGCTCGCTGCAACCTCCACCTCTTGGGTTCAAGCTATTCTCATCCCTCAGCCTCCCAAGTAGCTGAGAGTACAGGTGTGCACCACTACACCTTGCTGATTTTTATATTTTCAGTTGAAACGGGGTTTCGCCCTGTTGGCCAGGCTGGTTTCAAACTCCTGGCTTCAAGAGATCCACCCACCTCGGCCTTCCAAAGTGCTGGGATTACAGGTGTGAGCCACCACACCTGGCTGATGAATGGTTTCATTTTCTGTTTAGGAGAAAAGAAAAAATATTTACTGTATATCCTTGATAATGACTATATGTATACAAGTTATACTTTATCTCTTCAAGTTTTTTGCCTTTGATATAGGCAGGTGAACTGAAATATAGGTGAAACTAGTTGAACATGAAATCTTAAAATTGCAAACATTGTAGCAGTATTCCTTTCTGACCATACTTAATGAGATAACTATATAAACTGTGGTAGCATTAATAGCTGCCATCCTGCAGAGGGCACTGTAATTAAAGTCAGTCTTGATTGTTATATAAATATTTTACATAACTCCTTTAACCAAATAAGAAATACAAATATACTACTAATGTTTTTATTTGCATCAGAAAGAATCATCAAAACTGTATTCTAACAAAAGTCATTTTGTATCTGCTGAAGATTTTATTTATTCAAACACATACATTATTGAAACCAAAATATCTCAGTAAAATCCCTAAGAAGACAAATGCCATTCAACAGTTGTGAAAACTTGCAAGTGTGGCACCAAAACCTTAATTTTATATCTCTTAATATGTAACAGGCAGAATTTTATGAGGGTTTCACTTGCTAATTGAGTACATCCTTCATGGATTCTTGGCCCAGTATCCATGTAGGGAATTTAGGCTATTTATTAACACCCTCAAATTGTACATAAACTTAAAAAAATTTTGTGTATATGCATATGTGTGTTTTGGGGGGAAAGATCTGTGATTTTGAACAGATTATCAAGGAAGTCCCTGGCTTTAAAACTGGCAGGTAGAGAGGAGTGGGGCAGGAAGAGACTAAGAACTTTTGGCCTGTTTAGTGAGTAAAACATTATACCAGTTATTTGGAGTGTGCACAATTACATTCGGAAAAGGGTTAATGCAGTAGGTGTCTTGCTCAGATCAGATACTCAGTAAAAGATATGAGGAACAAATTCAGAAAGCTTAAAGAACTTGCCTCTGAGTCATAGCATTGAAGTGATAGAACTTCTAATTGGGGAAACTTGATAAGTTTAATGCCACTCCAAGATGGCTGTATTACATATTCAAATCTAAGAAATCTTCATATACAATGACAGAAATTAGGGTGAATAGGATTGGTTTAGGATAGAACTTCAACTGAGAATTAAGCCCTAAGGTTTTAAGGCATACATTGTAATGAATTCATTTATTTCCTATGCAGCTAGAAGGTACTAGCTGTGTACATTATTGGGAGATTTGCAATGTAGTCACTCATCGTTTTCTTTGGAGCTTAATTCTCTTGTGGAATCCTGATTGGGAAAGGCTGGTTTAGGAGGTTGGAGGGAAGGAAATACATGCAAGAGAAATGATTTGAACAACATAGAGATGGCAGTGCCCAAAACTGTTTAGAGAGCAGTAGGATAGGTTGCTAATTACAGCAGAGTACTTATATAGGAGTGATGTGAGGTAAAGCAGAAAAGTATAGGCAAGATAAAATTTTGGAGAGCTCTCAAGTATTAGGCTAAAAGGTAGTTCTTAGCCATTTAAGCCTAATTTTGGATTTAGGGGGTGGGTGGTGTATATACTGGGAAACATGACTGTTAAATACAGCACTTAGGACCATAAAAAATTGTTGTCTGAGACTATAAGAAATATGTAAACACATACAAGTATAAAAAATGTGTTATCAGCCTAGGCACTGAGATGCTTTTATGTCACATAGTTGAGAAATTCTTGTTTACTAAGATTGTGAAAAAGATTCTGTTAATGAAGTTGAAAAATATGTGGAAAATGTATTGGCCTTTACAGTTTTATTTGCTTTAATAGGACCTAAGAAAAGCTGGATTGCTGATTTTTGCTAATAAACAAGATGTTAAAGAATGCATGACTGTAGCAGAAATCTCCCAGTTTTTGAAGCTAACTTCTATTAAAGATCACCAGTGGCATATCCAGGCATGCTGTGCTCTAACTGGCGAGGGGTAAGACATCTTCCTCTTAAATGTTATCGAACATTTATTTTGCTTAGTAACATGTATATCTTCTTTAAACTCCTAAATATTTAAGGCTATTGTGTATAAAACATCGTAAGGGACAGACGTAAGCTGTAGTTCATGTCTATAATCAGAGACTTTTTAGGGTGGTTCTGTAAATAGTAAAACAATATAAACATAATACACATAAACCTACTGAACATGGAAGCATGTAGCTGTTATAATTGCTATAGGAGCTCAGAGAAATGGGAGTATCAGTGAGAGCTGGAGAAGTTAGGAAATACATTTTACGATGATAGTGGAACTGAAGACCTGACATGTGCCGAGCATGTCCTATGTCTGGAGTGTTTTCCATATAGTGCTTCATTTAATCCCCATAACAGTCCTACAGAGTAATTGTTTTTAAGTGATATTTTCTGCATAAAGAAGCTCAAATCAAAGAGAATTCATGTCTGAGACTACTTTGGGTTTATTTACTGTTGGAACTGATGCACTTAAACAAAAGAAGGATTGGGGGAATTGGAGAGAGTGTAGCAATGATGGTCCTTGGTTCTGGAATGATAGATGTTGGAAGAGAAGTGTGTGCCTATAGTAGAAGTTTGCCCTGTCTAGCACCCAGAGATGAAAGTATTTCAAGAAGGAAGTGGTGTGGTCAGCATTGTCAAATCTAAGGTCAAGGACCAGGAAGATGGAGAGGATGCCATTCAATTAACAACAAATGAGTACATTCAACCAGTTTGTCAGAACAAATTCTGTGCATTGAGAAAGTGGGCATGAGGTAAGTGTAGTTTAAAGAGGAGGTAGATTTTAGGAAGCAAAAATAGCTTTGTAAACTCTAGAGTGTGGCAAGAAGAGGAAGGAAAGATAAAATAGAGGAGGTTGGAAATAGGATAAAAAGCTAAAAGGAGGACCAAACTAAAGTACAATTTTTGTTGCTGTTTTTCCAAAATATGGTGCATCTGTATATATAGTCATGCACCCTATAATGATGTTTTGGTCAGTGATAGACCACATATATGACAGTGGTCCTATAAAATTAAAATACTATATGTTTACAATAACTGTTCTATTTTTAGATATGTTTCAGTACAAAAGTTCTTACTATTGGGTTATGGTTACCTACAGAATTTAGTACAGTAACATGCTGTATAGGTGTGTAGCCTGGGAGCAACAGGTTGTATGGCACAGAGCCTAGGTGCATACTAGGCTATACCATCTAGGTTTGTGTAAGTACACTCTGATGTTCACACAATGATGAAATCACCTGACACATTTCTCAGAATGTATCCCTGTCATTAAATGATGCATGATTGCATTTAAAAGCAGAGGAAAAGAGAAATAAGCGGTGAATTCTAAATAGAAGTCTTAAGTTTGGGGTTGAGGTTCTTGAGGTGTTAGGAAAGGACAAAAGCATGGGGTATAGATGAATTAGCTGAAGTGGGAGAAATTGTTTTCCTTTCAAGACCACGATGAAGGGTGAACCAAATATAACGAATTATTGAAGGCAAATCTTAATAGAAGGCACTGTTACTGACATTTGGAAGAGCATAATTAGAACCTTAAAAAAGGTTTTTTAATTAAAAAAAAACTGTTCATTAAAAAAATCACAGATAATACCAATTATCCATGTATTCATTTAAGTAAAAATATGTTAAGTATTTCTTTGTCAAATAGTCTAATATATATATCTTTGTCAAGCAAAAGCATGGATTTATAATATTTGTCAATAAAGACACGTCATCTAGGATTGACATAAGATTTAATTTATATACTTTGATAATTGTATGGAAAATGTATCATTAGTATAGATATTAACTCAATTTCATTTTAAAAAGAGGTAAAGCAATTTTGTTTTAAAAATAGGAAAATAATAGATGAGTTTGGTTTTGAGAGAAATGTTCTGTTTTTCTTTTATAGTTCAGCTACCTTGATCTAAATTATTGGTTTTAGTATTGATTAGCGTTTTGATTCAGTGGATTGGAGATCACAAACTTCAGTGTGTGGCTTCATTTGACTCCTACTTTTCCCATTTGCTAACATTGCCAACCCTGGGTTTCCTCTGTAACATTGGAAGGATTCTGATCTCAGTGTTGTAAAGATTAATTAAGAGAATGGATATTAAGTTAGTTTCTAGTTTGCTATTAGGTAACTACTGTTCATTTATCAGTTTGGAGTTAAACAATCTCTTCATCTATTATTTTTGTGTACTGTTTCCTATCAGTAGTTTAAAAGTAATGAATCTAGTCACAGGAGAAAAGTATGGGACAACCACCCCAAAACAACCATTTATTTACCTCATTGCCATCTTTTTTCTATTTGTGTCTTCTTTTACGTTATTAGACTCATACTTAACAAAACTCTGAATTGAAAAAAATTTAATATTGTAACATAGTTTTTTATGTCTGCAAAAGCTTGTCATAGATAATAGTTAATACTTATAACAGTTCTTCATTTTATTGCAACTTAATGTGTACAACCATTTCTCTCTTGCTCAACTTTTAGTTTCTTTTCCCACAGTGAACATCGTTTTCTATATTTTGGGTTATGTTCAATTACCAGTTGTTCAGTGATAACTGATGTTACTGATAAGAAATTTTATTGCCTTCAAAAGTTTTACATACTTACATTTTATAATATTTATGTAACATGTGTATACTTTGTTTTAATAACTACAATATATATTTTGTTGAATATCCTGCCATTTTTCATTTATATCATGAGCATTTTATCCTATTATAAAATGGTTTTATTTCCTCCATTTCCTGGTGATGAGAATTATGAAATCATTTTTTAAAGGAAAATTTTAAATATTTCATCATACAAATGTCTTGTAATTTATTTTTTTCTGTATTTTTAGACAAAAATTATTTTCCTATTAAAAGTACTTTAATGAACAGTTTTGTATGTAAGTCTATGTTTATGTCTGATTTTCTTTTTTGGGATACATTTCTAGAAGTAGAAAAAAGGATGCAGAGTATTGATATTTTAAATATTTTTGATACGTATTGCCAGATATATTTTTGACATATGTTGCTTTCTGTGGGCACTCATTGCATAATTATAAAGCTTTTTTAAAGTGTCAGACAGCGTTCTGGGTGCTAGAGATATAACTGAACCAAAAGAGCACAGATGTATTAGCTGGGTGTGGTGGCACACGCCTGTAGTCCCTGCTGCTGGGGAAGCTGAGGTGGGGAGATCGCTTGAGCCCAGGAGGTCACGGCTGCCATTGATTGTGCCATTGCACTCCAGCCTGGGTGACAGAGTGAGACCCTGTCTAAAAAAGAGGAAAGACAAAAAAAGCACAGATGTATTGTGTATGAGAATATGGCTTCACTGCAGCAGCCCAAGCACTGAATATTATTGATTTTTAAATCTTTGTTATTTAGCTAAATGAAAAATGCTCTCTTTTAGTTTGCTGTTCATAGTTTGCTGCTCATAGCTTCTTAGTTCAGAATTTAATCAAATGATTTTGTTTTCTTTATAGATTGTGCCAAGGACTTGAATGGATGATGTCACGACTTAAGATTAGATGATCTCTACTGACCTCTTCTCATAGATTTTGTATAAATGAAGTGCTGGACTTTACCTGAAAGCTGCAAAAATTAATGGTTTAGATATATTTATAATAAACTGATTTAAACTTTTTCTATAAGAAGAAAAATTAAGACCACTTATTTGAAAACAAAGATGAAGTCTCACCTTCCAGTTTGCTTTCTCATTAGTTTTTTCCAAAGTAAGTTATTGAAGCTGTGATTGACATTTTTCTCATAATGAATCCTCTCAGGACATTGTGTAGCCTATGGTAAGTACAAAGGGAGAGGAAGACATTTTGAATTTTAAGAGCTTTATTATCAGTTTAACCCTCCCTAGTTGAATGTTATTTTCTTCTTGTTCCATTAAGTCAGAATACAAATCAGCACAGATATTCGAATGTTTCCAATATTTTAAAATGTAATGTTACTTATGAAAAGTATTTTGCTTAAGGTTGTGTGTGTATTGTGTATATACCTCAAGTTCAAGTTAATGGCATTGATTTATGTTCCAGACAAAAATAACACAAATAATAATATCCTTCGTTATAACCACAATGAGATAAGTATTGGCATTAGTGTTCAGTGCCATTTTATACTTTCTCTCTGTGTTCTCTGTATTGTACTAACCAACCTCCCAAATCGCTGAGCTGCTTGTTTAAAAAAAAAAAAAAGGAAAAGGAAAAAGCATGACATTGTGTATCGATTTTTTGTTGTTGACCAAAATCACACACATGGAAACATGTAATTCAACAGAGTGGGAAAGCTAGCAGATTCTTGGCTTAGTATTACTAATAGGCAGGATTGTACAATGAGCAACTATCAGATTATTCCTTTCAGTGGTTCTTATGGCATCTAAATTACTGAATAAATTATTAATCCATTAATCAGTGAATCAAATTATGATTACAATTATCAAATGAATGCTCAGCATTAATTGAAAACTGTTTTGTGAAACATGTCTACCCAGAAAAGTAGCATTCTATAAATACTATTAAACAACTTAGCTATATTATTTTTAAGTATTAAATTATATGTCAAGCAGTTAAAGTGAATTTCAGAGTAAAAGTAAGGCATGTTTCTGAGCAACATTGATAATTTCTTAATTTGCAAATTTCTTCTTATTTTGGTACTTGGAATATAGTGTGAGATTTTTTATTTCTAAATTTTGTTGTATCTTCTATTACATAAATGCATTGACAATTATAAAATGCAAGTGTTTTTTGAATGATTTTAAGAATTTGGCTTAAAAATTGATTGATACAACGTATTATTTGTACTAAGAAGTAACTTGACCCAAAACACCTTTTATGTTTGCTTAGGGTATATTTTTTCAGTGTCTGAAAGTCAAAGGTATTCCTGTCACAACTGTAAACAAACTTATCCTAAATGTGTTAAAACATATTCTTGGGTACTCTATTTATGTATCTTTCATGCCTTGAAAATCTGAAGGTTAATCCAAACTCACATGTTTTAGCATATTTGAGAAAAAAAAACTACCTTCAATATCAGCCTTTTAAATTTCATGAAGATTTTGGTGAGGAATAATAGTATATAGTTTAAGTATTGACAAAACTTTGAAAGTTTCTTTCTTTAAAATGGGAAATACTCAATATCTAAATCCAGGTCAGGCATGGGATATCAGTATTTAACATTGGATGTTTTATGTTTTATATTTATAATGTTCAAAATGCAAGCATAACATTTAATATTTGTCCACATGGTTTTACAAAAGTAAATCTTAAATTACTAAGCTTTTCCCATATGTTCTCGTACTTTCTCAAATCCCTATAAAGAATTACTTGTTATCTATTAAAAATCTCCTTTACCCAAATCTGTATTATGGTTTCGCCAGACAAATATTATGTGATGTAGCCCAGAAAATCCACACCTTTTGTCCTTTTTATGTTTTAATTTGAATAATCATGTGCTTAGTCCCTTGGATTACTGCCACATCAGTTTAACACGATATCAGCACATTCCCTTGTCATCATCAAGGTGTTGGCTCAGATTTATTCTTAATTGGATGTTTAAAGCATGTACTACCTTGTTACAGTTGGTTTAGTGTAGTGGATTATTGACATGACATCATGAGAAGATGTGTAATTTTATACCACATTTATAAAACATGATTTTGTTTTCTACCCTTCAAGGTAAACATTAAAAATAAGGTGGTACTTGTGTACTTGTACATAAAACCAAAATTATAGTTGGGAAAAAAATAAATTTATATATGAAAATGTCAAAATCATTTTAAAAGTATTATTTTCAAATAAAATGGAGAAGCTGGTGAAAAGTCATATTGGCAATTTTTATGTAGTTTAAGTGGAATTAAGCAGAGGGAGATGCTTTTGGGTTTTTAATATGCCACTTCTGAGTGAAAACATCTCGTGGAGTCATTGTGTTCAGCTCTGAGAAGAACAAAGATTCATAGTTCTGTACATGTGGCTGGATTTAAATATCCTGTTTTTGATACTAATTTTGAAAGTCATGTAACTTCTTTTGATATCTGGGCAAAAGTAACCATATGCTATAAGCATTTGAATATGTTTAATTTTATCATAATAGCATCTGTAAAAGTACATCTTACACATTATATAGAGGGTTCTTGTTTGAAATTTTCAGTTCTCTTTATCTTCCCAGTACCTCTTGGTCCTCATAATGGGCAAAGGATACAACGAAGGCAGGTTGTATAGGGGTTATAGTGGGGAAGTGGATAGGGGATTCATTTTCTTATGTGACATTTTGCCTTAAGAATATAAAAGTGCTTTAGCACTGATGGCTGGCATTTTTAATATAGGCAGTGAAAGTGACTTTAGAAGCATGGGATGAAATAGAGGGAAGAAGAGTTTTTATTTTCTGGCCTTTAAAAAGTGCCTAGTAGGTCATTTGAGACCCAGAGAAATGCACAGAGCTTGAGCAAAGGCATGAAGTCCCTGACATTGTTTTCCTTTTTGTCTCAGCATATAGTATTAAGATGCCTAGAAATAGGACTCTATTGTTCCCTCTTGTATAGGCACTTTACATTTCTTGTCACTACAGCAACCACATACAGTACAGACAACCTCCAAACCTGTTTATATTAGTGTAAATAGAAAATCTATAGACAACTTTCTAGTTTTCTCTGGAGGCATTTTTGGGAATGTACGTGTAATAGGCTCTGCTTTGTATACAGGAGATAATACCACATCATCGGTTATCTCCAAACTCCAGTCTTCTCTCAACTGCCCAGTTGTATGTTGTCATCAATCACTTTTTCAAGGCTGGGTAGAGACAAGTTTCTCCTCGTAACTTTGACCTCTCCCACTCTCCAAATGTAATCTGGACCTCATTGCTTTCAAGGTCAGCTTCCCCATAGCTCAGGTATCCTTTGCTCTCCTGTATCTTCATTTACTATTAGTGAAGAGATCTCTGTCCTGGAGGTTATTCTAAACTTTCTTTGTAACTATTGTTATAGACAATGGTTTCCAAACCAGTGGTTTCTATGTAGCTTTTCTAGTTCCTTGCTATCTTCTCACCACTGGCTTGAGGTAGTGATTTGGACTTTGCTCATTAGAGAGCATTATCAGAGATGTGGAGTCCATCAGAAGACCAGCTTGCAGTGTGTATAGCATATAGATGCCAATATTAGAATTCTTTAAATTATATTTAACATTTTCATGCTTCTTAATTTAACTTCACATGTTGGGAAGTAGATTCAGAAAGATAGGAGAAATACCCAGACTCTACCACTTCCGTGAGCTACTAGTTAGGCATGGGCAGGATTAAGTTTTATGTGTATTATCTTCCCACTACCAAGAATGGTTATGTTTCACAGAATACCAGTTCAGTTTGATTTGGAAAAAGATGCCAAACCAAATTTATATGTAGTCTATAATCTAAGGGCATTCTTGAAACTATTGCCCACATCCCATTTTTTTTTTCATGTTTACTTACAAAACAGAGATAAACATTAGATGTCTAAAGGAGTTAGTAATGAAAAGCCTATCCTTAAAAAATAAACCTGTTGAAATGGGCTTTAAAGACATCGAAATAATCACTTGTCATGCATTGACTGTAAATGCAGATAGAGAAATATGTCTTTGAAGCTCCACTTACACAAAAATAAAACTTGTATATCATGCTCCCTCAAAGAATGTGCGATAGATTATTTTAAGACCATGATAATAGAGTAAAAAGGAAAGAAAGCCAGAAATTACAATTTTGGATGCTAAAAAGTAACTTTCTAGTTAACCCTAAAGTCCTGTCAGATTGTGAAGAAATGTTCCAGGATACACTTGGATTAGTTATGCAGTATTTCTTATCAATGTCTAGCCCTTGTGTATTGTTCTGAAAACTAAAGTTTAAATCTTTATGCTGTTGCTTGCTAGATATCCTGTTCTTTGGTAGAAAATTCCCATAGTCTGTACTCAAGAAGTGCCTAAAAATGGATTTGTGTTGATTTTAAGCCCATCTAATAAATTATATGTATTTTCTATGGTATCGTATGGCTTGTCTTAACTGATGACACAGCCTAGAGGATTTCTGTCACAATTTGTGCTTTATTTGAATACAAAGTCTTTTTTTTTTTTTTTTTTTTTTTTTTAGACAGAGTCTCACTTTGTCGTCCAGGCTGGAGTGCAGTGGCGCGATCTCGGCTCACTGCAACCTCTGCCTCCTGGGTTCACGCCGGTTGTCCTGCCTCAGCCTCACAAGTAGCTGGGACTGCAGGCGCCTGCCACTACGCCCGGCTAATGTTTTGTATTTTTAGTAGAGATGGGGTTTCACCGTGTTAGCCAGGATGGTCTCAATCTCCTGACCTCGTAATCTGCCCGCCTCAACCTCCTAAAGTGGTGGGATTACAGGTGTGAGCCACCGCGCCTGGCCTAAATAAAAAGTCTTGAAATGGAAGATATTCACCTAACCCTCAACAAACCATGATGTAATGAAGCACGAATCACACCATTTTGTCTCTTTCCTAATTCAAATAGGTCCCTGGCATTAGTTCATGCCGAGACTAGAAAACTGAACCCTAGTACTGTTTTTTAAAACAGTTTTAACAGAAAATTAAACTGTATGTTTGAAATCATAAGTAAAAGTTTGTTGCTTGCATAAGAGTAGCCTCTTGATTCTCATAGTGGTAATTTTGTGTCATATCATTTAGATGTTGAACCATTTCATTTGTGCATGTGTATATGTGCCCAAATTCATCCTCTTTGTTTAGAATCTGCTTACAAATAAAACTAATAGAATCTGAATACATTTATCATATATTCTTCCAGGGTTTTTCTTAACTGACTATAGAGAGTGGCTGTAAGTTCTGGGGCAAAGCTTGATTGTATTTTCAGTGATGTATAGTTACATTGTTTCATGTTAAAATCATCGTGCATGGAAAGTGAAATGTGCGTATGATTTTAAATTATTGTAATATGTACTATACCCTTCCCCTAAACTTCTTTCATTGATGATACACAGAATTCCTCTATTTTTGCTTGAAAATAGTCCTTTAGATTGGAGTAGCCTTTTCTTAGATCCCTCTATGGTTCCATGAGATGAGGTGATACCTGCAAAGCACTTTTAAAGATATTTTTTTAGGCTAATGTCCAAGATACAGCATTGAGGAGGCAGCTATGTCTAATGAGGGCTCTCTTGTTTGCTAGAGATGAGAGAAATGTATACTAATCATTTTAATTTGTACTTAAAATACATTTTACTAATCATATTGATTTTAAATATGACAAATTCTTCTAGTAGATACTAATCTTTCTTGTTTATCATATTGTCCTAGAGAAGCCTAGGTAAAAATGGGTTCCACCTAGTCTGTTTGTATAACACCTTCCCCCGTCCCCTCTCCATCCCTGCCAATTGGGCTCTATGCATATTGACAAGCAAATAAGAAAACCTTAGGTTTCTTGTATTTGAATTTCCAAAACAATAAAAGGTTTTGACTCAAGATTTGCATTCAAGAAGAGGCAGAAATTTTGTCTTATCTTTTTATCATTTTGTGAACTTGTGTTTCTCTGTATGCTTAGAAAATTTTACACACAAGGAATGTTTGAAAAAGTGAGAATTTTAGAGTGCTTGGGTGGTTTTTATTTGGTCAGTGCTGATGTGTTAGGTGTTTAGGGAAATAATGCTTCAGGACCTTTTTGACAACACAGCTTCATGAATGACTGGGGGATATTTATGTTTGTGCTGAGAAAAGGGAGGGAGTGGGCAGGTTGGAGTGGGGACCTTTCCATTGAAAGCAGTGCAGTCAGCTGTTTCGTAGATGCATTTTTTCTTTATGCTTGTAACATTGTTCTTGTGTCCATAATTGACTGAAATGTCAAGCTCCAGGAATGCAAGGCATTTATCAGGTGACCAGAAGTAGAACCTTGTTGATTATGAAATGGAAGAATAATGTCAAGGTAGTGGGGGTAAAATGACAAATGAGATTTTACTGGTGAATTTCCATGCTTAGTATGTACATTAACCTCTTTTTAAGTTGCATGTTAATCTGGTATAACGTATTGTGTCTGGTTTATGCTTTGAGTAAAAAGGAAAAAAAAAGACTTGAGTTACAATTGTTACTCTATTATGTACTATTACATATACCTTTTCTTTTAGAAAGGGTTAATTATAATTACTATTCACACCTCTGTGTTGTCAGTGTTTTTATTCTGGTTTATTCTCTAAACATACAGATTCAGTGTTGGAAAGACTGGGATCCACATGGTAATTGAAAAGGTATGACAGCTGCATTGTACAAATGACAGAAAGATTGTCTTGATCTTCTCTAGGAAACTTTTCTGGCACTTGGTCAATTTATAGAGTGCTCTCTATCTTGTATTTCTGAATGTTAGAATTGGAAATGAGCCTGACAAATAATGATCAGTTTGCATAGTTGATTTCTTTTAAAATCTGAGAAAAGTTCAGTCATTTAAAATGAATATTATTAAAGCGAACATTCATGAGCATAGTTGATAGTAAACAGAAGAAAAAAGGGAAAAAAGCAGGGAGAGAGGAGTCAGCCCCAGTGACATGCTGACTTGAATGTTGTGTTTGTCCCCTCCGCTAGAATGTAAGCCCCAGGATGGCAATTATATCTCTCTGTGCTGAACACAGTGCCTGGTATGTAACAGGTGTTCAATTTATATGTGTTGACGAATGAATGAATGGACTACTAACGTTTTTGTTGTTTTTTTCTACCTCTTTTGTTCTCATAGGTAGGTTTTTTTTTTTGACCTATGTGATTGCAGCATACTGCCTCGTTTAATTCTTACGTAACACTTACCTCAATTCTCATTTAATTCTGCCTAACTTCAAAAGAGTTTTTAGGTGACTGTATGTTTTTCTCATTCATTCTTTCAGTAGAAATAGCACTTATTTCCTTAAAAATGGTCTAAAAGCATCATGCAGTGGCAGATATATACAAATTTTATGTATTTGAAATCTGTGTGGGCCTACATCAAGGAATGTAAGTAACATACCAGAGTTTGTTGTCAGCATCTGCAGATACTGAAATAGTAAATGGTATACCAGCTTTTTTGGAAAAACAGCTGTGTCATTTTATTCATCTTTTATGCTTGTTCTTCATTTTTTAATATCTGGAATATCCCCTTTTTGCTAGTAAATAACTTTTGTCCCATGAAATTGATGAGATTTTCACAACATTAGAATAACCTCTAACAGTCCTTTTGAATGTGTTCCTTATGATTGATTACCACCCTTTTGGGATTCCATGAGTTGGGATGCCTAGGTGACCCATTATTTTCATCATTACATACTTTGCATTCTAGCCAGTTATTCTATACCAAAATAGATGTTTACTGAAAAAATCTTTTTGAAACAATTCCAATATATTTAGATCCCCAAATTATATTCTACTGTATTTCCTATATTATTACAAATAACATTGCAATGGCCATCTACTTAGTGTGTTTTTTCATATTTAAAATTATTTCTTCTGGCTGTAATCTCAGGTGAAACTACTGGATTAAATGGTAGGATGGGATTTGAGGGTGCCTATTTCAAATTTTCACTATATGTTAAACAACAAAACCCTTTCCGATTTAATAGAGAGATAAGCATATTGTTATATTTTGCACCTATTTAGTTATTGAGACTATTTTTCTTTGCTGTTTTAATACCCTCTGAATTGTTCTTTTGCTTTATTCATTTATTATAATCTTGGTGTTCTTGTGAATAAATTAAATTCTTAAAACAGTAAATATAAGTATCATGTGCTAACCAATTTCACCACTGGAGCTCTGTTTAAATAGTGAATATATTATCTTTTGTCATGTTTTTGCAGATGTGTGTGCAAAACACATCCTAGTATACTGCTTAAATTTTTATAATTATCTTTTCAGCATATAAAGTGGTGTGTTTTTTGAGACAGAGTTTCACTCTGTCACCCAGGCTGGCGTGCAATGGTGTGATCTTGGTTCACTGCAACCTCCGCCTCCCAAGTTCAAGCAATTCTCCTGCGTCAGCCTCCCGAGTAGCTGGGATTACAGGCATGCATCACCATGCCTGGCTAATTTTTTTGTATTTTTGGTAGAGACAGAGTTTTGCCATCTTGGCCAGGCTGGTCTCGAACTCCTGGTCTAAAGTGATCTGTTCATCTCAGCCTCCCAAAGTGCTGGGATTACGGTTGTGAGTCACTGCACCTGGCCTAAAAAATTACAGCCAGGCTTGGTGACTCACACCTGTAATCCTAGCACTTTCAGAGGCTGAGGTGGGCGGATCACTTGAGGTCAAGAGTTTGAGACCAGCCTGTCCAATATGGTGAAACCCCCTCTCTACTAAAAATACAAAAAATTAGCTGGGTATGGTGGTGCACGCCTGTAATTCTAGCTACTTGGGAGGCTGAGGCATAAGAATCGCTTGAGCCTGGGAGGCAGAGGTTGCAGTGAGCCAAGATCACACCACTGCACTCCAGCCTGGATGATAGAGTGAGACTCTGTCTCAAAAAAAAAAAAAAAAAAAAAAAATCAGCCTTGTGCAGTGACTCATACCTGTAATCCCAGCACTTTGGGAGGCCAAGGCGGGTGGATCACCTGAGGTCAGGAGTTCAAGACCAGCCTGGGCAACGTGGTGAAACCTCGTCTCTACTAAAAATACAAAAATTAGCTGGGCACGGTGGCACGTGCCTGTAATCCCAGCTGCTCAGGAGGCCGAAGCAGGAGAACCGCTTGAGTCCAGGAGGTGGAGGTTGCAGTGAGCCAAGATTGTGCCATTGCACTCCAGCCTGAGCAACAGAGCGAGACTCCATCTCAAAAAAATAAATAAATAAAATTTTTAAAAAATTACATAAGATATACATGACTCTTTTGAGTGAAAATCAGAAAAGAGACATAAGTCAAATTGAGATAACCGTTACCAACACTTTGGGACATATAGCAGGGTTTCAGTTAGCAGTGGATGACATACACGGTGGTGGTCCTGTAAGATTGTAATGGAGCTTAAAAATTCCTATCACTTAGTGATGTTGTAACTGTTGTAATATTGTAGCACGGTTTGTTTTTAAAATAAATTTAGCCTAAGTGTAGGGTGTTCATAAAGTCTACAGTACTGTACAGTAACGTCCTAGGCCTTTACTTTCACTCACCACTGACTCACCCAGAGCAACTTCCAGTCCTGCAAACTGCAGTCACATTAAGTGCCTTATACAGGTGTACCATTTTTTTTATCTTTTAAAGAAATTTTGTATAAATTTATGGGGTACAAGTACAATTTTGTTACATCTATAGGTTGCATAGTGGTGAAGTCAGAGCTTTTAGTGTATCCATCACCCAAGTAACATATGTTGTACCTACGTTATGTTTAGATACACAAATACATAACCGTTGTGTTAGAATTGCCTACAGTGTTCAGTACAGTAACGGGCTGTACAGGTTTGTAGCCTAGGAACAATAGGCTATACCATGTAGCTATACCATCCAGGTTTGCATACATAGACTCTATGATCACCCAGTGATGAAATCACTTGTAATGCATTTCTTAGAACAAATCCCCATCCTTATGCAACAAATGAGTATACATTTCTTAGTTTGTTTTGAATACAGAATTCCAAAAACTTCTTTATTTTTCCATGATATACTGTAAACATCATTTACATATAAAACATTTTAATGGATATATTGTGTTTGCTGTTTGGACATGACATAATTTATTTAACCAGTCTAATGTTGATGTACATTGTTGTTCCTTATTTCTTACCATTGCAGTAATTTTACTGTAGTTAACATTTGGATTTATTTTTCATAGAATGAATTCTCACAAGTCCAATCGCTGTGTCAAAGCATATGGCCTTTTAAAAGGCTTTGGTAGCCTGTTGCCTAATTGTCTTCCGAAAAGATTCCCCACATCCTGGTCAATTCTTCAGCATATACACGGCCATCTCTATATTAAGACACTTTATATTAAGATTTGTAAACCTGTTGACTACTGTCACAGGCCACCACCACTCTGGGCATCTTCAGGTCATGCTACATGTTCACCAGTCCTTCCAGCAGTGGGCAGTGCAAAGCTTCCCTCCGCCCACAAGGTTTCTGTGATCTTTAGCCTTTATTGTGCAGTTTACTTGTTAACCGGCTTATAATGTATTCAGCCTATGCTAATCATTGACTCCTTTTGGGAAGGGTAGAAGGTAAAAGATGTATACAATCTCTCAGCTGACCTTTTTTTAATGTTGGGGAAGAATAATGAACAACTTTTATTATCTACCATAGACGGCCAGTCTTCTGCTTCTAGGATGCTCTCCCACCAATGTGTCCATCTATGCTGTCAGCCCTAAATGCCAGTCCTGTGTAGGAAGTCCTGTGTTCATTCAGAAAAGTCACCCAGTGTCCATCCATTTATGTCCATCATATTAAAAACAGTTGAGTTATATGATAAAACATGCTACCATTAAATATTTTAACAGATTTAAATAATATGAGGAAATTATTAATGGTTGTGACATGTTAAACAGGATAAACAATTTTTTTATAATATAAACTTTTACATCTATCATCTGAATTATGCGAGAACAAAAAACATAGAAAAAAGATAGGAAAGTACCTTGGGAAGCTGAGGCCGGAGGACTGCTTGAGCCCAGGAACTCAAGATCAGCCTGGGCAACATGGCGAAACCCTGTCTCTACAAAATGTTTTTTAAATCTAGCCAGACATGGTGACAGGTACCTTATAGTCCCAGCTGCTCAGGAGGCTAAGGTGAGAGCATCACTTGAGCCCAGGAGTTCAAGGCTGCGGCGAGCTGTGTTTGCACTCCAGCCTAGGTGTCAGAGTGAGACTATGTCTTTAAAAAAAAAAAAAAGAAGAAAGAAATGTATTATAACATTAGGAGTTGTAGGCGGCAACATTACAACCAGTATTTTTCTGATTACGATTTTGTATGTTACAGATATTCTATATTGAGCGCATTATACCAATAATCAGAAAACATTGCTGAATCATTTTGTCTTTAAAGAATCATCTAATAGGGATGGGAAGGAATACAAAAGTTGTATTAAGTAAATGGGATGAAGCTCTCAGTTCAGAGATCAAGATGATTGGTAAGTGGAATACTATGCAGCCATAAAAAGGAACAAAATAATATCCTTTGCAATGTGGCTGGAGGTTGTTATCCTAAGCGAATTAACATAGAAACAGAAAACCAAATACCACATGTTCTGACTTATAAGTGGGAGCTAAACATTGGGTACTCATGAACATAAAGATGGCAGCAATATTGGGGACTATTAGAGGGGTAAGGGAAAGGGGGCCAAAGGTTGAAAAGCTTTATTGTACTATGCTCAGTGCCTCGGTGATGGGATCATTTATGCCCCATACCTCAGCTTCATGCAATACACTCAGGTAACAACCTGCACATAAATCCCCTGAAATTAAAATAAAAGTTGAAATTAAAAAACAACAACAACAACAACAACAAAAGGTGATTGGTAAAAATTCACTGATGCAATGCCATTTGCAACCTTCAGTGCAAGTCTGATTTTGACAGAGTTCTTACCAATTATTGCAGATGTAAAGAGATTACCTTTTTAGCTTATGCCTTGATATTATGTGTTTTGCTTTAGATGGTTTGGTGGTTGGTTGGTTTGTGGGATAGGTTCTTTTTGGCTGTGTAGTAATGACATCAAATGCCCGCAGAGAATTAGTTGTAAATGGTAATGGTCTTTTTAAATGGTTTAACTGCTGTACTCAAAATACTCTTCAACCTGATCTGGTGTCCTAAAAGTTTAGTACTTCTAATAAGATCTAACATGTGGTTGCATTTGTTATAAATGCCAAAGTTATATTTAAAAACACCCAAAGGGGCTGGGTGTGGTGGCTCACACCTGTAATGTCAGCACTTTGGGAGGCCCAGGCAGGAGGAGAACCTGAGCCCAAGAGTTTGAGACCAGCCTGGGCAACATAGTGAGACCCGCATCTCTACAAAAAACAAACAAAAAAAATAGGCATGGTGGCATGTGCCTGTTGTCTCAGCTACTTGGGAGGCTGAGGTGGGAAGATCACTTGATCTTGGGAGGTTGAGGCTACAGTGAGCCATGATTGCAACATGCAACACTGCATTCCAGCCCAGGGGACCATGAGACTATCTCAAACAAACAAACAAACAGACAAACAAAAACCCACTCCAAATGTAAAGTGAATAGTTCACATCAGGTGTACTGGAGGCTATATGAAGAGAGACAGTGATAGCAAGAGTCAACAGTCCTTATAGACTAAAGTGAGGTGGCAGTAGTAGTAGGCATTGGGGAACCACTGAAGGTTTGCTTGTTTTATTTTGTTTTAAGACAGGATCTTGCTGTGTTTCCCAGGCTGGAGTGCAGTAGCATGATCATGGCTCTTTGCATCCTTGACCTTCTGGGCTCAAGTGATCATCACACCTCAGCCTCCCAAGTAGCTGGGACTACAGGCACATACCACCACGCCTGGCTAATTTTTTTTTTTTTTTCTTAGAGATGTGGTCTTGCTATGTTGCCCAAGATGGTCTCAAACTCTTAGACTCAAATGATCCTCTCACCTGGGCCTCCGAAAGTGCTGGGATTACAGGCATGAGTCACTGCACCTGGCCTGGGAATAACAGTTTAAGGCCAGCCTCTTAAAATGAAAGTTATTGTGGCAACTTCTAAAAGATGGGTTGAAAAGAGAGGAAACTGGGGATAACATCATAAATAGATTATTATATTATCCCTGGTGAAAGAAAATGAAGGCCTGAAACAAGGCAGAGAAGGCAAAGATAAACTTGATATCTAATGGAATATGGGTAAGTAACCATATAAGTTATCAGCCAAAATGGGACATGCTTAAGAGTCAAAGAAGGCACTATTAATAATTACTCCAGCATATCAAAATACCACATTATACCCCATAAATACATACAATTTGTCAACTAAAAATAATTTTTTTTTTAATTCATGAAAAAGGGGGATAAGAAGAAGAAAAACATTCCTGCAGGACTGGTCTGGGCAGAAGAGGAGTTGTGGTAACTAGATATGAGGAGAAAGAGAGGAAGGAGGCACAGAGCAGTTGGAGCTTGCTGCCTGGAAGAATGACGGTATGATAAAGAGATGGGATGATGTGAAATAATTCACATTGTTAATTATGAAGTGTGTTTTGAATCACCTCAGTGTTACCCAGAAACGACACTCGGTTATCATGTTCAGATAGGGGACAATGTGTTTTTGCAGTGATAGCAGTGGAGGGGAAGGGTTGTCAGCTTAAGGGGCAGTTGGTCATTCTGTCATCAAATGAATTAGTAGCAAGACTTGACCAGCATTTGTGAATAATGAAGCTTTTCTTGCTGACAAACTGCTGATGTTTACATTGGGCCATTATAATAGGCAATTTAATGTCATTAATGACCTTTATATAAAAAATAACTCGTGAATGAATGAATGTAGTGAACATTAAGTACTGCTAATAGAAAAAAAAAGGGCAAGGCTTCTTTGCCAACTTGGCAGAATGATCATCAGTATTTCTGCCTGTTCTTTGCCTCAGGTACACACATATTTATTTATTTATTTATTTATTTATTTATTTATTTATTTATTTATTTTAGTTTTAGAGACAAGGTCTGACTGTGTTGCCCAGGCTGGACTTCAACTCCTCAGTACAAGTGATCCTCCTGCCTGAGCCTCCTGAATAGCTGGGACTACAGGCCTGCACCACCATACCCTGCTCTAGTTACACAAATCTTAAAATGATGCTGTTATGTTAATTCAATTAAGAAAGTAAACTAGTTCTATGATCCAAGCACATAGTTGTGACTCAATTCATGTTGTTGTTTTTAATCCTGAAATGATATTGTAAAATAAGAGCTTTGCCTTAAAGTTTTTGTTACTCAGTTTTTACATTTGAGGTAAGAAGGCAAGTGGCAGGGAAGAATGATTAGCAATAAAGCTTTTTAAAAGTTCTTCAGAAACAGTAGACAATTGGTTGAGTCAAATTGACCTATAATGACTATTCCCAGGAATTTCCTAGTTCTTATTCCTTTGGAAGGAATTGTAACTACCTTATGCCATGTAAAGAATGCTGCTATTTTACGTTTATTACAAAGATGTGCCTACAGATAAGAATCAAACTGGAGAACTTTAAAAATGTTTTAACTTTACCTGATCTTTTTCTTAGAAAGCTAACTGTAAGTAGGATATGGTGCCAAGAAAAATCATCAGCCTGATACTGTGAAAAAAAGACACCCTATTAATATGCCCACAACATTATCAGCAAGCTAAGTAACATCCCTGGACCTTAGTTTCATTATATTTTTAACTAAGTATGTATCAGAGCCCTTAACACAAGCCCAATATATTTTGGAACCTCAATAAATAGTGGTTTTGCTGATTGTCTTTTTAACAATTTCTAAAATATTGAATACTGGTTATTATAATTAAATGTATTCTAAACATCTATTCTTTCTGTCTCATGCCTTGATCTAGCCTGTTCCTTCCACCTAGAATGCCTTTTCCTTCCTTTTCTCACATAGCAATCTTTGACATATCCTTGAAGACTGAGCTCTCCCATCAGCCTGGGAGGCCTGGCCTGATCTGGAAGACGGTTCAGCACGTCTTTCTCTGTTGCCATAGTGCGGGATTTTTGTCTATTTTCAGCAGGTCGTTCCAGACTGCAAGCCTCTGGAGGGCAGTGACTCGATCCCATTCAGCTCCATATCCCCACTACCAGCATGGCATGCATTGGGGGTGTCCATACATATACAGAACAGAAACTTTCAGGGTTTGGCCAATTTTACTTTTCCTTAGCATGTATTATCATAAAGTGATGTAAGTACTATATGCCTGGATTTGTCTTATTACTACATCTATTTGTTAGTAAAAGGAGGTTACATGTTGCCTTAGTGGTTTCTTTGCACTTAAATATTTTTTAAATTATTTGGTTCTTGGCTGGGAACTTAGTCCAATATGTCTGCTAAAGTATTTCCCATTTCTTGCCACCTCTACAATAGTGCCATAATTTCCAAGTTGATTTGACATGTATCATCTTTATTCTCACAATCCTGAGAGGTATATAGAGCAAGAATTAAGTTCTACATTTAACAAAAGAGAAAACACACAGAGATTGATTGGCTCTAGGTTATATAGCTAACTGGTAACAAACCAATTTTTATTAAAATTAATTTTAAAAATTTAACTTTTAAAGTTTATCTTAAATGATGAACATCGCTTGTGTTTTTCTTGCATGTAGTTTCTATTTTAGGAGAATTTGCCTAGGGGTAGTTCTGAAACCAAGTAAAAGTAATTGGATTATGAAGGTCTTCTACCTTAAACTAGCTGTCAACTTTAAACTCAACCATTTAATAATTAAATTTAAACTTTACATTTGTTTAATTTAGTAATGTTTCTTCACATTAATCAATTTTTCAAATTAGGAAAGTAATAAATGACAAAAATGGAAGAACATTTATTAAAGATAGAAAAAATGTTTAATGGTCTTGTACATATAAATGGTGTTAATGTTTTGGCTTCATTTTAATAAAGCTTTTATTAAATAGTGTCAGAGAGAGTGGTGGTTATTTTGTAAAGAAAATGTAAAATCTTTTTTCAAATTATAAAATTACTTGCTTATTTTCATACTTGGTGAGAGCCAAATTAAAATTATTTATAGTTTAATGGGCTACTTTTCTAATATTTGCTAGATAAGAACTTCACTTGAATAAAATATGTCACATAAATTTATACAACATTTTTCACAGTGAATGTGGTTCTCAAAAATTTTATTTCTAAGTTGGAACAGAAAAAGATAAGAAATATAAATATGTATAATGAATATAAATTGATTTCTTAATACTTTCTACTCTGACTGAATATCAAAATTAATTAATATGCTCTTTGAATCCTAGAAAAAAAGCTAATAGTTTAAGTATTAGTAATGTACTAAAATTAAAATGACCTTAAAAAGGGATTCAGGTATTTCATGCTAAATTTTCCTTTGATTTTAAGTTACCAACTGATAGAGTACAAAAGTGATAACTTTCTGAATATTGTTGCTGTAAACAAGCATATATTCAGTTCCTCCTGTGTGAAAAGAAGCCAAATGTAATGATTGTGGTCTTATTCAGCGACAAAGTGCTGATGATATTATTTCCATAGACAGTACAATTCTGCAGCTGGCTCTGTCAGTCTAGGAAGAGAGCTCACTAAATAAAGACCATGAAGTAATTTGCAATTCAGGGGCAGCATTTTAAAGGAAATGAGCTGAAAGTCTACTCATTAAAGTCAAAGGAAACCTTGTGCTTTTTTTTCTTTTCAATATATTTGTTTCTTCAAAGTGTAGCTATACCAGCTTGCATAGCCCATATTGGGAATTCAGAAAAAGGTGACACTGTTAAAAATTTTACTTTACTTTTTGGAGAAGTTCCTTGGAGATAGATCTTTTGGGGTAAAAAAATTATTTGGGTGTCTGGAATTTAAACCTACGTTGCTCGTTTCATTTCAGACATATAAGAAATGAGTTTCAGAGGCATTTGTTAGTTGTCTGTTTCCTCGCAGTGTAAGACTGTCAAGCATATAAATGCAGGAGCCCCAGTGGCCTGAAAGCAGTCAAGAGTTCCTACCCTCCTTGGCTCAATGGAAACGCAAGTGAACTATACAGCGTTCAATGGACCAATCAACAGGGCAAAAATCAGTAAGTGCATGTCCAGTTTTCTGAGGACAATATTTTAGCTACAAATGATTCTTTTGATGCTGTATGTATCTCCTCACCCCATCCCCCTTAGGGAGTCCAAAATTGTGTCATTTGGCTTCTTATGTATAATAGCAAAATTTTATTTATAGCAAAATAAAAGTCAGTAGACATTTGAGTAGCTACTCTGACTTAGAAACTGCTAGCAGTCAGGGATGTAGAGAATGAAACCATGTATGTTGCCAGTTGCTTAATCTGGTGGGACAGATTTATGAACAAATAGCTTATGTGGTGTTAGAAATATATCACAGGTAAGTATTTCTGCTTCTAGTAATCAAATTCCTGACATACATACTTTTGAAATAGCCTAAAGGCCTGTAAGAAATAGGTCAGTGCCAGGGCATCTCCACTTTTTATTAGATGTCAGTAGCAAGCTTGGTTCTTCTATTAGGGTAGGTTTGTTTTCTTCTTTTCTTATTTGTGCCTACTGCTCTTTCACCTCTGTATTGTGGGACATTCCTTATCACATGCCCCCACTTGTTGCTACCCCAAGTCACTCAGGGTTTTACCAAACTTCCCTCTCCATCCTTGACCTTTCAGTGTTTATTTAGACCCTAGTAACCTACAGATTCATGCTGCCTGTGTGATTGTTCAGATGATGTCTGAAAGGTAATGTGTGTGTCAGAAAGTGAATTCATCTTCCCTACCCTCCACCTCCTGCCTCCTTCTTTCCCATTTCTCAAATTTTGGTACCACTGATCTTGGCCCTGCAAAGTAGCAACACCCTTAAATAGAGTGTTCACATATGAGTGAGATCATGTGGTAGTCCTCTTTATGTGCCTGGCTGATTTCACTTAGTGTAGTGTTCTCCAGGTTCATCTGTGTTGTTGCAAATGACAGCATTTCCTTCTTTTTTAAGGCTGAATGGTAGGGAATCCCATCTTGCACAGTGTCTCCTGAAACACCTAACTCAGCACACAGTGGATGCTCTTCCTCCCTGCCCGCATGGGGTATTGCTGCGGACTCCTCAGGTCTCCTCCATATTCCTTTCCCCATCCCCAGCAGACAGCCTTGCTTCATAATTTAAAAGATGATAAAGGCTATGCGGTGTGAACTCCTGGACTTCTCTACCATTTTATCTCCGTTTGCTCATTTTCTGGGAGTTTGTTCTCTCTAGTCACTGAGGCTGATTCAAGTCTCCTTCCATAACTATACTCTTAGTTCCATTTCCTTTTGCATTCATGCCTTGTTTTTCTCCTTCCATAACATTTTATGGAACACCTACTATATGCATGCCACTGTGCTGATGCTGGGAATGTAGTCATCATAATTAAGATGGTCAAAGTTGAGCTTCCATTGTAATGAGGAGAATCTTTTTTATTGGTTTTTCAATCTCTTCCCCTCGAGTGGTCTATGTGATCTAAGACATTTCCAACTTTTCCGCTGTATAAAAAAAATAAAATCCTAGACTCTCTTAATGTTATACCTCCTTCTTGATACTACCTGATTCTTCCCTTCCCTTTTCAACCAAGCGCCTTGAGAAAACATTATAATGTTTCTGAAACTTGAGTTCACCCAAACTATTTTTAAAGAACCTTGTTCTGTATCTTGTAACCTATACAAAAATAACTAAAAATGGAATATAGACCTAACTGTAAAACTTGAAACTATAAAAGTTCTTAAGATAACACGGAAGAAAATCTTTGTGACTTTGGGTTAGGCAAAGATTTGTTAGCTGTATAACCAAAATTTGAGCCATAAAAGAAGAAAAAAAATTAAACTTCATAAAAATTAAGTATGGTAGTCTCCTCTTATCTGTAGTTCACTATCTGTGGTTTCATTACCCGCAGTGAATACCATGGTCCAAAATTGTTACGTACAGTAAGATGTTTGAGATAGAGAGAGACCACATTCACATAACTTATAGAAGCATTTTATTATAATTGTTCTGATTTATTATTGTTAATCTCTTACTATGCCTAATTTATAAATTAAACTTGATCGTAGGTATTATATATAGGAAAAAAACATAGTATGTAAGGTTCAGTACTATCCACCATTCCAGATATCCACTGGGAGTCTTGAAATGTATTCCTCCTGGATGAGGGGGAGCTATTTTACTTCTGCTCTTTGAAAGATGTGTATAAGAAAATCAAAAGATAAGCCACACATTGGAACAAATAATACTTGCAAATCACATATGTTATAAAGAACTTATATCTAAAAATCACAAAATAACTCAATTAAAAAAATAGAACAGTGTGCTGTGGCTCACACCTGTAATCCCAACACTTTGGGAGGATGAGGTGGGCAGATTGCTTGAGTCCAGGAGTTTGAGACCAGCCTGGGCAACATGGCAAAACCCTGTCTGTACAAAAAATAGAAAAAATTAGCCGGGTATGGTGGCATGCACCTGTGGCCCCAGCTACTCAGGAGGCTAAGGTGGGAGGACTGCTTGAGCCCAGGAAGGGGAGGTTGCAGTGAGCCAAGATCGTGCCACCACACTCCAACCTGGGTGACAGACAGAGACCCTGTCTCAAAGAAAAAAAAAAGGCAAAAGATCTGAACAGACATTTCAACAAAGTAGATATACAGAGGACAAATAAGCACATGAGAAGATGCTCAACAGCATTAGTTATTAGGGAAATAATAAGTAGCTTCTCAAAAAGTTCAACCTGTGCCTATTGTATGACCCAGCCATTTCATTACTAGGTATTTACCCAAGTGAAAAAAGCCCAATCAAAGACTTGTACACAAATGTTCATAGGAGCTTTATTTACAATAGTCCACAACTGAAAAAAAAAAAAAAAAAAATGTCCCTTAGCACATGCAAGTACAAACAAATTGTGTTATGTCCCTACAATGGAATACTACTCTGCCGTAAGAAGGAACAAACTATTGATACACAAGACACATGAATATCAAAATTATTATGCTGAATGTAAGCCAGACAAAAAAGATTGCATACCGAATAATCCCATTTATATGAAATTCTAGAAAATGCCAAGTAATCTATAGTCACAGAAAGCAGATTAGTGGGAATGGGAGACCAGGGAAATATGGGAGCTGGGATTACAAAGGGGTGTGAGGAAACATTCTGGAATGATGGATATATTCATTATCTTTATAGTGATGATGGTTTCATGAGTGTTTACATATGTCAAAACTTACCACCAAATTGTATCCTTAAATATGTGCAATTTACTAGATGTCAGTTATACCTCAACAAAGATTTTTTCGTTTTTTAGAAGGCTACATAATGTGCAAGTCCATTAATGTGACATTCTTATGAAGGCAAAACTATAGAGACAGAAAACATATCAGTGGTTGCCAGGAGCCAGGGTGATAGGCAGGGTTAACCACAAAGTAGCATGGGGGACATTTTTGGGATGATGAAATCGTTTGACATTTTGATTACAGCGGTGGCCACACGACTATACATGTTTGTCGAAATTCACAGAACTGTACACTAGAGGGTACGTTTTACTATATATTAATTATACTGTAATTTTGAAAATGGAAAAATTATTCAAATAAGTCTATGAATACCAGAGTTGTTTTTACTAAATTTCCACATCCTAGTACATTGAGTAGTGCACCCTTACCTGCAAGGGTTATGTTCCAAGATCCCCAGTGGACACCTGAAACCATGGATAGTATGGAACCCATATATATTAAGCTTCTCCTAGACATACATACCTATGATGAAATTTAATTTATAAATTAAGCACAGTAAGAAATGAATAATAAAAAATAGAACAATTATAACAATTTACTACAATAAAAGTTCTGTGAATGTGGTGTCTCTCTCAATGTCTTATTGTGTATAATATTTTTGGACTTCAGTTGTCTGTCGGTCAGCAAAACTACAGATAAGGGAAGACTATCTGTATATATAAAGTCAAGTATATTTTTATTTATAAATCAGATTTATTACTGATACGTTTAAACCAAAATACGTTTACAAATTAAATTTTAAACACCACAAATTCAATACAATTCAAAGAAGCAACATTTATTTAATAAGATGGACAATGTTATTTTGCTGGATGTAAAACATTTGTGGGTACAGCTCCTTCCCCAGGACCACCTTCCTGGCCACCCCCCAATACCTGGCACCAAGTGTAGTTCTCTCAAGGCCTCTCTCCCCTCCTGGATGGTCCTTCCCTTCTCCTGGATCCTCACTGCCATCCCCTGCAAAGGTTCGCTGTCTGCTGTGTCTCAGCCACATGCATCTGTCTCCATTTTATGCTCCACACAGGTCTCCTGTTGGATACGCAGGAAAGGTAGCTTCTGCTCCTAAAAACGGAAAAGAAAGGAAAAAGGAAGCACCGTATAGGTCTGACCTCAGAATACAAAGTCTGAAAAACAAATGGGGAAGGTTACACACTTGCTGACACAATCCTTTCTCTGATGCTAAGAATGCATTTCTGTGGCAATACACAAGGACTCCTTCTATTACCTTAGCCTTGAAGGTGCCAGCTTGAGAGGGCAGAGACAGGAAAAATCCCACCCTGCCAAGCCTATGGTCCCGTTCTAGGCTCTGAACGACCTGAAGACAGGTACAGTCTCATGAATCTTTGTATCCTCAGTGCCTTGCAGTAGCTGGCATGTGTCAGCTAATCAATGAATTAATAAATTAGTAAATGAATGCATCAACCAAATTCATTCCACTGTGATGACTTGAATAAATATTCAATGATTAAATCGGTGCAACCAAAACTAAATTAATTGCTGCCCTAATTAATTTATCAGTAGGTGTGGCAGTGGCATCTGGTTCATACACCAATTCTCAGTAACACCCAATTGATGTTGTCTTTTCTAGATGTTCTGTTATCTGGAAGAGGCTCTGAGGACCAGTCTTCACATGTTTCTGTCCAGGTTATCTTACTAAAATGCTCCAGAAGTTCATATGTTTTAAAAATAAAACATCTAGACTCTGTGATCTTGGGCAAGTTGGTAAATTTGTCTGAGACTCAGTTTCTTCAGCAGTAAAATGGGGATACCAGTAGGAACAACTTCACAGAGTTGATGTGAGAGTTAAATGAGTCAATGAATGTAAAGTGCTTGGTGCAGTGCATGGCACCAAATGACAGTAAATGTTGATGACTTTTCCTCCTCCTGCTTGCACCAAGTGACAATAAATGTTGATGATTCCTCCCCCTCCCCCTCCCCCTACCTCTCCCTCTCCTCCTCCCTTTCTTCCTTCTCCTTCTCCTTCTTCTTTCTTCTTCTTACCATTATCACCACCACCACAGCCTTTGCAATTTTTTGTTTTCTATTTCCCACTAAGATGCTAGTATATCCTTGCCTACTTAGAGGAAGTGTTCTGAACTCTGACCGTCTCTTCCTTGTTTAGGAGAATTCAAAGAATTCTGTTACAATTTCACCTGGGATCTCCATAGGTGACTATTGCTTTTTTTTTTTTTTTTTTTTTTGAGACGGAGTCTCGTTCTGTCGCCCAGGCGGGAGTGCTGTGGCGCGATCTCCGCTCACTGCAAGCTCCGCCTTCCGGGTTCACGCCATTCTCCTGCCTCAGCCTCCCGAGTAGCTGGGACTACAGGCGCCCGCCACTGCGCCCGGCTAATTTTTTGTATTTTTAGTAGAGACGGGGTTTCACCGTGGTCTCGATCTCCTGACCTCGTGATCCGCCCGCCTCGGCCTCCCAAAGTGCTGGGATTACAGGCGTGAGCCACCGCGCCCGGCCGACTATTGCTTTTTATTGAAATAGAATAAATTTGAGTGACTTACCAGCTCCTGGGCACACAGATAATTGTCCTTTAGAGAAAACAACAATAACAACCTTAAGAGGAAAAATGGCACTAAATTAGAATGCGGTTTTGGTTATACAATTTCTGCAAAATTTATTATTGAGTTTCTAGTCATCAAGGTGAAAAGTGGCTTTCCAAAAGGGAGAGGGAGTAGGTGGTGGTGCTGTGAGGAGATAATAATGACCTTGCCCTTGGGCCCATCTCTGCAGGGGAGGTGGTGTAGGCTGGTGGTGATGGGTCCAGGGTTTCAGCTGGATTCAGTTTTGAATCTTCTCTTGATCTTGTTATATAATTTGGAGCAACTTACTCTGCCACCTCTCTTAGCTTCTCTTTTCTGCTTCACAACATCCACTTCATATGAGGATTAAATGAGGTCATACCAATGTGGGAAAAAGAAAATTCTCTTTAAAAACCTAATTTCAGATGATTTCATGTTAAAGGGACTCGACCAAGGAAAATGTATCCTTCTGTTTTGGGGCCATGTACTTCTAGAAGGCAAAGCCCCAGCTGCGTCTGGATGTAAGGTCAAGAGAAAGAGGGCAGTAACACTAACTGGCTCTGAGTAAGAAGGTGGGAGACTTTTACATTTTCTCTTTGAAACTCAAGAAAAGGAGTTTGGACCCTGGAACTGGAGGAAAAGGAGAGAGGAGGAAATGGCCAAAGTGATCTTTGCCAACAGGCTTGTTGGATGATGAAGTAAAGGTTGTTTTCTCTTTCACACTCTGGTTTTTTGTTACCTTTTCCCTAGTCTTCAGTGAAGCTTTACTACTTCCTTAGACTTGTATTAGCACCGCCTAGACTTGTATTAGCACGGGAAGGTCACATTCAGAGCAAGCTGAACAGAGAATCAAGTACAGAGTTTAGAGCAAGGAACAGGAGCGAGGGTGAGCGAGATCACCGGGAAAATGTAAGTTCCTCTCTGGAGCTCCTTGGAAACAGTAGAGAGAGAGCTGAGCTTCTCCTCGTTATCAATTTATTTACATTTTCTTGTCTTTGTATTTATTTGAGCCCAGATAACTGGAAGACTGGGGACAGGTGAAACATACTTCCCCACTGAGCATGTCTACTGCTACCACCTTAGTATAAGTTATCAACACTTGGCTTGGATGACTGCTATTGCCTTTTAACTAGTTTCTTTGAATCTTTTAGGTTTTTTTTTATTTTTTATACTTTAGATTCTGGGGTACATGTGCAGAACATGCAGGTTTGTTACATAGGTATACATGTGCCATGGTGGTTTGCTACACCCATCAACCCGTCACCTACATTAGGTATTTCTCTTAATGCTATCCCTCCCCAGCCCCCCACCCCCCAACAGGCCCCCATGTGTGGTGTTCCCCTCCCTGTGTCCATGTGCTCTCATTGTTCAACTCCCACTTACGAGTGAGAACATGTGGTGTTTGGTTTTCTGTTCCTGTGTTAGTTTGCTGAGAATGATGGTTTACAGCTTCATCCATGTCCCTGCAAAGGACATGAACTCATCCTTTTTTATGGCTGCATAGTATTCCATGGTGTATATGTGCCACATTTTCTTTATCCACTCTATCATTGATGGGCATTTGGGTTGGTTCCAAGTCTTTGCTATTGTGGATAGTGCCGCAATAAACATACGTGTGCATGTCTTTATAGTAGAATGATTTATAATCCACTGGGTTGGGTATATACCCAGTAATCGGATTGCTGAGTCAAGTGGCATTTCTAGTTCTAGATCCTTGAAGAATCACCACACTGTCTTCCACAATGGTTGAATTATTTTACACTCCCACCAACAGTGTAAAAGTGTTCCTGTTTCTCCGCATTCTCTCCAGCATCTGTTGTTTCCTGACTTTTTAATGATCGCCATTCTAACTGGCATGAGATAGTATCTCACTGTGGTTTTGATTTGCATTTCTCTAATAACCAGTGATGATGAGCTTTTTTTCATATGTTTGTTGGCTGCATAAATGTCTTCTTTTGAGAAGTGTCTATTTCCTTTGCCCACTTTTTGATGGGGTTGTTTTTTTCTTGTAAATTTGTTTAAGTTCTTTGTAGATTCTGGATATTAGCCCTTTGTCAGATGGATAGGTTGCAAAAGTTTTCTCCCATTCTGTAGGTTGCCTATTCACTCTAATGAACTCTCTCTTTTTTTTTTTTTTTTTTGAGACAGTCTCACTCTTTCACCCAGGCTGGAGTGCAGTGGTAAACTCTTTCTCTATTGCAATTCCCCTGCCTTGATAAATTGGCTCTATCTGGGAAGCCGGCAAGAACCCACAGGGTGTTTACATTACTATCTGTCTTCATGAAGGCAAAGGCTTTGATTTTCTTCATAAGCCCCATCATGCAGCTAGCACTTGGCTTAGTGACTAAACCCTCATAGGCACTCAACAGACATTTGAATAAACATGTCCTGGGCAGTGCTGTCCAATAGAAGTAAGATGTGTGCCACATATGTAATTTTAAATTGTTGAGTAGTTACATTCAAACGTAATAAGAAACAATAAAGTTAATTTTACTAATACATTTTAATTACCCAATATATCTAACATGTTACCACTGCAACATGTAATCAGTATAAAAATTATTGAGATATTTTACTTTTTTTGTGTTAAGTCTTCAAAATCCATCGTGTATTTTACATTCAGAGCACATCTCAATTTGTATTAGGTGCCTTGCAAGTGCTCCATAGCCTAAAGTAGCTAATGACTCCTGTACTGGACAGGGCAGGTCTGGAGCCTCCTAGTGTTCAATATATGCCAGTTGATAGATAATAGCACAATGCAAAGAATTGGAGAAAGAAAGTTTTATTCTGAAAGCTGCCGTACCCACTGGTTGATACGGTGACTATGAGACTTCATTCACCTGTTAACATCTGGAACAGCAGAAAGACCTAAAGTGCCCATGATGAATGAGTAAGGACACTGGACCAGGAGTGAGGTGAATATGCAAAAGCCTGTGTCTCCCAGAGCCCCAAAGAGACAGGAGAGCAGAGGACACCCAAAGAGCAACAGGCTTGTTGCACCAGTGGGAAGACACAGCAGGCAGCAGGCTTTGCTGAGGAGTCTGCCAACAGAGCATCTCAAAGTGCAAACCAGGCTGGGCACAGTGGCTCACTCTTGTAATCCCAGCACTTTGGGAGGCTGAGGTGGAAGGAGCACTTGAGCTCAGGAGTTCAAGACCAGCCCGGGCAACAAAGTGAAAAATCTTGTTGCTACAAAAAAATTTTAAAATTAGCCAGGTATGGTGGTATGTGTCTGTAGTCCCAGCTACTTGGGAGGCTGAGGTGGGAGGATCACTTGAGCCCAGGAGGTCAAGGCTACACTGAGCCATGATTGTGTCACTGCACTCCAGTCTGGCTGACAGAGCAAGACCCAGACACCAAAACATACCAAGGACTAAACTCTGACCATTTTTCTCTCTTGTCTAAATCCCTACCTAAGGGGTCAGAGAAGTCACACAGTACAAACAGAAAGTCTCAGAAGATGGATTTTATTTAACCCTATGTAACATGGATTACTTTCCAACTTGACTCTCATAACATCACATGACAGATGAAGAGGGAAACCAAAATGTTTTACCCCAAAAATATGTTTCATCACCATATTTAGAAATAGCTCTGTAAAGCTGTTTTTTTGGGGGGGAAATTTGCCTCTGTAAAGAATCTCCATTAACATAACTAGGTCTTTCCTCTACCAGGTCCTCCCAGTCTTGAAGAGATTAACTGAGAGTCTCGCACCTCTTAAAGGATTGAATAGGAAACATTTGCCATCTATGGTCTGAAAGGCCTGCCACCTATAGACTACTGGAAACTGCCTGCTTCACTGCATAGTAAGAACCTTGGAGCCACAACCCCTTATCTTAACCCAGACACTCCTTTCTATTGATCCCAGGTTTTTAGATAATAACTTAACTCTCAGCCAATCAGAAAATCTTTGAATCCACCTGTGACCTGTAAGTCCCCACCCTTCAAATTGTCCTGCCTTTTGGGACTTAACCAATGTATACCTCACATGTATTGATTGATGTCTTTTGTCTCCCTAAGACATATAAAACCAAGCTGCAACCCAACCACCTTGGGCACATGTTCTCAGGACCTCTTGAGACAGTGCTGTGGGCCATGGTCACTCATATTTGGCTCAAAATAAAACTCTTCAAATATTTTACAGACTTTGGCTCTTTTCACTGACAGTACTGTTCTGGGATTTGTCGTGGCAGGGTATGTGTCTTAGTCCATTTTTTACTGCTGTAACATTCTAACACAGACTGGGTAATTTACAAACAATAAAGATTTATTTCTCACAGTTCTGGAGGCTGGGAAGTCCAAGACCAAGGTGCTGGCAGGTTCAGTGTCTGGTGAGGGCCTGGTCCCTTAAGCCCTTTTATGAGGGCCCTAATCCTATCCGTGAGGGCACTGCCCTTATGACTTGATTACTTCCTGAAGGCCTCACCTCTCAACACTATCACATTGGTAATTATGTTTCAACATATGAATTTGGGGGGACATATTCAGACGCTAGCAATATGTAATGTAATTTTTTTCTTCCGATAATACTTTCTTTGGCTAATTTGTGGCTAGCATGCTTTCCATTGGGATGTTGGTACTAGCCAACTGGGCTGTCTACTGAAATGAGTTTGTCCCAGGTTTCTGGGTAGGAAACTGTCTCCTTAAAAGTGACTTTTAGGGGCCAGGCATCATGGCTCATGCTTGTAATCCCAGCAATTTGGGAGGCCAGGAGTTCAAGACCAGCCTGGTCAACGTAGCAAGACCCCATCTCTGCAAAAAATAAAAAATAAGTAAATTACCCTGGCGTGGTGGTACATGCCTCTGTCCCAGCTACTCAGGAAGCTAAGGTGGGAGGATCACTGGCCTGGGAGGTCATGGCTGCAGTGAGCTGTGATCATGCCACTGCACTCCAGCCTGGGAGACAGAGTGAGACCTTGTCTCCAAAACAAAACAAAACAAAACAATACAAAAAGTGACTTAGATGTGTGCCCCTCACTAAGTAATATTCATCATACTGATGACACAGTGCTTGGGAGAAAATCCACCGTGCATGTTTAAAACTCCGTTTTAATGCTATGAGGGTAAAATGTGTGTCGTGCAAGAAGATAAGCCACTTAATTTGGTATCCAAAGCAATAGCTGCCTCCCACCCACATTTGACTAATGTTAGTTTCATTGCTTGGTGCTGTTATCTTTTGTCGCTATGAGTTTCTGAATCAGAGAGACAAGAGGGCAGTGAATGCCACATCACCCAGCCCTCCTCTTTGCACTTAGGGAGCAGTCTGGGTGATGGATTCTGAACCATCCTGCACAGAGAGTTCCCAAAGGTGTCAGTGGGGATTTGTAAGCAGGAAGAAGTTCCTAATATTTAAGGGAGAATTCTGCCGTGCAGATCTGAGAGCCCAGCCCACAGCTCAGAGTGAACAATTTTTAACTTTTAACTTTTCCAGAACATGAAGACTTACCCTCCTAGGTTTCAAAGAATATCTACCAGTAATATTTTGCTGGAGAACCATGTCTTATAAAAGATCCAGTAATTTTGGTGAGAGATCTCCAAGGCAGGTGAGGGAGGTAAGGGGTTCATGGGGCTATTTCCCCAGCACTACTAGTAACTTAATAAAATATCAGCTGCTGTTTGACAACAAACAGAGACACACTATAAAACCACAACTGTTCCTTTCAGACTGTATTAATAGAAAAAATCTGGTAAACAAGAAAGATCAGTACAAGAATGTTCCACCAAGTAGATCCAATTTCTCAAAGGAAATGTTAATCCCTACGCATGAAAGGCTTTCACATTAAAAAAAAAAAGTGAGTCATCATTGTATCACTGATTATTTTAAGCAGTTTTATAGAGGTTAACGGGTGTCGGAGTCAAGTAAGTCATTTCTTTTTTTTCCCCTTCAAATATTTGTAAGGAGTATTACAGATATATTCTTAAAAAAAATTAAAGTATGTTTAAAGATTTCTATGTGCCCCTCTCCAATTTCATTCCACTCTTTTCACCCTAAAATAAACTATATTATGTCTTAGTTTCAAGTATGCTTTCTACTTGCTATATATGTAGCATCAATAAATGAAGTACAGAACTGCCTCTGCATACGTTAAATTTTTAAAAAATGGTAACTACTGCTAATAATTCGTGTCTTCTTATAGAAATGTCTACAAATATACAAGCATACATATCTATTTTACATGAAATAAGCTTCTATGTATCTACACCTTGTGTTGTTCTCTTACTGTATCTTAGATAACTTTTTATATTCACACAGATCTACCTCATTTGTTTTAATAGCTGTACATTTCATGTTAGAGGTACCTTAATTTGTTACCCCAACTTCCTATTGATGGGCATTTAATTGTTTACTTTCCCCTATTGCAATCATTTCTTTGTTACAAATATTGCTGAAGATGTTTCCATGTACTCATAAAAGTATATATATATATATACATATATATATATATATATATACATATATATATATATATATATATATGTATATATATGAACTAAATTACTAGAAATGGAGCTGCCAGGTCAAAGGATTTGTTCAGTTTATATTTTTAAAGACATAATTGCTCTTCAAAAAGTTTGACTGTCTATTATATTCTCGGTATTATCAAATGACTTAACATTAGACAAGCATTGGTGAAAAATGGCATTTTAATTAGCATTTCTTTAATTTTATATAAGATAAAAACTCTTTTCATTGTTTATTGGCCCTTTTATTCCCTTTGAACTGCATATTCAAAGCCTTTTCTCATTTTTAAAAAAGATTGAACCCCTTTTATAAAGACTAACGGGTGTTGGAGTCAAATGAGTCTTCCTTTTTTTTATTCTTTTTTTTTTCCTCTAAATATTTTTAAAGAATATTACAGATATATTCTTAATGAAATAAAACATTAAAATATATTTAAAGATTCATTTATGCCCCTTTTTCAAATTGCTATATAAGGGCCTTTATATATTAGGGAAATTAACTCCATTCTCCTATGAATTGCAATTATCTTTTACCACTTCATTTTCTTTTAACTTATGGCATTTTTAATGCAAAATTTATGTAGTACATTTGTCAATCTTCTTTATGATTTCTGGGTTGTATCTTATTCAAGAAAGTATCTCCTCAGGCCAAGAATATCTCCTTCTAGTACTTTCATGGTTTCATTATGTTGTACTTACATCATTATTCATCTGGGATTAATATTCATGTAAGAAACAAAATAGGAATCTAACTTTTTTTTTCATTGCAGTAAGTCCTCACAGCATTTACTGAATAATCTTTCTTACCCTGCTTAGAAATGCTGCTTTTATCATTTCTATTTTATCCTCTATTCTGAGCCAGTGATCTTCTGAGTCATCTTGCAATATCACAAACTCTTTTAAATTTCTGTAGTTTAATAATATGGTTTAATATCTAATATGGCTAGTTTCTTCAGATTTACTTTTTTTTAGAGAGTAGCTACTAGCCGGCTCTGGTATACCACCAAATAAAGTATTGTTGTTGTGCTATGAAAAACATTCTTAGGCCATGCTAGGAACACAAAGCAGAGAATAGTCAATTCCATTTGAGGAAGATAGTAGAGGAAGCTTTATAGAGAGACTTTCAGGTGTTTGAAGGTTTTCTTTAAAGACATGGAATGTAACCCTCTTTTGTAGCACATGAGGCCTTCCATTTTTGTTCCATTCTTGGACCAGATAGTTGAGAAGTCTGTATTTAGAAGAAGTACAAGCTTCGTATCGTCAATGGCAAGATGAAGAACAAAGATCCCAGGTGATCCTAACGTGCTGCAAGGGATAGAACCAGAGACTCCTCTGCTGAAAAGCCTTAGCTGGCTCCTCATCTTTAAGTTACAAGACTGTAGAATTTGTTTGTCTTAAGTTTCTTTCTTACTCTAGCCTGAGTCTTTGCCACTCAAAGATTTTGTGTTGAACAATTACAGAACCAAACTGGGGCATTGCTAATAAATTTGCCTCACAAAACTGGGGAATCCCAGTCTTTGGGAAAAAAAATTATCTGATAGGAATGTTGTGTGGAAGCCAGGAAGATTGGATTAGAAGATATTAGAGTTCTTCCACTTTTCAGTAAGCTGATGGTGCTATGAAGAGTCTGGTTGGAGTCATTTTTCAGTCTTTCAGAAGGAGCATTGTTGAATCCCTGTAATGTCCTGTGGGTAGTGTTTGATGTAAGGGAGATTCTGTCTTGGCTGAGATGTAAGCCCATGTGGCCCTCTGGAAAGAAAAGAGGTTGGGGACGTGTGACTCGGGCTGTGGCCAACCTCCTTCACACCTCCTCTGTCTCTCACAGGTACCAGCACCCTCCCTGGTTCAGGCAGGGAATGAGGAATAGGTTTGTGTGAGATGGGAGACCTCCAAGAGCTATTGTGGGATCATTTGTTGAGCGGCCAAAATGAAATGTATTTCTCTTCCCAAGACATGTGCATTGCCTTCGCTAGCTTCTTTTTGAAGCAGGCATATTCCCTTTTTTGTTTACACCGTAAGCACTCAATAAATAGTATGCCTCGGTAGTCATAATAATCCGTGGTTGCTTCCAGAAACAAGCCAAACTCATGAGTAAAACCAGCATTAGTGGACGCCAAACAACTGTCGCATTTCAGACACCTCAGAGCCAGCTTGGTAGCCAATGATCTTTCAGTGCGAGCTGGCTCCTTGGTGTTACTGGAGGAGAAGCAACTGCATTCCCAGAGGCATGGGGCTGCCCCAGACAGCTGTGTTTGCTGAACTGTTTCATGTCACTTCTCTATTTAGTCCAGAAATAGAGATCTGAGAAAAGAAAAAAACCAAAACAATGGCAAGGTCTAAATGTAAATGTAATACGGCAATGACAATGGCTTGTTGGCTTAGATCATGGGAATGCTTCATAGTGTCCAGGCCCTAGGCAGGAAAGGGAGGCTAAGCCAAGATTTGAGGGTCCCCATTTCTAAATCGAGGTCTTCAAAGGCCTAGATTAGTTTAACATGTAAATTCTTCACTCTACCCTTGCTCAACTGGAGAGTCTATGTCTGGGCTTCTGACAAGGAGGAGAGGCTAGAGAAGAAAGAACAATGGGTACTGAAATGGCCCAATAGAGTATTTGTCTCAGATGTCTTTAGAGAAGGAAACAAAGGTCGTCTAACTTGGTGATGTGGTGCAGTGTTAAGGAACCTGGAGTGTGTCTGGAGAAGAGCCTCCTAACTCTGGTTCTATGTTGGCCATAACATTTTCTCTCTAAGCCCAGTTTATCTCAGTTTGCTCATCTGTGTAATAGGAAGATAAGACTTCATAATATGATAATTTTCTAATTTTCTAACCTCTGATTCTAAGAGCTTCAATACTCTGCAAAGTTAAGCAGAGACCAAAAACTACCCCGGAGACCCAGACTTCATCCACAAATAGGGCTTATAAAATTTTTTTAATGTCTTCTGTAAAGTCTATACAATAATTTTATCACTCTCCACATCTCCATATTCCTTTAAGATTAGCTAACAGCACCTTGGACTAGTTCTACTCCAAAGAGGGTTAGAGAGACAGTACAGTTTTGTGATATTATTCGTAGGAGCCGAGGGAGTTTGACAAACCGAAATATTACCCAAACCTTACAGCTCTGCTTATCAAGCTCTTGCTTATCACCGCCATTGACAACAAAACCAAATATGTATGGCATATTCACAAAAAGGGGTGAGCTTACTGTGACAGGAACTTTGTTAAAAAACAAAATTGGTCCTGGGCCTGACAAGCTCATCCTATCATTTTGGAGGTAAATTTTCTTTCTTTCTTTTCTTTTTTTTTTTTTTTTTCTTTTTTGAGAGGCAGTCTTGTTCCTTCACCCAGGCTGAAGTACAGTGGCACCATCTCAGCTCACTACAACCTCCGCCTCCTGGGTCCAAGTGATTCTCCTGCCTCAGCCTCCCAAGTAGCTGGGATTACAGGCGGATGCCACCATGCCCGGCTAATTTTTGTATTTTTAGTAGAGATGGAGTTTCACCCTGGTGGCCAGGCTGGTCTCAAACTCCTGACCTCAAGTGGTCTGCCCACCTCATCCTCCCAAAGTGCTGGGATTACAGGTGTGAGCCACTGCACCTGACATTAGAGGTAAATTTTTAACAACAAGGTAAAATGCAAGGAGTGGCATCTCCTGGAAAATGAGGTCATGATGCTCTGTGGAGGAGGAGGGTCCTGATAGGAGCCTGGAAGGAGGAAGCCGCTGGCAGCGAAGAGAAGCCAGAGGCATGCCAAGCCAGGACAACACGATGAGCAGGACACCGAAGTGCCGTGTCAGAAGACAACAAGTACATGAGCATCTTTGTAGGGCAGGACAGATGAGAGCGAGCAGACGGCAGGTTCAGCTGGAAGGGGGTTCAAGATTTGGCAGACATCCCTAGTTGCCTATCCCAATATCTTCTCTTCCTCCTTAATCACCCAACCTTGATTTTTAGCTGAGCTTCTTAATGCTCAGAATTAAAGATAACACTTTCCACCCTCCTTTGCAATTAAGTGTGGCACATGGCTGGCTCTAAACAATGAGATATAGGCAGAAATATTCTGGGGGACTCTGGGAAGATGCATATCCATTTCCTCCTTTCTTCCTGCTACATGGACTGCAGATGGGGTGGCTGGAGTTCCAGCAGCCGTCTTGTGCTAGGAGGTGATTTGAGAATGGCATATGTTGAAGTTTATAGAGAAGAAAAGAAAGAGCCTGGGTTATTAATAATGCCTTGAAGTAGCCTGAGACTGCTTATCTCCACACTTGTTTTATATGAGAGAGAATTTTAAATTTTAAGATACAGTTATTTAGTATTTTTCTGTCATATGTATCCAGATTGTGGTAGGCCTAGAATTTTAGAATAAATTACTTTAATTCTTTAGAGACTAAAAAATGCTACAATTTAAAAATTAATATATCAGTTATATTTTGGGCAACTATTATATGTCAGACATTGTGGCAGATGTTGGAGGAATGTTCAGCTAATTTTCTGAAGGCCACAATACAGAGATGCTTTTGTGGTTCATTTAAATATGAGTTTATGTTTGGCTGTCAATGAGAACTCACATATATTTCTCATCTCTCTTTCCCTGTGATATATTTATAAAGCACATCAGTATAGGTAGTGTACTTGAATGGCACTGTCAGAACATCCTCTAAACCCCGGAGTTAAAATTGATGTCCTGCTTTCAGAAATAGCCAGGTAAATCCTTTCACTGGTCTAAAACTCTAAAATGAGCTTCCTCTATCTAGTAAGTCATCCATTTTACTTTGGCTCATCACATGCTATTAGAAAGACAGTCTTTCACTGCCCAAGAGCACCTAGAATATACCAAGTTGATGAGAGTGTTTGGCTGAGTGGGGAGTTGGGGGTTGGACCATTTTAAAGGGAAACAATATCTCTAATGCTCAGTTAAAAAAATACACAGGGAGCAACTCTATACAACTCCCCTTCTATTCCCTCCCCCACACTCACCCTCAGCTCTGAATCAAAGGTAGGGTTGTTCCCCAAGCTGGTTTTCTTTTTTTCATCAGGGTATTACTCTGTTGCCCAGGCTGAAGTGCAGTGGCATGATCATACCTCACTGCAACCTCGACCCCCTGGACTTAAGCAATCCTCCTATCTCAGTACCCGCAAGTAGCTGGGACTATAGGAACATGTCACCCACACTCAGTTAATTTTTTAAAATTTTTTCTAGAGACGGGGTCTTGCCATATTGGTCAGGCTGGCTTCAAATTCTTGGGCACAAGGTATCCTCCTGCCTCAGCCTCCCAAAGTGCTGGGATTACACGGGTGAGTCACTGTGCCCAGCCTTCAAGGCTGATTTTCTAGCAAGCTCTCAGGTGAGGCCAATGCTGCAGGTCTATCGACCACACTTTGGGTAGCAAGAGTAGGCAATGTCACCTGTCTCAGAAGTGTTTTATCTTAGTATCATGCACCCTGTGCCAGCCTGGATGACATCCCAGGCACAACAAGAAAAACATTGATGAACCTGACATGTTTGTGCTATTCTAATGCTACGAGTGGCAAATCCAGAATAGAGACCTGGTTGTATTCATAAGTACTGTACTCTCTTTACAGTAGTAATTTCTAATAAGGATGATGCTGATGATGTTAATAATAACGGTAGCTAACCTCTTTTTTTAGTATTTATTGTGTGTCTGATAGTGTAAGTGCATTCCATGCATTATTTAATTTAATGCTACCAGTAACTCTGTACAGTAGGCACTAGTCTAACCTCCACATTTCACATGAGGAAACTGAGGCTCAGAGAAGCTAAGCAGCTTTCCCAGGGTCACATGGCAGGCTCACAAGTGTAATGGCAAATATTTCTCTGCTCCTTGAAGAGGATTAGCAAGTCCTCCTTATTGCTCCCAGACAGTTGAGTGAGGGTGCTGAGCAGAGAGTTTTAGTCAATGGAAGGATTTACCTGGCTGTTTCTGAAAGCAGGACATCAATTTTAACTCCTTGGGTTTTGAAGACGTTTTGACAGTTTCCTCCAAGTATACTCCCTATAGTAATATACTTTTAAAATATATCACAGGGAGAGGGAGATGAGAAATATCTGTAAGTTATCACTGACAGCCAAACACAAACTCCCTGCTTACAAGTTTGTCTTCTTTCTTAAAACTTCAAAGTGAATACCTCTGGGATATGGGGACAAAAGTTGTCCTCAGGAACCATGAGTCATAGTGACTTTAGGAAATGATGATTTGACACCAGACAGCAGTAAGTGAACTATTTCAAGATGTCTCAGAGTCTTAGTGTTGGAAGGATCCTGGAGGCTGAAGTCCCCTCAGCGTTTCTACTCAGGGGCTGTGCATTCATGTTCCATACCCTTTGAGCCACAGCAGCCACTGCCGTGCCAGACAGGCTGCTGCTTTTTCAGGCAGCTCTAGTTGTTAGGAAGTCTTTCTCTGTATTAACTTCCCTGGAACTCTCTTAAGCCTCATTCTGCCCTGTGGAGGCCCTCAGATTCTGTCTCATCTGTCCTCTGTATGACACTAACATATGCCTGTTTCCAAGTTCCAACTCTAAGGTTGCCTACTTCTGACCTAAAATAAAACTGTGAGGGGTGTTCGTGTGTGTCCTCTGGTGCTTGAACATTGAACATGCATGTTTATGCCCACACTTGCTAAGTGCTAGCTGGGCTCATTGATTTTTCTTTTCTTTTTTGTTTTTTAGAGATGGGGGTCTCACCTGCCATGTTGCCCATGCTGGACTCCAACTCCTGGGTTCAAGTGATCCTCCTGCGTCAGCCTCCTGAGTAGCTGGGGGAACTATATGTGCAAGTTTGTTCATTTTAAAGGTGGCTTTGCCCAGTAATCTCTAGCTGGGAGCATCCACTGACCCTAGGAGCTAATGCACAGGGGAGGATGAGAGGTACTCCTGGGAGGGTGAGTGCCTTTGGGTTATCTCAGTCCCTGGCACCTTCACGGGGGGGTGGGCAGGCAGATGAGCTGTCATTCTAGAAAGTGCCAGCTATGCCTGCACACTCCTCTCAGCCTCGAAGGCACACACCCTAAGCTCTGAATCAAAGGTAGGGCTGCTGCCCCAAAGCCGATGTGGCTTGTTAAGAACTTGAGAGACTGTAGGTCATGCAGTCACAAGGGCATCCACCAGAGATGGGGACAACCAACAGGAGACCTCAGCCTTGGTGCAGGCAGTCTAATGAGGGGCCCAGCAGTGCTGTTATGACAAAGGGCTCTGAGTCAGCAACGCAGCTTGTTGGTGGAGCTACTGAGCAAAGCCTCTTACCTTCTCTGCTTCTTCAAGGCCCAGTGCTTTATCTGTCAAATTTGGAGAAGATCTCTGCCTTGTAGGCTTTAAATGTTTACTTAGTAGCTCTCAACTTCCTTTCTCTCTTGGCTCAAATTTTGAATGTTGGGGCAGGAAACTACTACTGAATATCATTTACTTGAGATTTCCCTTGTGGCCCATTAGAAGGAGTGTGTGTGTGTGTGTGTGTGTGCATGAGAGAGACACAGAGAGAACACACCAAAGGCCACTGTGGGTGAGGGTGGGGTGTTTGGATGAACACCAGTCTGGAAGAATCAGGACCCCTGGACTTCTAGGCCTGACCCCACTGCTCCCTGGTCATGTGGCTTTGGGGAAGCCACTCTAACCTTTCTAGGCCTCATTTTCTCCATGTCTAAAATGAATACCATAAATAAGAAGTAATTTCTAGTGTATTATGCTACTCAAACTTCTGTTCTCATTTGTTTTTGTGTGTACCTTCTGCATGCCAGGAACTAATTCACAGCATGAAACAAGCCCCTGCAGTCCCAACTCTTAGCAGCCCGTTCCCCCTGGGAGAGGTCAGGTCACACCCAGATAGACAGCTCTACAACGGAAGGTAGAGGTGATGAGCAGCATGCAGGCAATACGGCAATACAGCGAGGCAGGGGCGTGGAGAGCGATGGGCAGGCGCTGTTTGAGCAGGGAGCTTAAGCACTTGAGGCAGTGAGTCCAGAGTGTGGCCTGAGCACGGAGGGGCAGGAAGTGGGCCTGAGGCAAGGAGATTGGATTTCATTCTAATGGGAGGGCTTTGTTTTTATTTCCGCCTTCAGAGCTGTATTTCAGTCCATGTGCAGCAGGTTAAAACACTGCTCCTCCCATCTCCTTCCCCACTCTGTGGTGGTGGTGGTGGTGGTTTTGACACTGAAGGGTGGAACCCGGAGGTTGGGGTGAGGAGGAGGGAAGGATGGAGAGGGTCTGGCAGGGCTTCTTGGAGAGCATGTGGAGTTGATGGCAGCGGAAAGAGGCAGGAAAGGGCATGCATTCCAGTTCATCTTGTATTTCCAAGCTCTGAAGTCACTATTTAGAAGAAGGAGATAAGCCCTATTTCCTCCACTTTTCCCTTTTCCCTTGTATTTTCTCCTGGAGTTAGAACACAGAGAGAATTGATGTCAATGCCTATGATTTGTCTCTCAGCTAACTTTTAAAGTATTTGCAAGGCTGAATGATTATGTGTTGTGCATCAAGTGTTCCTGTATTATCTCCCAAAGCCATTTTTTTCCATGAAACCTTTTGAAATCAAAGAAGAGAATCACAACTCTCCTGGCCTCAGGTTTTTCCTGAGGTGGCAGAGGTGTGGCGTGGACAGGGTGGGCTGGTACAAGTGGGAACCTATTTTCCAGAAGGGTGAGTTCAAAGGCTCAAAAATAAAGAAGCAATAAAATAAAAAAATAAGCAAATAAAAGAGCAAGGCTGGGGCTGGATAAATGAATCTAAAGAAAGCAAAGAGCAAACACAAAAGACCCACATTGCTCAGCTACTTCCCAGACCTCCAATCAGCATCAGCCCCTCCATTACCTAAACTTGGGCCAAGTTGAAAGACTCGAATTAACTGGCTTTTGTTTTGTCTTTTCTCACAGCTCACCTTCCCTAGAAGCCTGGAGTGGAGGGTGAGTCCCAGAGGATGGGGAGCAGGAGGGAGGACAGAAATGTGGACAGAGTGATGCCCACTCCCTAATTAGCTCCATAATGTCTGAGACTTGAGCTTGAACTTGCTTTCTGTAAGCAAAAGTGGCCCTCTGGCCATCCCTAAATACTCAACCAAAGACACTGCCCAATCCTCAGCAGTACAGATAAATGCCCTTTTCAAGATTTATCCATGTGGACCACACTGCACATAGATGCCACTCCCTGACTCAAAACCTTCAAAAGTATCATAAGGGCCAGTAAGATTTGATCCAGGTGGTATTCCTAGCTGTCTCCTGCCCATCTTCTCCCATCGTTCTCTCCCAGCCTCCTTGGTTTCTCTTTTACTTGAATAGCACATTCCTCCCTAGGGCCTTTGTATTTGCTGTTTCCTTGGTCCAGAAGGGTCTCCCTCAGTCATGCACTTGGCTCCCTCTCATTTCATTGAGGACCGTGCTCCAACTTCTCCTTCTTGGGGTCTCTCTGGCTCTCCCAGATAGCTTGTCCCTCCTGTAAGAATATTTATCTGTCTGTGTGCATATCGTCTATCTCCTTCATTAGGATGTAAGCACAGGAGGCACAGGAAGTCGTCTATTTTAGTCATCACTGTATCCGTAGCACTGCAAATGGTTCCTAGCACATAGTTGGCACTTAATAAATATTTGCTGGAAAAATGCTTTGATTTGTGGGGCAGAGTCATACTTGCTGGTCTACCCAATGTCTCCAGCACAAGCTCGTTTCACATGCCTGCAGGTATCATTTGCATTGATTATATCTCCTGGTTGTGTGTGTGTGTGTGTGCATGTATGTGTGTGCATTTGCATAAGAATTGCTTAGTAAAAGTGCTACTTTTACTTGATTTTTGAAAATTGCAAAATAGCCATGACTACAAGGTGAGGAGCCCATTTGGCCAGCAAACAGAGGGAAACTTGAGAACTTCAGGCCTTGCAGGTTTCCCCTAGTGCCCAGTGAGGTGGGCCGCCATACCTCTCTGTGGTCTCAGCCTGGCTACAACAGAAGGGAGATGCTGCCTGTGATGTGTCTTGTCTCTAGGCAGTGTTGAGGACGGGTCTCAGAGAGGGGCTCCACCAGAGCTGGTGGTGATGGGAATAATAACATATGGACCCAGATCACCCACCCCCTCATGGCAGCTGGGCCTTGTGGCTTCAGCCACATGGGCTTGGGGAGTTGTTTGATTGCATGTGTGTTTGGTTTCCCTATTTACAAGGAGCAGTTAAAGGTCATGAAGAGACCTCAAGACCTCTGAGTTCTCTTCACTTGGTTTCCTCTTTCTTTCCCAGGGGGTACAGTCCATGCTGTGTGAAATACCCACAAGACCGTGTCAAGAGGAAGGTATACCTGAATACCTGTATACCATTCACACAGCTTTCAGTGACTAGGCCTTTTCGTCTGGTCCACTTTCATAAGCAGTGACATTATTTAGCATCTGCTAATCCAAAATTCACGAAGTACATATATTTTTAATATTTTAGGCCATTCAATAACTACCGAATGCCTGCTATCATGCATTAAAATTTTAGAAACCAAGTTCTGCTTTGCCTTTCAAGAGAAAAATCGCGATACGTAAAAAGAGAGGGGCGGGAAATAGAGCAATTCTACAGTAAGCTTCCACTGGAGTAACCCCAAGTGAACTCCGTACAACCACAAGGGCTTTAAAGACCATGGTCAGAAAACCTCTAGGCAAGATTATTTTTAAATGTTTACAAAAGTATGTTCATGTCAGGTCTATGCCAATATCTGATTTTAAGCAACATGCCCCCAATTTAAACCCCAGTCTGGCTAACCCTCTGGCAAGCTACTGAAATCCACACTGCTTGGCAGGTAGACAGGCCTGTGTAAATTCAGAGAGAAAGGCCCCAGAGTAACCAAGTGTCACATCTAAAACACTTGTACCCAAAAGTGTACAATCTAGATGGGTCATAGTTCTCTAGATTTTTTGGCATCGTATTATTCAAATCACAGCAGGCAATGGAGATTCTGACCACTGAACGTGAGGTATACTTATGGTAGTGTGGTCAGTTTAGAAGTGGCAGGAAGCATTTCTCTTTCTGGCAACTGATGTGAAGGCTAGCTGCCCTGAAAACTCAGATTATCTGGATCTTCTCTCAGGCAATATGGGAAACAGATGGTGAGCACATAGTCATTCTCTTTCCCATCTGATCCTCCCAGCAACTGTCTGTGGTTGACTGGGGGTGCCAGTTCTAAGTCACGATGGTTCTTTGTTAGAAATTAACCTATTTCCATCTAAGGATAAATAACAAAATACAACTTTTTCTAGTGAGGCATAAATTGGATATGTTTGAAGTTACACATTTTGAAGAATTGTAAATGTCCAATACTTCTGAAAACACATATGCTTTAATGAGTTGATTTTTGTTTTACTATTTCTTTTCCTTTTGTTACATGTCATCTTTCCATAGCTGACATGTTTAATAATATATTTTCAATCTAATGGTTGCATATACAGTAAGAGTTGCATTAGACTAATTGTAAAGATCATAGTATATCAAATCAAATGGTGTTTACACCAAAATCAGAAACCCATACACACACTCTACATATGTATATGTACAAGTGTTTGTGTGTAGTGTATGGAGAAGCAGAAACACTGAGTTACAGCTTTTATCACCCAAAATGTGCACTTAACATTGAAGTGATACTCATCTTTAATTACAAGGAATTGTTTCCCAGGCAAATCAACCAGTCAAGTCAATCGTCTATGACTTACTTTATAAAAGATGGAAAAGAAACCAGGTATGGTGGCTTGTACCTGTAGCGCCAGCTACTTGGGAAGCTTGAGCCCAGGAGTTCAAGGCCAGCGTGGACAACACAGTGACACTCAGTCTGAAAAAGACCAAAAGACCAAGTGTGTAGCTCAAGGCTGCTCAGAGGTAAGGGGCAGATCTGAGGCCAAGGCTGTGTGGCCAACTCAGTGTCTCAGATGCCCCAGTACCCTCTGGGTCTATTTGCTGCTGCCTTGGTTTTTCACACCTGGGAACCTTTGCATTCCTGTTAAGTTGGGAAGCAGTTCAGTATTCAAGGGCTAGAGGCTGGAGGTAAATAGGCAGTCAAGGTGAATCCCAGAGGCTCTTTGAGATCCATTCATTCATTCATACATGCATTTACTGAGCAACTATTATATGCTGAGTTACATAATACAATGCAAGGGACCTTGTTCTAACAGATGCCTGAATCTGTGAAAACAAATGAAAAAACAACTGTTTGTATCAGTTTCCTAGGGACAGTGTAACAAAGTAACAAAGTACCACCAACTGGGTGGCCTGCAGCAATAGACATTTATTGTCTTGCAGTTCTGGGTGCTAGAAGTCTGAAATCAAGGCGTCAGAAGGGCCAGGCTCCTTCTGAAACTTGGGGGTGAATTCTTCCTGTCTCTTCCAGCTTCTGGTGGTTGCTGACAATCCTTGGAGTTCCTTGGCTTGTAGATGCCTCACTCCAAGCTCTACCTCCATTGTCACACCCCATCTTCTCCTTTTGTGTCTCTGTCTCTTCACATGGCATTCTCCTCTCTGTCTCTACTCCTCCTACAAGGACACCAGTCATATTGGATTAAGAACCCGTGCTGCTCTAGGATGACCTCATTTTAACTCACTGTATCTACGGTGACCCTATTTCCAAATGAGGTCACATTCTGAGACCCTGGAGATTAGGACTTCAACATATCTTTTAGGGGGACACAAACCCGTAACACCCTTAGGTCCAGTTTGTTTCAAAGGATTTTCAAAGTTTCACAGGATTCATCTCCTAGCTTATTCCACTTCCTCTTTGAAGCCTCCTGACTTACTAAAAAATAATTTTTAAAAAATGCTGTAGCAAGATTTGTGGGATTATACATATTGTGGGATACTTCAAATGTTTTAACCATCTATAACGCAAAAATAGAGTGCGGCCGGGCGCGGTGGCTCACGCCTGTAATCCCAGCACTTTGGGAGGCCGAGGCGGGCGGATCACGAGGTCAGGAGATCGAGACCATCCTGGCTAAAACGGTGAAACCTCGTCTCTACTAAAAATACAAAAAATTAGCCGGGCGTAGTGGCGGGCGCCTGTAGTCCCAGCTACTTGGGAGGCTGAGGCAGGAGAATGGCGTGAACCCGGGAGGCGGAGCTTGCAGTGAGCCGAGATCCCGCCACTGCACTCCAGCCTGGGCGACAGAGCGAGACTCCGTCTCAAAAAAAAAAAAAAAAAAAAAAAAAATAGAGTGCAACACAACTATGTTATTCACAAGATAATTACAGAATTTACTTTGAAAATATTAATTTACAGTGTACTCTTGGAAGTAGGATCCAAGTTTTCAACTCCCTAAGAAAAGACAATTTATTTTAATCCTGTGGGTTTATCTCAGGCAGCAATCGTGTGCCTCATTAGTCATGACTTCAGACTCCTACATTTGAGGCCTGTTGCGATAGTGAGGCTGGGCCAAGGGACCGGCTCCCCACAGATAACCCTGCTCGCACTTAGGAAGAAGCCATTTTTGAATTGACATGTGCCCCATTCCTTCCCTTCTACCTGCTGAGCCAACACACGCTGCCTTTCCTCTGACATCACTCTGTTCATGTCCTCATGCTCCTGACTCAGAGCAGTGCCTGGCTGTCTCCTGTCCTTTTCTCATCCGCATCTCGCCCGTCCTTTGCCAGAGGGTGGACGTGCTACTGTCCAGCCCGCAGGTGGCTGCTATTTGCAGCAGTGAGCTCTGCAAACAACACTGTGCTTACCCCAGGCCTTAAGCCTGTTTGTTCTTGTCCAGTGACCCAGAGAGGGCTCAGGGCTCAGAACCATTTTCTCAGTGCTGCCAGTGTTCCCCCGAGGCATTGTGCCTGTAATATACTCTCCACATTTTGAAGGCAAGGGACTGCTTTACCTGACCCCACTGCTACTGCCCCAGAGAAATAACAACAATAACCACTATTTATTGAGCAATTACTGTGGTGTATTAGGCACTCTGGTAGGCTTTTTATATGAATCCTGTCATTTAATCTGCAGAAAACATTATGAGGCAGGAACAAATATCATCCTCACTTTGCAGATAAGGAATCCAAGACCCAAAGCAAGTAGGTTACTTGTATAAGGCCACACTGTTAGTATCTTTTTTATTTTATTTTATTTTTTTAAGACAAGGTCTCACTCTGTCACCCAGGCTGGAGTGCAGTGGCACAATCACGGCTCACTGAATCCTTGACCTCCCAGGCTCAAGTGATCCTCCCACCTCAGCTTCCCAAGTAGCTAGGACCACAGGTACACACCACCATGCCCAGCTAATTTTTTTTTTTTGTAAAGATAGGGTCTCCCCATGTTGCCAAGGCTGGTCTTGAACTCTTGGTCTCAAGTGGTCCTCCTGTCTTGGCCTCCCAAAGTGCTGTGATTACAGACATGAGCCACCATGCCCATCCAACACTGTTAGTATCTTTGCAGACCCTGGCAACCCACTCTCAGGTGCTCTGACCCCAGCAACAGGAATTTTCATCACTCTGGCCCTGTCCTGCTCTGTTTGGGAATGCTATGACAAAATATCATAGACTGGGTGGTTTAAAAACAACAAACATTTATTGCTTACAGTTCTGGGGGCTGGGAGTTCCAAGATCCAGGTGCTGGCAGATTTGGTGTCTGCTGAGGGCCCTAGTTCAGAGTCTTCTTGGTTCAGAGATAGCCATCTTTTCAATGTGACCTCACATGGCAGACAGGACAAGTGAACTCCCTCAATCCTCTTTTATAAATAGCAGTAACCCCACTCATGAAAGCCTCATGACCTAATCAACCCCCAAAGGCCCATCTCCAAATATCCTTTAAAAAAAAATTTTTTTTTAATAGAGATGAAGCCTCACTGCATTGACCAGGATGGTCTCAAACTCCTGGCCTCAAGTGATTCTCCCACCTCGGTCTCCCAAAGTGCTGGGATTAAAGGCATAAGCCACCACACCCAGCCCAAATATCCTTACACTGGGTATTATGTTTCAGCACGTGAATTTAGTGGGGCATAAACATTCAGACCATACTTGCCCTGTGGAGGATGATGAGTGGATGGATGGATGATGACCTATGGAGGATGATGGGTGGATGGATGGATGGACAATAGAGCAACAGACTGATCCCGGCACAGAGAGCTTGATTGGCCTGCTCAAGGACATGTCAGGCCCTTCAAGTACACACAGTCACAGACATGCCTGTGAGGGAGCAGCACACAGGGGCAAGGAGTTTGGACTCTGAGTGACACTACCTGAGTTTAAATCCCAGTACCATCACTCGCAAGTTGTGTAACCTGGGGCCAGTTTTTTCCACATCTGTGTGCCTCAGTTTTCTTATGTAGAGAGGTAGAATTATCATAATATCTTACTCATGAGATGTTAAGAGAAGTAAATAAAATTAGGCTTGTTGAGGCTGGGTACAGTGACTCACGCCTGTAATCCCAGCACTTTGGGAGGCTAAGGCGGGTGGATCAGTTGAGGTTGGGAGTTCAAGACCAGCCTGGCCAACATGGTGAAACCTCATCTCTACTAAAAATACAAAATTTAACTGGGTATGGTGGCACATGCCTGTAATCCCAGCTACTCCGGAGGCTGAGGCAGGAGAAACTCTTGAAGCCGGGAGGCAGAGGTTGCAGTGAGCCAAGATCACACCACTGCACTCCAGCCTGGGTGACAGAGAGAGACTCCATCTCAAAAAAAAAAAAAAAAAAAAAAAAAAAATAGGCTTGTTAATCTCTTAGATAAGGGTCTGGCAAAAAAAAAAATAGTGCTCTCTGAATGTTGGCTAGTATAATTATTACATTTTTTTTTTAACAACAATACCTTACTTTTGCCTTATGCCAAACCTTTCAAAGCCTGTGGGAAATGTTTTCTCATGTGAGCCTGGACCAGTGCCATGTAGTAGACAAGGCAAATATTTATGTCTAGTTTACAAAGGAGTTCATTTCGAAGAGTTCAGGAACATGAGAAATCCTAGAGCCAGGGATGGTAGATGCAGAAGCCAGGTGGGCTGACTAAGCCTGGAGGGTAAGAACTGCCCTGGGGAATACTGTGAAAGATGAGAAAAATCTGTCTTTAGCTCTGCCCCCCTTCACCCTTCACTGCTGCAGCCTGAATTGCTTTCAGCTATGGTCCCCTCTGAGCTCTGATATTGCTGTAAAGGGCTGTTTTTCACAAGCCCATTGCTTGTTTAAGCAGGGCCACTGGAGGGACCTCAAAAACCCTGCAGAATTTACTTGTGATGGAGTTATTCAGGCACTTCTTGAAACACTTGAGGAACTTAACACATTGGCTTTCTAGACAGGTAACTCTAGCAGCTGATGGAGAATAGTTGGAGGCCTGGATTCAGGGAGACGAGTAGGGAGGCTGTATTGATAATTCAGGTGAGAAATATTGATTGGTCTGAATTAAAGCACTAGCAATGGAGGAGAAGAAAAGAGGCTAGCACGAGGAGAGGTAGGAGGTAGTGCTGAGAGTTGACTGAATGAATGTGGAAGATAATGGGGAGCTGGGGTTGGAGCTGACAGGAAATACTTCATAGAGCAGCGGTTCTCAAGCTTTTTTTGTTTTAACATCAGAATCACTTGGTGGGCTTGTGAAAATAGAGATTGCTGGGCCCCTACCCAAAAGTGGGTGAGGGCTCTCTTCATAGTTCGAAGACAGCCATCTTCCTCTTGTATCCTCACAGGTGTGGTCCCAGAACCAGCAGCATTAGGATCACCTGGGAACTTGTTAAAAAAATGCAAATTTGTGGGCCCCTCTTTTGGGTAGGGGCTCAGCAATCTCTATTTCTCCACCCCACCTCAACTCACTTTATTGGCTTTCTCTTTATCTAGTTGCACAAAATGGGAGTGAATGCAAAGTCACAAGGCCCATTGCTGCTTTGCCATGGCCACCTAATGGTTCAGACCAGGAACATTATCAGGAACCACTATCCTAGAGAACAGCGTGGTTAGGTTTCAATGTAGCTTCTAGGAAGGAATTAGATGCAGATGGGCTGAGAAGATGGAGGAAAGCATGTTAGGTGGGCTAAATGGCATGGACAGTCAGTAATATGAGACTGTGTCCTGCCTGTTCAAGTGGCCTCTTGAGGGCCTGAGTGTGGTAGAGATAAGACTTTTTAAATAACCAGTGCCTTTGCAGTGTATCTGTTTGTGAGCGCTTCCCTTGCTCATGTTGTGATATAGCCATTGGATTTAATGAGTCTTAGTGTGAGTTGTTTCAGATTCAGATGCCAAGAGGATTTAAATGAAATTAAGAAGTGCAGGCAACTCCAGAAAAGAAAGGCATGTTGTACAGGGAAGAGAAGGTGGAGTCACAAAGCCACAGGAAAACTGGGGTAAGTGCAAAGCTCAAAATGATCCCAACCAAGGTGGGAGGCTGCTGGGGTATTAATACAATAACTCTTGAGAGTCATGATTGAGTGCTATATTTGGTGACAGGTGAGGTGTGTTAATTCCTTAGCACTTCTGGTCTGCAGCTTGCTTCCCTGAGTCCTGGGGAAAGAGCCGCAGGCACAGAGATGCAGGTGCTAGCTTTATAAATGGTGGGAATATATTCAAAGGTCCAGGGGAAGACTGTACATAAACACCATCTGGGGTTACCTCTAGCTAAATGCCAATAATGGTCTCTGTTAGGGCTCCTGGTCTGAACCTTTAAGTGGCTATGGCAAAGCAACAATGGGCCTTGTGACCCTGTGTTCATTCTCATTTTGTGCAACTAGAGAAAGAGAAAGCCACTAAGGTGAGTTAAGCTGGGATGGGGAGGAGGATTCCTTTTGGTATTCTAAGGATGTCAGGTATTTAGCCTGTGGAAATAGTGCATTTTAATCTTCCTTACATGTGGGACTATTTTTCTTATTCCAGGAAGTAGAAGTCAGTTCCAAACTGCTAATCAGGTCCTGGGTTTGTTTTGGATATTCACTTGAGATTAGCACATTACTAGTTTATTATCTCATTTTTCTCACTAAAAAATACCATACCTTGGATAGTCTTTTAGAATACTATTAGTCAGTTTGAGCTGCTATACCAAGATACGATAGACTGAGAGGCTTGAACAACAGAAATGTATTTCTCATAGTTCAGAAGGCTGGGAAGTCCAAGATCAAGGTGCTGGCAGATTTAGAGTCTGGTGAGAGCTCTCTTCATGGTTTGCAGATGGCAGTCTTCTGATTAATTCATCACTTGATAGAGAGCTCTAGTCCTTTCTCTACTGATAGATATATTAATCCCTTCATGGTGGCTCCACTCTCATGAGCTTATCTAAACCTCCCAAAGCTGCCATTTCCGAATACCATTGCATTAGAGGTTAGGAGGGACACAGACATACAGTCCATAACAAATACTCTTTCCTGAAACTCATATTTTCCTGGGCATTTAAATTGGGTTTTCATTTTACTTTTGATTCCTCCAAGTCTCTACAGCCTTGGAATCATCTTTTTCAATCAGCTGGAATCATATTCCTTTTGCCACCATTTAGAGTTAAGCAAAATGACAGAGGAACCAAATATTTCTGCTACGTGTTAAGCTCCTGGGGTGATCAAATGATGCACACCTGTGACCAATGAGGAAATGTACTAGTCATGTTGAAAGGCCCTTTATTGCTTTTCACAAAAAGGAAAAGCAAAAGGAAACAAATATTTTAGGTAAAAAGTCGTTATTAGCCCCAGTGGTTCCTGGAATAGCTCTAAGTTTCATTGAAATTCTTCTTGCATGTTGTCTTGTCCAGAGAAGTTGACCAGTAAGTATTGGTTAGCTTTAAACACTTTTAAAAAATAAAAATCCAGGCTGGGCGCAGTGGCTCATGCCTGTAATCCCAGCACTTTGGGAGGCCGAGGCAGGTGGATCACCTGAGGTCAGGAGTTCAAGACCAGCCTGGCCAACATGGTGAAACCTCGTCTCTACTGAAAATACAAAAATTAGCTGGGCATGGTGATGTGCGCCTGTAATCCTAGTTACTGGGGAGGCTGAGGCAGGAGAACCACTTGAACCCGGAAGGCAGAGGTTACAGTGAGCTGAGATCGTGCCATTGCACTCCAGCCTAGGTGGCAAGAGTGAAACTCTGTCTCAAAAATAAATAAATAAATAAATAATAATAATCTGGAGTATCATTCATATTTCTTAAATAAGACATATAACATTGCTATGTAATGTAATGTAACATAATATAATGGTTTTGAAACAGTATAACATTTTTTTCTTGGAGGTCAAATTAGTCTTGTTTAAAAGTTACTAAGTGTCAATCTTCAGCTATAAATTCATCCTGAGACCCAAGATGTGGAACATCTATTTATGGAGGATTAGCTGTGTTGTCTGTCACTCAACAGCCCAAGGGGCTGGGAAGAGGTCAAATTCTAAAGTAAACTCACCCATGGGAAGGATATTTGGTGCAATGACAGAGCTGAAAGGGTCATTCAGCTCACTCATTTTACAGATGAGGAAAATGAATCCCAAAGCAGGGGAGTAACTTCTAAGAGTAACACATTTAGTTGTAAATTAAATGGCACGCAGATCAGAGGTGGGGAGGATGGTAATCTGAGCCTCTCTCCCCAGCCATGGATGCCATTTCTGTCCTCTGCCCTTTCTGTCCCAAGGATTTGGGTTTAGACCAGGGCAGGTCTGGAGTTGCCACTCTGGACAGTGTTAAGGTAGGGATTCACAAAGCATATGCTATGGAACAAAATGAACTGATATTACTTAAATACATTGTTTTGCAGTTGTGTAGTTTTCAGATATGCAAAGTAGAACAAAGCCAGTAGGTTTATTTTACTTCAAGGCTCTGCTTCTTGGGGTCATTACAATTGAATGTGTTTACAAATCCCACAGAAATGTTTTAATGTTCAGAATTTCCCACACTTGCTAACAATGGGAAACCTCTTCTCATGGACCAACTTGTGAGACTAATGATTCTCAAGAACTCATATTGGGAAAGGCCAGTCCCAGTACCCTTGTTCACTTAAGAGGAAAGGAAGCCAGAAAGGTGTTATGGAACCAGTCTTACATTTTGGAAAAAGCTATTCTCAAGTTTAACCAAGTTTCAGGTCATGCCCACTCTGGATAGGTGTCTACTGAAATGATAATCCCAGGAATGCATCAAGTTGGACTTCAGTTTGTGTCTGATATTATCTGTTAATTCAGGGCCCATCATGCCATCTTGGCCCTTCCTCAGTATATCTAAGGTCACTGGAGATGATAGAACTGACCTAGTTTTTCAGTGGCCTCCAAACTATGTTAAATGAGTCAGCTAGACTGTACAGTCCACAGTGAACTAGATTTCAGGAAAGGACCTACACTCCAGAGAGTGTCCTGTGAGTGAAATGGATCTAGGAATCAATGGGACAATTGTTCATTATTTACCTACTTGTATTTGCTGTTGTCAAACTTTCAGCATCAGATGCTATATAATGGATCCTGAAAAGTTACTGCTGACAAAGTCTCTCCTCTTTACTCTCTTTTTCTTGTGAAACAACCATTTTGGTCCCAGATACTTTCAGTAATAATGATGGAAAGGTGACTTAGATATTAGTTCAAAGTCTGTCAAAGGAATTAAGCATCTCTGGATTGCTCTTATGAAAAGCACTTAGAACTATTTAATCAATTTTTTAAAAAAATATTAAAAAATGATTGTTAAGGATGGCTCAGGTGAGTTAGTTTGGCATCTACAGGACTTCATAAAATGCCACTTACTCCACGCAGACTTCTCTTGCTAACTAGAGGTTATGCAACAACTTCCTCCCTCAAGACCAGCTCTATGAAAATTAATAAACATGGAAATATATATTCTATTTTAAAAATTGTCATCTGAGCTAGAACCACCTTTTATATTGCAGATCCTCTATGTTCATATTTACATATATGTGTATACTTGGATACATGCAATGTGTAATTTTCAAACACTAAGACTTACTACTAACAACAGTGTAAGGACTTATCAATTCAAACTTAAATCTGGAGGCCATTTTCCTGGAAAAAAATGTACAAATACATACATATGCACACGTGTGCATACACACACACATATAATTTGTGTGTGAGGCCAAGGGTTGGAGGTACTGCCTATAAAGTTAGATGACAAGCCATACAAGAAATAGGCATTGCTCTATCTCATATTGGAAGCTCCTTAGAAGTCAGCAATTTAAGAGTGGTGTTTTTTGAGACCCATGATTTGCAAAGTCTGTTTTGGGATGGGGAGTAAATTGTGGCCAAATTTGATAATTTACTCTGTAACAATTGAATAACTGTGGATAGTGGGTCAAAAGAGCAATTTTGCCCTTGGCTGTAGAGATTGAAAGAGTAGAAGCAAAATACATAGAACCCTTGGCTTCTCTGATTTCAATACAGAAATCAAGAGACACAGAATTCCAAAGTCAGGACCCTCCAAACAATGAAACTGAATGAAATACCTCACTTAGAAGATAAATCTATATCCAAGTCCCATAAGAAATCACCGACAGCAGAAAAGCAACCTAGAAATGGATCCGAGGGTAATTTAATATTTTGAAACCTCTCCTTTCTCTTCCATGTTGATGTGTTTTTCTTGGGGTCTGATTTTAGGGAACATCAGTAAGAGCAGGTAGGAGTATTTAGAAGGATGAGGGGGCAGCATTAGTGAAACTTATTGTGTTTGACATGGATTTTGAAAAGTAGATAACACTTGGGAGGTTTGATAATTTGAGAAAGCTCTTTTCAATGTTGATATAGATTTGTATTCATACCTATATTCCTGCTGTGTTATTGAATCTGCATGTTTCACAGTTGAATATGTTTCATTACATACTGTATAATGTATTATTGATATATTTCTACTTTGCTAATATCTGATTGAATTAAAGCACTACATATGTAGAAGAGAACAGCCTTAACACTTTGCTATAGACATAAAAAAGGAAGTGAATGGGAAGATTACATTATAAAACTACCAATTCTTGCGAAACAAAGCTATAAATTAAATGCAATTATTTTTTTAAATCCAAGGATAATTTTAATGAAACATGATAGGCTAAATATATCACAAATAACAAAAATATAAAATATCCAAATGAATTTTAGAAGAATGGGGGCAGCTTGCTCTACAGATATCAAAGCATACTAAAGAGCTGCAGTAGCTGAAACAGTGTGATACTGACTTAGGAACAATGAAACAGATTGATTGAGGAAAGAGACTACACTTTTCAGGGAAATTGATAAGCTGGTTGTAAAATTTGTGTGGACTATCCAAGACAGGAATAACCAAAACTCTGTTGAATATAAAGAATGAGGTGAGAGGACTTGCTCTTCTAGAAATCAAGACATACCACAAAGCTACAGAATTAAAATAGTGTGGTATTGGTGCAAGGCTAGACAAATAGACCAGTGGATATAACAGGGAGTTCAGAAAGAACTCACAATTTTGGTAACAGAAAATATTGATAGCAGAGGAGGAACTTTATCCTGTTGGGAAATGATGGAATTCTCAATAAAATGTGAGACAATTGGCTATCTATATACTAAAAATAAAATTAAATCTCTCCTTCATAACATAGAAAAATAATTTCCAGGTAGGTTAAAGACTTAAATGTAATACATAAAACTCTAAAGATTTTAGAAGAGTATATAGGAACATATCTTCGTGACCTTGGGTAAAAAGTATTTTTTTGTTGAAAGCAGTAGTCACAAAAAACAAGATTCATGAAGCTGACTACATGAAAATTAAAAACTTTTCATCATATGTCAGTATGAAAATGATGAAAAGAAAAGCCAATGAGAGGCGAAGACATCTGCAGAATATGTGATGATCAAAGGATATTCAGACTAAAGAAGGTCTATAGATCAATAAACAAAAGGTCAACAACTCAACAGAAAAATGGTTAAGAGACTCAGACACTTCTCAAACAACAACAAAACATTGAATTGGCTAACAAACATATAAAAAGGAGTTCAGCCTCACCAGTAGTCATGAAAATGCAAATTAAAATGTCACAATTATACTATTACACACCCGTTAGGCAAACTTTGGAAAGCCTAATTTTTAAAATTTATATATATATATAAATTTATCTATATATTTTAACATTTATATATATAAATATAAATATATATATTTATATTTTGCATGATTTGCAAAGTCTGTTTTGGGATGGGGAGTAAATTGTGGCCAAATTTGATAATTTACTCTGTAACAATTGAATAACTGTGGATAGTGGGTCAAAAGAGCACTTTTGCCCTTGGCTGTAGAGATTGAAAGAGTGGAAGCAAAATACATAAAACCCTTGGCTTCTCTCTCTCTCTCTCTCTCTCTCTCTCTCTCTCTCTCTCTCTCTCGATATATCGAGAGAGAGAGAGAGAGACAAGGTCTGGCTTTGTTGTTCAGGCTGGAGTGCAGTGGTGTGATCATAGCTCACTGTAACCACAAACTCCTGGGCTCAAGTGATCCTTTCTTCTCAGCCTCCAGAGTAGCTGGGACTATAGGTGCATGCCACCATACCTGGTTAATTTTTAAATTGTTTTGTAGAGACAGGGACTTGCAGTGTCACCCAGCCTGGTCTCAGACTCCTAGGTTCAAGTGATCCTCCCACCTTGATCTCCCACAGTGTTGGGATTATAGGCGTGACCCCCCACACCCTGCAGGAAAGCCTAATCTTAAGTGTTGGCCAGGTTAGGAGCATGCATGACTGAAAAAATGTAAATTGGTACCAACACTTTGAGAAACAGATAGAATTATTTAAGAAAATTGAAGATTAGCATATTCTATAACCTATAATTTCCACTTCTACTTGCATATCTTACTGATTTCATTGTCAGTGGTTCCTAAAGGTGATCAGAACATGCCAACCACAAATATACTACTTTAACATATTTATTTATTTATTTATTTTGAGATGGAGTCTCACTCTGTCACCCAGGCTGGAGTACAGTGGCACCATCTCGGCTCACTGCAACATCCGCCTCCCGGGTTCAAGAGATTCTCCTGCCTCAGCCTCCTGAGTAGCTGGGATTACAGGGGCCCACCATCATGCCCATCTAATTTTTGTATTTTTAGTAGAGACGGGGTTTTGCCGTGTTGGTCAGGCTGGTCTCGAACTCCTGACCTCAGGTAATCCGTCTACCTCAGCCTCCCAAAATTTTGAGATTACAGACGTGAGCCACCACACCCAGCACATATTGATTATTTTGAGTTGAAGATAATTGAAGAAAAGCAGATGCAGAAAGGGCTCTCTGACTAACCCTTTCCTACCTAGAAGTGGAGCATAAATTTCTTATGAAAAAGGTGTCCTTCCTGTACCAGGAACAGAACATTTTTATCACTTGAGGTGGGAAAGTCAACACTGAGATGAATCTGTACAAATGAACCTACTATAATAATGCTTATCTTTCATTAGTCTTTCCCATATATTTCCTGGTCACTTTCCCACAGGTTATCATCCATAGCCCAAACCCGTCTTTCCCTTGTCTTGCCATGTCGCCGCCACATATTGTCCTTCATTGAAATGAAGTATAGGTTCTCAGGCCTATCCACTTCTTCAGGTCTTCTTTATTTTATTTTATTTATTTTTTTTATTATTATACTTTAAGTTCTAGGGTACGTGTTCACAATGTGCAGGTGTGTTACATATGTATACATGTGCCATGTTGGTGTGCTGAACCTGTTAACTCATCATTTACATTAGGTATATCTCCTAATGCTATACCTCCCCCATCCCCCCACCCCACGACAGGCCCCAGTGTGTGATGTTCCCCTCCCTGTGTCCAAGTGTTCTCATTGTTCAATTCCCACGTATGAGTGAGAAGATGGGGTGTTTGGTTTTCTGTCCTTGCGATAGTTTGCTGAGAATGATGGTTTCCAGCTTCATCCATGTCCCTACAAAGGATGTGAACTCATCCTTTTTTATGGCTGCGTAAGATTCCATGGTGTATATGTGCCACATTTTCTTAATCCAGTCTATCATTGATGGACATTTGGGTTGGTTCCAAGTCTTTGCTATTGTGAATAGTGCCACAATAAACATACCTGTGCATGTGTCTTTATAGCAGCATGATTTATAATCCTTTGGGTATATGCTCAGTAATGGGATGACTGGGTCAAATGGTATTTATAGTTCAAGATCCTTGAGGAATCGCCACACTGTCTTCCACAATGGTTGAACTAGTTTACAGTCCCACCAACAGTGTAAAAGTGTTCCTATTTCTCCACATCCTCTCCAGCACCTGTTGTTTCCTGACTTTTTAATGATCACCATTCTAACTGGTGTGAGATGGTATCTCATTGTGGTTTTGGTTTGCATTTCTCTGATGGCCAGTTGTGATGAACATTTTTTCATGTGTCTGTTGGCTGCTTAAATGTCTTCTTTTGAGAAGTGTCTGTTCATATCCTTTGCCCACTTTTTGATGGAGTTGTTTGGTTTTTTTCTTGTAAATTTGTTTAAGTTCTTTGTGGATTCTGGATATTAGCCCTTTGTCAGATGGGTAGATTGTAAAAATTTTCTCCCATTCTGTAGGTTGCCTGTTCACTCTGATGGTAGTTTCTTTTGCTGTGCAGAAGCTCTTTAGTTTAATTAGATCCCATTTGTCAATTTTGGCTTTTGTTGCCATTGCTTTTGGTGTTTTAATCATGAAGTCCTTGCCCATGCCTATGTCCTGAATGGTATTGCCTAGGTTTTTCTCTAGGGTTTTTATGGTTTTAGGTGTAACATTTAAGTCTTTAATCCATCTTGAATTAATTTTTGTATAAGGTGTAAGGAAGGGATCCAGTTTCAGCTTTCTACATATAACTAGCCAGTTTTCCCAGCACCACTTATTAAATAGAGAATCCTTTCCCCATTTCTTGTTTTTGTCAGGTTTGTCAAAGATCAGATAGTTGCAGATGTGTGGTATTATTTCTGAGGGCTGTATGCTGTTTCATTGGTCTATATCTCTGTTTTGGTACCAGTACCATGCTGTTTTGGTTAGTGTAGCCTTGAAGTACAGTTTGAAGTCAGGTAGTGTGATGCCTCCAGCTTTGTTCTTTTGGCTTAGGATTGTCTTGGCAATGTGGGCTCTTTTTTGGTTCCATATGAATTTTAAGGTAGTTTTTTCCAATTCTGTGAAGAAAGTCATTGGTAGCTTGATAGGGATGGCATTGAATCTATAATATACCTTGGGCAGTATGGCCATTTTCACATTATTGATTCTTCCTATCCATGAGCATGGAATGTTCTTCCATTTGTTTTTGTTCTCTTTTATTTCATTGAGCGTGGTTTCTAGTTCTCCTTGAAGAGGTCCTTCACATCCTTTGTATGTTGGATTCCTAGGTATTTTTTTTTCTTTGACGCAATTGTGAATGGGAGTTCACACATAATTTGGCTCTCTGTTTGTCTGTTATTGGTGTATAGGAATGCTTGTGATTTTTGCACATTGATTTTGTATCCTGAGACTTTGCTGAAGTTGCTTATCAGCTTAAGGAGATTTGGGGCTGAGATGATGGGGTTTTCTAAATATACAATCATGTCATCTGCAAACAGGGACAATTTGACTTCCTCTTTTCCTAATTGAATACCCTTTATTTCTTTCTCTTGCCTGATTGCCCTGGCCAGAACTTCCAACACTATGTTGAATAGGAGTGGTGAGAGAGGGCATCCCTGTCTTGTGCCAGTTTTCAAAGGGAATGCTTCCAGTTTTTGCCTATTCAGTATGATATTGGCTGTGGGTTTGTCATAAATAGCTCATGTTATTTTGAGGTACGTCCCATCAATACCTAGTTTATTGAAAGTTTTTAGCATGAAGGATTGTTGAATTTTGTCAAAGGCCTTTTCTGCGTCTATTGAGATAATCCTGTGGTTTTTGTCTTTGGTTCTGTTTATATGATGGATTACGTTTATTGATTTGCGCATGTTGAACCAGCCTTGCATCCCAGGGATGAAGCCAACTTGATCGTGGTGGATAAGCTTTTTGATATCCTGCTGGATTCAGTTTGCCAGTATTTTATTGAGGATTTTCACATTGATGTTCGTCAGGGATATTGGTCTAAATTTCTCTTTTTCTGTTGTGTCTCTGCCGGACTTTTGTGTCAGGATGATGTTGGCCTCATAAAATGAATTAGTGAGGATTCCCTCTTTTTCTATTGATTGGAATAGTTTCAGAAGGAATGGTACCAGCTCCTCTTTGTACCTCTGGTAGAATTTAGCTGTGAATCTGTCTGGTCCTGGACTTTTTTGGTTGGTAAGCTATTAATTATTGCCTCAATTTCAGAACCTGTTATTGGTCTATTCAGGGATTCAACTTCTTCCTGGTTTAGTCTTGGGACACATACGTGTCGAGGAATTTATCCATTTCTTCTAGATTTTCTAGTTTATTTGCATAGAGGTGTTTATAGTATTCTCTGATGGTAGTTCATATTTCTGTGGAATCAGTGGTGATATCCCCTTTATCATTTTTTATTGCGTCTATTAGATTCTTCTCTCATTTCTTCTTTATTAGTCTGGCTAGTGGTCTATCAATTTTGTTGATCTTTTCGAAAAATCAGCTCCTGGATTCATTGATTTTTTGAAGAGTTTTTTATGTCTCTATCTCCTTCAGTTCTGCTCTGATCTTAGTTATTTCTTGCCTTCGGCTAGCTTTTGAATGTGTTTCCTCTTGCTTCTCTAGTTCTTTTAATTGTGATGTTAGGGTGTCAATTTTAGATCTTTCCTGCTTTCTCTTGTGGGCATTTAGTGCTATAAATTTCCCTCTACACACTGTTTTGAATGTGTCCCAGAGATTCTGGTATGTTGTGTCTTTGTTCTCATTGGTTTCAAAGAACATCTTTATTTTTGCCTTCATTTCGTTATGTACCCAGTAGTCATTCAGGAGGAAGTTGTTCAGTTTCCATGTAGTTGAGCGGTTCTGAGTGAGTTTCTTAATCCTAAGTTCTAGTTTGATTGCACTGTGGTCTGAGAGAGAGTTTGTTATAATTTCTGTTCTTTTACATTTGCTGAGGAGTGCTTTACTTCCAAATATGTGGTCAATTTTGGAATAAGTGCTATGTGGTGCTGAGAAGAATGTATATTCTGTTGATTTGGGGTGGAGAGTTCTGTAGATGTCTATTAGGTCTGCTTGGTGCAGAGCTGAGTTCAATTCCTTGATATCCTTGTTAACCTTCTGTCTCGTTGATCTGTCTAATGTTGACAGTAGGGTGTTAAGGTCTCCCGTTATTATTGTGTGGGAGTCTAAGTCTCTGTGTAGGTCTCTATGGACTTGCTTTATGAATCTGGGTGCTCCTGTATTGAGTACATATATATTTAGGATAGTTAGCTCTTCTTGTGGAATTGATCCCTTTACCATTATGTAATGGCCTTCTTTGTCTCTTTTGATCTTTGTTGGTTTAAGGTCTGTTTTATCAGAGACTAGGATTGCAACCCCTGCTTTTTTGTTGTTTTCCGTTTGCTTGGTAGATCTTCCTCCATCCCTTTATTTTGAACCTATGTGTGTCTCTGCACATGAAATGGGTCTCCTGAATACAGCACACTGATGGGTCTTGACTCTTTATCCAACTTACCAGTCTGTGTCTTTTAATTGGAGCATTTAGCCCATTTACATTTAAGGTTAATATTGTTATGTGTGAATTTGATCCTATCATTATGATGTTAGCTGGTTATTTTGCTCATTAGTTGATGCACTTTCTTCCTAACATCGATGGCCTTTACAATTTGGCATGTTTTTGCAGTGGCTGATAGCGGTTGTTCCTTTCCATGTTTAGTGCTTCCTTCAGGAGCTCTTTTAGGGCAGGCCTGGTGGTGACAAAATCTCTCAGCATTTATTTGTCTGTAAAGGATTTTATTTCTCCTTCACTTATGAAGCTTAGTTTGGCTGGATATGAAATTCTGGGTTGAAAATTCTTTTCTTTAAGAATGTTGAATATTGGCCCCCACTCTCTTGTGGCTTGTAGAGTTTCTGCCAAGAGATCAGCTGTTAGTCTGATGGGCTTCCCTTTGTGGGTAACCTGACCTTTCTCTCTGGCTGCCCTTAACATTTTTTCCTTCATTTCAACTTTAGTGAATCTGACATTTATGTGTCTTGGGGTTGCTCTTCTCAAGGAGTATCTTTGTGGTGTTCTCTGTATTTCCTGAATTTGAATGTTGGCCTGCCTTGCTAGGTTGGGGAAGTTCTCCTGGATAATATCCTGAAGAGTGTTTTCCAACTTGGTTCCATTCTCCCCATCACTTTCAGGTACACCAATCAGACGTAGATTTGGTCTTTTCACATAGTCCCATATTTCTTGGAGGCTTTGTTCGTTTCTTTTTACTCTTTTTTCTCTAAACTTCTCTTCTTGCTTCATTTCATTCATTTAATCTTCAATCACTGATACCCGTTCTTCCACTTGATCAAATCAGCTACTGAAGCTTGTGCATGTGTCACGTAGTTCTTGTGCCATGGTTTTCAGCTCCATCAGGTCATTTACGGACTTCTCTACACTGTTTATTCTAGTTAGCCATTCATCTAATCTTTTTCAAGGTTTTTAGCTTCTTTGCGATGGGTTCATACATCCTCCTTTAGCTCGGAGAAGTTTATTATTACCGATCGTCTGAAGACTTCTTCTCTCAGCTCATCAAAGTCATTCTCCATCTGGCTTTGTTCCGTTGCTGGTGAGGAGCTGTATTCCTTTGGAGGAGAAGACGCGCTCTGATTTTTAGAATTTTCTGCTTTTCTGTTCTGGTTTCTCCCCATCTTTGTGGTTTTATCTACCTTTGGTCTTTTATGATGGTGACGTACAGATGGGGTTTTGGTGTGGATGTCCTTTCTGTTTGTTAGTTTTCCTTCTAACAGTCAGGAGCCTCAGCTGCATGTCTGTTGGAGTTTGCTGAAGGTCCACTCCAGACCCTGTTTGCCTGGGTATCACCAACAGAGGCTGCAGAACAGCAAATATTGCAGAACGGCAAATGTTGCTGCCTGATCCTTCCTCTGGAAGCTTCATCTCAGAGGTGCACCCGGCCATATGAGGTGTCAGTCGGCCCCTACTGGGAGGTGTCCCCCAGTTAGGCTACTCGGGGGTCAGGGACCCACTTGAGGAGCCAGTCTGTCCGTTCTCAGTTCTCAAACTCCCTACTGGGAGAACCACTACTTTCTTCAAAGCTGTCAGACAGGGACATTTAAGTCTGCACAAGTTTCTGCTGCCTTTTGTTCAGCTATGCCCTGCCCCCAGAGGTGGAGTCTACAGAGGCAGGCAGGCCTCCTTGAGCTGTGGTGGGCTCCATACAGTTTGAGCTTCCCAGCCTCTTTATTTACCTACTCAAGCCTCAGCAATGGCAGACGCCCATCCCCCAGCCCTGCTGCCACCTTGCAGTTCGATCTCAGACTGCTGTGCTAGCAGTGAGCGAGGCTCCGTGGGCCTGGGACCCTCCAAGCCAGGCATGGGATATAATCTCTTGGTGTGCCGTTTGCTAAGGCCGTTGGAAAAGCACAGTATTAGGGTGGGAATGATCCGATTTTCCAGGTACCGTCTGTCACGGCTTCCCTTTGCTAGGAAAGGGAATTCCCCAACCCCTTGTGCTTCCCGGGTGAGGCGATGCCCCACCCTGCTCCGTGGGCTGCACCTACTGTCTGACAAGCCCCAGTGAGATGAACCCGGTACCTCAGTTGGAAATGCAGAAATCACTCATCTTCTGCGTCACTCATGCTGGGAGCTGCAGACTGGAGCTGTCCCTATTCAGCCATCTTGGAACTCGGGTCTTCTTTTCTTAAATATGAAGGCCTCCATGTACATGTAAGAATATTAACATCAAGTATAATTTATATGTTTTTATCCTGTTAATCTCTCTGTTGTTAGTTTAATTCTCAAGCCAAGTCACAGAACCTAAGAGGGTAGAGGAAAAGTTTTCCACCCCTCCACGCAAGAATACAGTGTATAAGAATGTTCATTTCATCTTTGTTCTTAAATGACAAAAGTTGAAAATACTTAATTCCCTTTCAACAGCAGAATGTGTAAGCAGAAGTATGGCCATTTGGTAGAATGTTATACAATAATAAAAACCAACAAACATGATATAAGTAAAAAATTAAGTTACAAAAATTGCAGGCCGGGTGTGGTGGCTCATGCCTGTAATCCCAGCACTTTGGGAGGCCGAGGCGGGCAGATCACAAGGTCAGGAGATCGAGACCATCCTGGCTAACATGGTGAAACCCTGTTTCTACTAAAAATACAAAAAAATTAGCCGGGCGTGGTGGTGGGCGCCTGTAGTCCCAGCTACTCGGGAGGCTGAGGCAGGAGAATGGCATGAACCTGGGAGGTGGAGCTTGCAGTGAGCCAAGATTGTGCCACTGCACTCTAGCCTGGGCGACAGAGCAAGACTCCATCTCAAAAAAAAAAAAAATTGCGTATGGCATGATTCCATTATATAAAATCTAAAAACAGGCAAAATGAAACTATATTGTTTAGAAATGCATACATACGTGGTAAATAAAAGCAAGGAAATTATTACTGCCAAGATCAAGAGATGACCTTTCTGTACTAGTGTAGTATTAATAGTTGCCCCCATTTACCACCATTTGCTGAACTGTATGCTTGTTTTACATAATTTCCTGCATGTTACATTTCATAAGAAGAGCAAAACCAAATAAAGTCAAAGACAAAACAAAAACCCTAGGAAGTAAAGAAAAGAAAATGAGAAGGCCGGGCGCCATAGCTCATGCCTTTAATCTGGCACTTTGGGAGGCTGAGGCGGGTAGATCACTTGAGGTCAGGAGTTTGAGACCACCCTGGCCAACATGGTGAAACCCTGTCTCTACTAAAAATACAAAAATTAGCCAGGTATGATGGCCTGCACCTGTAATCCCAGCTATTTGGGAGGCTGAGGCAGGAGAATCGCTTGAACCCAGGAGGCAGAGGTTGCTGTGAGCTGAGATCGGGCCACTGCACTCCAGCCTGGGTGACAGAGTGAGACCTTGTCTCAAAAAAGAAAAGAAAAGAAAACAAGAAAAGACATGAGACTCTTGAAACAGAAATACATGTTAATTTAATATATGTTAAAAGCAGTATTTCAAATTCAATTTAGTCAATAAATGGTGTTGAAACTGGAAGGAAGAGATTGACATATTTGACTGACGATAAATTTCAACTCATCTCCGTGGTCAAAGACACCACAAATAACTTGGAGAAAATATTGACAACATACACAAGAGGCAAATAATCATTTCTATAGTACATTACAAATGCCCAGAAATGAATGTGGGGTGGAGATATGAGCAGATAGTAGACAGAATAAAAGATATAAATGGTCAATAAACATATGAAAAAATAACCAACTTTATTATTAATTGGCAAAGTAAAAATAGAAAAAATGTTTGATACGTAGGGAGAAGTCATATAATCATTGTAATTACTTGTATAATTATAATACATTAACATTATTAAAAAGTAATTTAAAATACAAAAATTAAGAAAATCAGTAAAGGCTAAGACTCCTCTAGCTTCACCATTTCTTAGTGCATGATCCATATGCTTAGTCTCAAGATGGCTGCCCTGGCCCAGGCATTACATCTGTGTTCCAGGCATAGTAAAGGGAAGAATGGCAAAAGAAAACTAGTGCATGCCAGGTGAGTCTGACCCTGCTCGTCAGTCAAAAAACAGCTTTCCCATCGGCCTCAGCACCAAGAATTGTACTTAAATCTTATTGGCAAAACAGTGTCACAGGTTACCCCTAACTGTTAGGGAATCTGAGGAGTGTATTTTTAAAATGGGCGTATTTCTGGGTTGCACTAAACTGTGGTTCTGTTAATAGACAAGAAGGGACGCACATAGAGTTGGCCCTTTGTATCTGTGGGTTCTGTATCTGCGAATTCAATCACAGATAGAAAATTTTGGAAAAAGAAAACATTCTGAATGCATAGAGACTTTTGGGGGGGCATTATTATTCTCTAAACAATACAGTATAACAACTATTTAAACAGCATTTACATTGTATTAAGTATTACAAGTATTCTAGAGATGATTTAAAGTGTACAGGAGGATGTGCACAGGTTATATGCAAATGCTGTGTCATTTTATATCAGGGACTTAAGCATCTATGAATTTTGATATCTGCTAGAGGTCCTGGAACCAACCTTCCATGGATATTGGAATTGTTCTGCCCAATACCCACTGGGGGAGGGCTGTATATTGCTTAAGCAACTAATGATGTCTGCTGCATGAAGGAAGCATGTAGAACAGAACCTCATATATTGTACATAATAAATAATAGTTAAAAGAATGAATTAGAATTGTTATATTATAGTGTATATAAACCTTTATTTCATATTATAATCTACATGAACCTTTATTGCTTGAAATTTTTACAATGAACTTGTATTACTTTCAAATTTATAGATCGAATGCATACTTATATCTGGAGTCCTGGAGCATTTTGCAGTTCCAGAAAGTAAGAAAATGCACTTTCTCTCTCTGTCTCTCTCTCTCTCTCTCACACACACACACACACACACACACACACACACACACACACACACACACTGATGGGGGGTATGTCAAAGGAATGCAGGAGCCAACTAAAAGAGCTGCCAATGGTCAAAGCTAGAACCATTTGAGTAATAAAATAAAGAAGTATTGGATTGTAACACAAAGTATAAAATAAATATCCATTAGTCCTTACTGATATAAATAAGTGATTAAATAAATAAATTGGGAAAAAGAGAAAATTTTCCCATGCTGAAGAATTTCAGATAATTTATGTAGTTACTCCACCCTCAAGGAGGGGTGCACAACTCTCCAATCCTTAGGTTTTGGCTGTGCCTAGTGACTTCCTTCCAAAGAGTGTGGTATGAAGAGAGGTGGTGGGGAGAGTAATTTTACAGAGCAGAAACCTCCCAAACACCACAGCCAGGTGATGAACAAGGCCAACATCAACAGTAGTAAGTCATGGGGATAGCAGTTACTCTTGATATGATGGGAAGAAAATGGCACTTCACCTCTGTGGTCTTCCTCCCAATAACTCATAACCCGAGTATTTTCTATGAGGAAAGACGTCAGACAAATTCCAATACTAGGCAACCTATAAAATACTTGGCCTGTACTCCTCAAAACTAACAAGGTCATCAAAAATAAAGTGTGAGAAATTGCCACATTTAAAAAGACATGACAACTTAATGTAAAGTGGTATCTGAGATGGAATCTTGGAACAGAGAAAGGGCATTGAATAAAAGCTAAGAATCTCTAAATAAACTATGCCATTTTAAAAATAATGATGTGTCAATATTGGCTTATTAATCATAACACATGTATCATACTAATGTAAAGTGTCAACGATGGGGAAACTGAATGGAAGGTATCTGGGAACTTTCTGTACTGTCTCCTCAGTTGTTTCTGTAAATCTAAAACTGTTCTAAAAAATAAAGTTTGTTAAAAAGAAAATATCCAAATTCTTGTGAATATTCTTGATCTCTTTTCTACTGATTAAAGGGTATATTAGTTATCTATTGCTGCATAACCAATTGCCACAAACCTAGTGGTTTAAACAAGACATATTCATTGTTTCACAGTTTCTGAGTATTAGGAGTTTCGGCTTGGCTTACCTGGGTCCTCTTTAGGATCTCACAAGGCTCCAAAGAAGTTATTGGGTTGGTGAGGCTGTTCTCATCTGCAGGCTGGACTGGGGAAGAATCTCCTTCCCAGATTAGTCTGATTCTTGGCAGGACCATTTCCTTGCAGCTGTATGACTGGAAGCCCAGCTTTTTACTCTCTTCTTCCGGGGGCTGTCCTCAGCTCCTAGAGGGCAACAGCAGTTCCTTGCCAGGTGAGCTTCCCCATCAAGGCCACGTGGCTTCATCAAGCCAGCAAGAAGAGTCTCTTGAGCAAGTTGGCTAGCAAGATGGAGTCTTATATGTTGCATGTAACTATAGGAGTGCCATCTCAACAGGTTTACCAAATTCTACTGGTTAGCAGCAGGGCACAGGCACAGGATTTCACCAAAGTATGATCACCAGGAGGCAGGGATTATCATGGGGCCACATTACTGTCTTTTTGCCACAAGCCTTTATTCATCTAATTCACATCCATAGTCATGAAGGGAACCAGAAGAATGGAGCCATATACTGCAGGCCACATCCAGCCCCAAAGCTCAGCAACAAATCCCAAGTCCCACACTCCAGCATTCAGTCCCACACTCGCAGCTCAAAAGCCACCAAGAAGTCTTTGGATGAGCATCTGGTTCCAGTTCTGAAAGTCTAGGTCTATGTATATACTATACTTTGATGAAAAGTTTTTAAAAATGTTGGGCATATGTCATCAGGACCTCCTGAGGTTGTATCACAGGCACGTCCTTAACTTTTGCAAAATAAACTTTCTAAATTTATTGAGACCTGTCTCAGATACTTTTGGGTTCATACCTTATATGTATCCTTTCTCAGGAAACTACTGGAGGATGTTTTCCATCAAAACAGGAAAGGTAAGCAAGAGAAAGACATGGGATCCAGGAAACCCAAGATCTAATTCAGAAGAGAGAAGAGGATAATTCCCAGAATGAAAGACAGTGGAGGGGGCTCAAGAAAAGAACTGAGTTCCAGCCGCACAGGGAACTGATCCAGTTGGAAGAAAAGACTCCCTGAGAGATCTAAGAAGAGGAAATGGGTAGAATTATAGAACACTACTTAATGTCTTTGAAAACACCAAGAGCAGACTTGACTTAGCCAGAAAGTTTGAGGTGTTAGTGCTAAAAGTGTCTAGAATTATTCTGCCCAATACCATCGCCACCTGCTACATGTGGCTGTTTGAGTTTAAGTCAAATAAAAGTCTAAAAATTCAATTCTGCAGTCACACTAACCACATTTTGAGTGTTCAATAGCCACATGGGGCTAGTGGCTACTGTACTGGACAGTGCTGGTATAGAACATTTCAACTATTGCAGAAAGCTCTCTCAGACACCACTTGTCTAGAAAAAAATTAAGCCAAGGAAGAAAATAAAAGAAATGGAGAAAAATACCAACTTCCAGAAAAACAAGCCCTTGTAGAGGAAAAGAAAAATAATCATAATTTATAGGGTTCAGCTGTGAATAGCCTTTTGCTAATCATAAAAATGTAAACATTGAGTTCTGAATTATATGTGTAGAACTTTATTGAGGTGCAGGAGGTGAGGCTTGTGGTTTAGATGAAAGAGAATTAAAGCCTCATCTTCCCGGATAGGAGCTTAATAAATGATGCCTATGAATGAAAAATCAGGAAGGAGCAATGTAGACATTTTGTTAAATGTGTAAAGGAATATAACAAAAGATTCAGCTAAATGAGTCCAAGTGATGTCTCCAGGGAGGGGAAAAAGGAATAGAGGAAACAGGAAATGTTGATTTAGTAGCAAGTCTTATGAAACTTAAGCTTGATTCTTAAGCTATGTTCATATAGAGGTTGATCAAAATACTGAAATCAAAGTAATGACAACAAAAACTGTTACAATCCCATCTCCCCTTATCATGTCTTTTTTGGTCTCCAGGCATGACACTTCTATATTTTCATATTTAGGGAAGCCTTATCTGAAGTTCCGATATTGGCACCTAACTGCCCTGCTTTGGTTTGTAGCCAGTTGTACAAGCTTCTAGTCAGATGCCTGCGTACTCATAAATTCTTAGACTAACTATTGTCTGATTTTAGAAGCTTCAAGATATTTGGTATTTCAGTTAAATACAGAATAAAGCGTGAAGCTTCCAATATAATGTAAAAAATGATAATAGTAAAAATAATAATAGCTAACATTTACTGAACACTTACCATGTGCAAGGCATATAATAAGAACCTACCAATAAATCAGGGTGCCAATGTACTGTCGTTCCACAGAAGAGGTCATAGATAGGCCAGGAAAATAAAGCTGTTCTTTCATCTCTAGAGGGCATCATTCCAGATTAGAATCTGCAGAATTTAGTAAGGAGGTGGCAGTGTTTTTCTCTAGTGTGACTAGGAGGTAAATATAAGCTGCTTGCTGGTTCACTCACCCCTGTGTAACCATGGTAGGAATATAACCAGCTCTCCTGTGAGTCTCTTACTTCTGATGGCTTTGCAAATTATTAGGGCAACCTGCAGCAGGCCAGTTTAGCAGGGGCTTTGGGGCTTTCTTTTAGGAGGAATTTATCCCAAGAGATCTAAGCCAGGGTAATTTCATGTGAACTCACTCTTGCCCCACCCCCCACCCTAACTTTTTAGATGCACACTTCATTATGAATGGAGTTTGAGGTTCTGCTCATCTGTAGCACTTCTATTTACTATCATAGTGGTTTCAAAAGTAATGTATAAAGAGTGTCTTAGTCCATTTGGTCTGCTATAACAGAAATAATATAAGCTGGATGGCTTATAAACAGAAATTTACTTCTCATAGTTCTAGAGGCTGGATGTCTAAGATCAGGGTGCTGGCATGGTTGGGTTCTAGTGAGGACTTTCTTTCAGGTTGTGGCTGGCCATCATCCCCCTGTAACTTCACATGGCAGAGAGAGTGCCAGGCAGCTCTCTGGGGCCTCTTTCATAAGTGTACTAATCCCATTCGTGAGGGCTCCACCCTTATGACCCAATCACTTTCCACACATCGGGGGGTAGGACTTCAACATATAAATTTTGGGGGGACACATTCAGCTCAGATAGTAATGATTTTTCAGTCTAATAATCCCTAAGGATATTGAGATGTGTATACATAGGAACCCTCATTCTCTGTTAGTGAAACATAAAATAGTGTAAGGATTTTGACTGGCAACTTGACAATATCTATCAATTTTCAAAATGTGCATATATCTTCTGCCTCAGTATTTCTATTTCTAGAAATTTACCTTACAGATACATTTCATATAAGTATACAAAGGTAATGTACAGGGATGCTTACTGTGTGTTTTGTTTCGCATTGTTTTGCTTTATTTTGTAATAGCAAAAACCTCGAAACAACCTAGATGTCCATTAATAATGATTAAACTATTATACTCTATCCAATCAATAGAATTATTTGTGGAAATTAGAGTAGGATATGTTTATGTGATGTTTCATAAAAATGTCTATTGCATATTAAGTATATCGATTTATGTCAATATCTATATTGAAAATATCTGAAACTTAAAAATGACTAAGAAGGTCAATGCTCATTTTTTACTTTATATAATTTTGTACTCTATGTTTTTAAAGTATGGGCCTGTATTATTTTTTAATTCAACAACACATTTTAAAGCATGTAATGACTAGTAAGTCACAATTCTAGTTTGCAGCTACCAAGTGAGTGATCTCATATTACATAAATATCCTTTGGTCATAAGACCTGTGAGAACATACAAGATGAACAGGTATAATCAGTTAAGATGATAAAATTCTGTTAGATTTTATTTACTACCATGTGAATCATGGAGGGGGAAAAGGTACATGTATTTGAAATATGAGATTACTTTCTCAAACTCCTGGCCTCAGACAATCTGCCCGCCTCGGCCTCCCAAAGTGTTGGGATTACAGGCGTGAGCCACCACGCCCAGCGAGATTACTTTCTAATGTTTAACTTAAAAAAGAAAAAATATTACAATATGTTTAATCTCAAATCCATATCAAGATATAGGTGACTCACAGGGTTTTGCCTGAATACAGGAGCAACCCAGAGAAAGAGCAGTTCTCTGTCACATAAGAGCCTGTGATTTCTGTCGCTGTGTGTAAGGACAGACAGACAGACAGATAGAATTAGATTTTAAATTAGAAAAAATACTTCAGGAGCAAAGAAAGTGCAAGAAAGACATCAGGCAAGTTTTAAGAAAATGGTTAGATAATTTTTATGAAGGAAATGTCTTACGTTCGGATTTGCCAAATAGGGCATTATTTTCTCCTGATAAGTTACTGATTTCCATGTTATCTGCTCTTGCTGTTCAGAAATTGAGCCTGTTTGTGTCCGCATTCACACGTTGCTTCTGGGAGCCAGGAGTCATCTGAGTTAATAGAAAAATCACTAACTCGGTTACATATGAGAGAGGTTCTGTATTCCTAGCAGCTTGCCTTATCTAAGGAGGGAGAAGGTGCTAAATAGGATTTTGGTATACCCTCTTGGTTTAGTAACAGAAAAATGATGGGGTCTAATCTTTCTAATTACACCCTGTGGATATCTTATTTAGTGCCATTGTCAAATATTTTCACCTTTAACTTCACTCATCACATTTTTAAAAATTGCTTTTGTCAACTTGATGTTTACTGGGTCTTATTCCTCAGTTTCTTTCACACTAGCACCAGTAACTTACCTGTAGCTCACCTGGTGAACCTTACCAGAGTGAGTACATTTACCACCATGACTGGACAAATGACATGAAGAAAGCAGTCACGGAAGGGTTAAAGCCTCTCAAAGTCATGCTTATTTTCTACTAAATTCTTTTGCATGAATATGACATTGAATGGGGCCTCAGTAAATGGGAAATTCAACCTAAAATTGAACTGCACAGGCTGGAAGTTAGGTAAAATTTGATTCCATTTGAATTGTTCTAAGCAAGCAATTTGTTACCCTTTATCCTTTAGTGGAATTGATGAACAGGTGGTTTTCAGAAGATCACTTGGTAAATTTAGCTTCTGAAATTTGAGCAACTCAAGATCTGATTGGTTGCTCTTGCCACATGATAATTCGGAGCCCAGGCATCACGCTGGCTTTTGCCTGGGGTTCTCAGGAGGGGAGAGTTGGGAGAGGCTTTGCTGCTGAGGAAATTTATTTGGTAGATTGAAGGTAAGGCCAGTTTATGACTTTTTCTGTAATACTCTTTCAGGAGATGCTCCACAACTTCCCTCGAAGTATTTTTCAAAGGTTTGGGCCATAACTGAGGAAATTAGTGGTAGAAATATGGCTAGGAGAGTTTAACCCCATTGCCCTACTAAGGCCCTACTAATATCTGCTATGTACCGTGTGTGATTAGAGTCAAGTCCTTTGCTAACCAATTTATTGCTTGACTGAATTGGCTCTCTTGTCTAACATTTTTTTGCCTTTGATATTTTTCTCTAAATATATTAGTGTGAAAAAGAAGATACGCTGCTCTACGTTCCTATATTTATCCTGTTCTACTGGGCTTCATTTGCCTGAGGAGTGGCAGTTTCGCTAGCTTAACAAAACCAGCCACTGCAGGGTATTGGTTTACATGGCAAACATCTTTGGATGAAGGGACAGCTGTTCCAACTCATCATCCACTTCATATCAAGAGTCTTACTCTCTGGCGTCAAACTGTAGAGGCCTTGAGAGATCCTTTCGCTGTTTTCTGCATTAGAAGCTTAGGCTAAGGACTGACAATCCTATATGTACCTCAATCAATGCTTTACAACTTTGTTATTTTTCAGGTTTGAACGAGAGCTACAGAAACGAAAGAAAAAGTCTGTATAAGCCAATGGTGTTCGGGAAGAAAATAACCCCATTGCCTTGAGGTTTCTTTTTTTCTTTTAAAATTTATTGACAGATGTATTTTTATGGGTTCCAATTTGAAGCCTAAGATATATTGCAAACAGTGGATCAGGGCAGTATGGAAAACTAAGTCAGCCCTCTTAGAATTTTGGTGCTGGGGGATAAATTTCAGCTTCTTCTGAAACCCAAGCTGACCTTTCACTAAAATTTTTGCTGGAAAATGTCTTTTCTCTAAGTGTTTGGAAGTTTAAATTCTCTGTTCCCTGAGTCCAAACTCTCTCACTTCCTTACCTCAATTTCGTTTTACAATTTTAACTAAACTGATTATGTAGAAGTAGCAATTCCCAACACTGAAGGAATAAAGAGAAAGAAATTTGAAGCTTCTGCTGTTTATACTTGTATTTTAAATGTCTTCTCTCCTTTAGCCTGCAACAATATATGAATTTGTACAATAGTTTAGCTTCAAATTCTATTTTTATAATGTCATAAGATAATTTCTGTGCTGGGAATAGACTCTAATATGTTTTCATTTGTATGGAATATGAAAAGTTTGTAGGTGCCACTACTACTCTGGAAAAATGGCAGATGACGAAGACTATGAGGAGGTGGTGGAGGTAAGATTTAAAAAAAAAACACTGACAGCAAACTATTTTATGTAGTGACAATCAAAGCTGTGTAGGTGAATTAATCATTCGAAAAATACATTGTCTATTATAACTTCACAAAGAGTCATCATTTAAAGCATAAGAAAGGAATATTTTATGTTCAGTTTCACTATAATTATGTGGGATTTAGAATTGACAGGAAATATCACTGTTTCCCACTTTTGCTTTTCTTTAAGCTCTCAAAAAACCAAGTTGGAGTAAAGGCAGGTTTTAATTCGTCTTCTAAAACTGCTTTCTTCCCCACTTCCCAACCCCGATGTTCAAAGGGACAGAGACGAAGAGAAAGTTCTGAAAATGGAACTCTGTCTCTTAGTATCTGTATAGCAATAGAAGAAAAGATCTACTCCTTATTCTTTGCTTCAACTAGCTAATCATCTATAGGGTAACATGGGTTAGATATTCAGAATAATCATATGTATGAAATTATATGCAGATGTGAGACTTTATACATAATACATACACATGTGCACAGACACACACATACAAGCAAATATAAATAAAGGCATGAAGGTCACAGCGATTGTTGGAGCCACACCTTCCTACCAACTTCATTATATTTACCCAAGTCAACAAGACTAGCTTTTGCTTTTGAATTTTGAATAAGAACAAAGACTATAGTGGGTATCTTGAAAATTTTCCTTCCAATTATTAGTGGACATCTAACACATTTTACAAAGCTGTTAATCATTTATTTTATATTTATTTTACATCCTTTTGTTTTTATCATCTTACGGTTTTTCCTCACCGGCTCTTGCCTTTAGCTTCACATTCTAGAAATAAAATCTAAAGGCTTGGAACTATAATGCACATAAATACAGTGCCATGAATCTGAATGTGCTTAATAATTACCAATTAATGATGATGATCTAAACACATGAAAATCTCCAAATGCCTAAGGCACTTGGAGGCAGTTTTGAAAATCTGTGCTTTTTAATAAGACTGAAATTAACTGTAAGAGCTACCCAGAACCAAATTTTAGGTGGCAGTGCCAAAATTTCTCTTTGGAAAATTATTTTAGTGACCAGTC